>NC_000003.12:44555454-44858484 GCF_000001405.40 Homo sapiens
AGCGATGAACAGGGCAGACGTGGCCAGGTGAGCGGCGCTGCTGAAGCCTGGTTTAACACGAAAGGTAGATCGCTGTTTTCCCAGCTCTTGCAGTAGGAAACTGTATGAACTGTCATATTTGGGTCAGACCCAGGCTCAGAATCGCAAACGTGGAGCGTGACTTGGAAATGCAAAAATCCAATTGAGATTTTAAAGTGCTGAGCATTCGGAACACTATGGGAAGCAGGAGAATGGCCTGAACTTTCTACATATATGGGATCTTAGAGCAGAGTTTACAGATTATTTTAAAGTCCTTCTTTGTCTTTTTAAAGAGATTGAGACACAGGGATCTGGGCTCTTGGTGAACTGGAAGCACAGCACAGATGCCCTAGTTACCAGTAAGGTGCTGATTTTAAAACGTTCAAAGTTTTCCTCCACTTCAGTGTCAGCTAAATGTATCATATTCATTCATTTCCCAATTATGTGTGCCATGTGCACACGTGTACAAAGATGACTGGAAGTCAGCTCTGCCCTTTGTATCCTCCCAGAAAGCAGGGGAGACAGTCGTGTAAACCACAAACGATTACAGTGTGAGATGTGCTCTACTAGAGGTTTGAATGAAAAAGGTAGTTTGGGATCACTGAGACAATAACCACCTCTCTAAGCCTAGCGTGATCAGGAAGGCTTTCTAGGGGAGGTGCATTGAGTAAAAAAAGGTCTAGTATTTTCTGATTCCATTTGGTTCCTTTCCTTTGGTGGCCGTGCAGCAGTTTGGAGGGTGAGAGTGGTGAGTTGTGCATAAACCAGTTAAAGGGTTATAGTGAGAGGTACACAAAGGGAAGCTACCAGCACTCTTCCTGATGGGGCAATCAGGAAAACCAAGAAAAAGTTGCCTTTGTTCATGGTCTTGACAGACAAGTTTGCCAAAAGTTGAAGAAGAAAAATTCAAAGAAAGAGTATGTGTGGCTTCTAAGTGTGTCTCTAGAGCTTTAGCTCCAAACTTTCTTTATTTTGCATTTCTATCAGTAGAAGAGGTTTGATCACTTACTCCCTACATTGGTTTATTTGTAATTTAAACATGAATACTACTATACAAATTGTAATGCACATTATAAAACATACATTAAATAGGAGTTAAATAACTTAGTATTTTCTCTTGCACCCTTTGGGATAGCCTGCATTTCCCACATTGGAGACCATTGCTGTCTTTCTAGCATGGGTACTTGGGGTGAGTGGTAGAGGGTGTGGCTGGTTGTGAAGGGGGTAAGGCCAGGTTGTGAAGGGCTGTGAATGCAAGGCATAGACATTTAGATTTTATCCTGTAGGTAATGGGAGCCACTGAAACTTTAAGAAGGGCATCATTTGGAGAGATGCTTACTAAGAATGCCTGGTTGTGTTCTTTTTTCCTGGAGCTTTGTTTTTTAACTCAGTGGAGGATTGTCATCAGCCTGGGGCTGAATACTCCAAGAACTCTGATTTCACTCTTGTTTCTGTAGGCCACACTACCATCACCCCTTTCTCCAACCCTGAAAAACAGTTCCTGAGACCTGAACTATTGACCATCATTTTAATCGGACCAACTGCAGCTGTAACAAGCTTCTCTTTGGGGTCACAATGACCACTGCAGGCAGGGGAAATTTAGGCCTCATCCCCAGGAGCACTGCTTTCCAGAAGCAAGAGGGGCGCCTGACTGTGAAGCAGGAGCCAGCAAACCAGACCTGGGGGCAGGGCAGCAGTCTCCAGAAGAACTATCCTCCTGTCTGCGAAATCTTCCGGCTACACTTCAGGCAATTGTGTTACCACGAGATGTCTGGGCCGCAGGAAGCATTGAGCCGGCTTCGGGAGCTCTGCCGCTGGTGGCTCATGCCAGAGGTGCACACCAAGGAGCAGATCCTGGAGCTGCTGGTGCTTGAGCAGTTCCTGAGCATCCTCCCTGGGGAGCTCCGGACCTGGGTGCAGCTGCATCACCCTGAGAGTGGTGAGGAGGCTGTGGCTGTGGTGGAGGATTTCCAGAGACACCTCAGTGGATCAGAGGAGGTGAGCAGTTGAGTCTAGAATGGCGGCCTGATGCTTCTCTAATGCTTGGGTTAGCCTAGGAATAGGCATTCTCCACTTCCCAGGCCCTAGGCCAGTTTGCCTTTAGGGTTGCTGAACTTGTCCTGTGGATAGAGGGAAAATAGTTTTGTGCTCCAAGCCATAAACACAAGTGCACATCCCAGCTAAGCTCTGTGATTCACCCTGTGAAATACTGTGTTCTGAGCCTAGCTTCATCCTGGAGATTCGCATGGTACTCCTGGCAGGCGGGGGATCTGCATGCTGGTTAGAATAGGGCGATCGGGGGAAGGCGGGCCTTTGGGTATGCTGATAATACGAGCCTTCATTTGAGACATTCTCTTTGCTCACTTCCTTGGACTTCTCAGAGTCAATTTTCTCTTTTTCTGCCTCTTTGATTCCCTGAAAGGTGACATTTTTGGGCCTTGTAATTATTTGTTCCTTTTGCTAGCTCTCCAAACCTAACTGGGATCTTTTTGCATCTTTAATTCTAATTTAAGTTTTCCCTATTTCCTGGAGTTCTTGCAAATGTAATACCAAGGTAATTTAAACTAGAGGAATAGTTGGGAAGAGTGAGCAGTAAGACACATTGGAAAATCTGGTTTCTAGGACCATAGAGCCAACTAGCTCTGTGCCCATGTGTTTCAGTCAGGGTTTAGCCAGAGAGGTAGAATCAGTAGGAGAGAGGGGTGTGTGTGTGTGTGTGTGTGTGGGCATGGGCACACATGCATGTGCATGTGTAAAGAGATTTATTGGTGGCTGGGCATGGTAGCTCATGCCTGTAATCCCAGCACTTTGGGAGGCCGAAGGGGGTGGATCACTTGAGGTCAGGAGTTTGAGACCAGCCTGGCCAACATGGCAAAGCCCCATTGCTACTAAAAATACAAAAATTTGCTAGGTAGGGTGGCATATACCTGTAATCTTAGCTACTGGGGAGGCTGAGGCAAAAGAATCACTTGAACCCAGGAGGCAGAGGTTGCAGTAAGCCAAGATCACGCCACTGCACTCCAGCCTGGGTGACAGAGCGAGACTTCATCTCAAAAAAAAAAAAAAAGAAAAGAAAGAGAGATTTATTGCTAGTAAGTGGCTTACGTAATTGTGAGGCTGACTAGGCAAGTCTGAAACCCATAGGCAGGCCATCGACAAGGGCAGCCCAAAACAGTGGCACAAGCTGAAGCTGCAGTGCACAGGTGGAATTTCTTCTTTCTTCTTTGTCCTTTCTTCTTTTTCCTCCTCCTCCTCCTTTTATTCTCTTTCTTCTTCTTTCTTCCTCGTCTGCTTTCTCCTTTCTTCTTCATTTTTTTTTTTTTTTTTTTTTGGGTCTTGCTCTGTTGCCTAGGCCAGAATGCAGTGGCATGAACATGGCTCACTGCAAGCTCAGCCTCCTGGCTCAAGTGATCCTCCCACCTTAGCCTCCTGAGTAGCTGGTACCACAGTCATGTGCCACCACACCAGGCTAATTTTTTTTATTGTAGACATGTGGTCTTGTTATGTTGCCCAGGCTTGTTCTTGAATTCCTGGCTTCAGATGATATTCTTGCCTTGGCCTCCCAAAGCACTGCGATTACAGGCATGAGCTACCACGCCTGGCCTGGAATTTCTTCTTCATGGAACTTTTAGCTTTGCTTTTAAGGGCTTACAACTGATTGAATCAGGCTCATGCATTCATCCGTTATCTAGTATAATCTCCCTTACTTAAACTTATTATGTACTTTAATCACATTTTTAAAATAGTTTACAGCAACACCTGGATTGATGTTTGATTAGTACCAAGTTGACACATCAAAAGATCATCACACCATGGATAAGTTAGTTCTTCCTAATGAGTTTCAAATTGTTCCCCTATAATAGAAGCAGGGTGAACTAGAGGTCCCCTCTACCCCTTTGTACTTTATCAGGGGAAAACAGTATAGAGAATTTCCCAAGTACCCAATATATCATTTTATTCAATGCTTTTTTTCCTAGAGAGTCTCACCCTATCACCCAGGCTGGAGTGTGGTGGCACAATCTTGGTTCACTGCAACCTCTGCCTCCTGGGCTCAAGTGATCCTCCCACCTCAGCTTCCCTAGTAGCTGGGACCATAGGTGTGAGCCACCACACCTGGCTAATTTTTGTGTTTTTAGTAGAGACGGGGTTTCACCATGTTGTCCAGGGTGGTCTTGAACTCCTGAGCTCAAGAAAGCCACCTGCCTCATCCTCCCAAAGTGCTGGAATTACAGGTGTGAGCCATCACGCTCAGCCTATTCAATGCTTTTTAAAAAATGATTACATATCACTAGGGAATCAGTTCTAGTTGATCAGGATCCTGGGGCTAGACATTTTTCCAGGATTATTAGCAGTACACATTTGTCATTATCAACCATCATTTTCTTTGTGTAAACAAGTAAGCACATATGAGTAAATCAACCATCACAAGGGTCTAGAGAGCAGCTGGGCCAGCCATGGCAATGACAGGTGGCTGAAGACATATTTAGAGAACCATTTAGTGAGGGTGGCAGAAGGAAAATGTCCCTATTTCCTGCTTGGTTTTGCTTAAGAAGTTAATGCTTCCTCCATTAAAACTTTTAGTGCTTTATCCAGCTAGCAGCCTCAGAAAAGGGTGACTGTTGAGTCACAACCCAAGAAAATGACTAACAGTAGACAGTGAGGCAGCTGAATGCTCATGGCTCCAGCTTGGGTGTAGGGTCTTTGGAGTCCATTTCTTAATCTCCCACTACTGTCAGTGTTATGTTTTCTGACACGAAGACATAAGGGCAGGACTATCTTTCATCAGCAGGCGTTCAGAAAATGTTTACAGAATGGCTAAATGAATAAACAAGCTTTTCCATGGAAGTTTGCCAAGAGGAGATTAAGGAGGGTCCAGGTAAATTGGAGTCATTTTGCTTATCAGGAGCAAGCCACTTTATTGCTGCAGAAGGAGCATGTACATGTGTGCACATTGTGGCTGGGAAAGGTTTGTATAGTGATCCCTGCTGGGCTGCAGAGTCATGCAACTTGCAGAATTCTTTTGTTTCCTGTATCTTTTTTTTTTTTTTTTTTTTTTTTGAGACAAAGTCTCACTCTGTTGCCCAGGCTGGAGTGCAGTGACACAATCTCAGCTCACTGCAAGCTCCGCCTCCTTCACGCCATTCTCCTGCCTCAGCCTCCTGAGTAGCTGGGACTACAGGTGCCTGCCACCACGCCCAGCTAATTTTTTGTATTTTTAGTAGAGACAGGGTTTCACCATGTTAGCCAGAATGGTTTCGATCTCCTGACCTCATGATCCTCCCGCCTCGTTCTCCCAAAGTGCTGGGATTACAGGCATGAGCCACCACGCCTGGCCTGTTTCCTGTATCTTTTTTCATCTCCTGCCAGGGTTACAAAACAGGCAGTGCAGTAATCATTATCTCCATTTGACAAGTGAAGTGAGCACATGTAGTAAGCATTCCCTTGCCCGAAAGATTTAGCTGAGGTGTGGTTGTTTCTGATTACCATCAAGTGGGAGGACCAGGATTTTCCATCTCCCTAGTTTCTAAGCCAACAGCTTTTCTCTAGGGTCTTGCTGTGGAATGCCATATTAGAATGAGGTTTTCATGTCTTCAAGGAAGGGAAACCTGTGATTCTGTATTAGTCTGTTTTCACACTGCTATAAAGAACTACCTGGGTAATTAAAAAGAAAAGAGGTTTAATTGGCCCACAGTTTCACAGGCTTAACAGGAAGCATGACTGGGAGGTCTCAGGAAACCTACAATCATGGCAGAAGGCAAAGAGGAAGGAAGGACCTTCTTCACATTGTGGCAGAAGAGAATGCAGGGGGAAGTGACACATACTTTTAAATGATCAGATCTCATGAGAACCCACAAGAACACCAAGGGGAGATCTACCCCATGATCCAGTCATCTCCCACCAGGCCCCTCCTCCAATTCGTTGTGAGATTTGGGTGGGAACACAAATCTAAACCACTATTATTCTGCCCTGGCCCCTCCCAAATCTCATGTTCTTTTCACATTGCAAAATACAATTATCCCTTCTCAACAGTCCCCCAGACTTAACTCATTTCAGCATTAACTCAAAAGTTCACAGTCCAAAGTCTCATCTGAGACAGGGTAAGTCCCTTCCACCTATGAGCCTGTAAAATAAAAAACTAGTTAGTTACTTCCAAGATACAATGGGGATATAGGCATTGGGTAAATGCTCCCATTCCAAATGGGAGAAATTGGCCAAAACAAAGGGGTTACATGTCCCATGCAAGTCCAAAACCAAGCAGGGCAGTCATTAAGTCATAAAGCTCCAAAATAATCTCCTTTGACTCCATGTCTCACATCCAGGGCATGCTGATGCAAGAGATCAGTTCCCAAGGCCTTGGGCATCCTGGCCCCTGTGGCTCTGCAGGTTATAGCCCCCATGGCTGCAGTCACCAACTGACATTGAGTGCCTGTGCCTTTTCCAGGCACATGGTGCAAGCTGCTTGTGGATTTACCATTCTGGGGTCTGGAGGATGGTGGCCCTCTTCTCACAGCTCCACTAGGGAATGCCTCAGCAAGACTGTGTGGGGGCTCCAACCTTGCATTTCCCCTTCACACTGCCTTAGTAGAGGTTTTTCCATGACAGTTTTGCCCCTGCAGCAGACTTCTGCCTGGACATCCAGGTGTTTCCATACCTCCTCTGAAATCTAGGAGGAGATTCCCAAACCTCAACTCTTGCCTTCTGCACACCTGCAGGCCCAACAACATGTGAAAGCTGCCAGCTTGGGGCTTGCACCCTCTGAGGACACAGCCTGAGCTATACCTTGGCCTCTTTTAGCCACAGCTGGAGCTGGAGTGGCTGGGACACAGGGGACCATGTCCTGAGGCTGCACAGAGCAGCTAGGCCCTGGGCCTAGCCCATGAAACCATTGTTTTCTCCTAGGCCTCCAGGCCTGTGATGAGAGGGGGCTGCTGTGAATGTCTCTAAAATGCCCTGGAGACGTTTTCCCCATTGTGTTGGCTATTAAAATTTGGCTCCTCTTTACTTATTCAAATTTCTGCAGCAGGCTTGAATTTCTCCCCAGAAAACGGGTTTTTCTTTTCTACCACATGGCCGGGCTACAAATTTTCCAAATTTTTATGCTCTGCTTCCCTTTTAAATATAAGTTCCAGTTTCAGATCTCTTTGTTCACAAATATGAGTGGACACTTTTAGAAACAGCCAGGTCACTTCTTGAATGCTTTGCTGCTTAGAAATTTCTTCTGCTAGAGGGCTGGGCGTGGTGGCTCACGCCTGTAATCCCAGCACTTTGGGAGGCTGAGGCAGGTGGATCACGAGGTCAGGAGATCGAGACCACGGTGAAACCCCATCTCTACTAAAAATACAAAAAATTAGCTGGGCATGGCGGCGGGTGCCTGTAGTCCCAGCTACTCGGGAGGCTGAGGCAGGAGAATGGCATGAACCTGGGAGGCGGAGCTTGCAGTGAGCCAAGATCGCGCCACTGCACTCCAGCCTGGGTGACAGAATGAGACTCCATCTCAAAAAACAAAAAAAAAAAAAGGAAATTTCTTCTACTAGATACCCTGAATCATTTCTCTCAAGTTCAAAGTTCCACAGATATCTAGAGCAGGGGCAAAATGCTGCTGGTCTCTTTGCTAAAGCATAGCAAGAATGACCTTTGCTCCAGTTCCCAATATGTTTTTCATCTCCATCTGAGACCACCTCAGCCTGGATTTCATTATCCATATCACTATCAGCATTTTAGTCAAAACCATTCAACAAGTGTCTAGGAAGTTCCAAACTTTCCCACATCTTCCTGTCTTCTTTTCAGCCCTCCAAACTGTTTCAGCCTCTACCTGTTACCCAGTTCCAAAGTTGCTTCCACATTTTCAAGTATCTTTATAGCAGTGCCCCACTTTCCTGGTACCAATTTTCTATGTTAGTCCTTTTTCACACTGCTGTAAAGAACTACCTGAGATTAGGTAATTTATGAAGAAAAGAGGTTCAGTCGACTCACAGTTCTGCAGGCTTAACAGAAAGCATGACTGGGAGGCCTCAGGAAACTTAAAATCATAGTGGAAGTTGAAGAGGAAGCAAGGATCCTCTTCACATTGTGGCAGGAAAGAGAGAGCACACAGAGGAAAGTGCCACACACTTTTAAACAATCAGATTTCATGAGAACTCACTATTACAAGAACAGCAAGGGGGAAATCTTCCCCCCCTACCCCCACCCCCCGTGATCCAGTCACTTCCCACTGGGCCCCTCCTCCAATTCAACATGAGATTTGGGCGGGGACAGAAATCCAAACCATATCAAAGTCCTAGATAATGAACAGGAACTTTACCAGGATTAAATTATTAGTGGATTACAAAGTTGAATTATCACAGTGCAGTAAGTTCTACCTTCTGCCAATACCCAGAGCTCCTGTATTGAAGAGCTGTGACTTCCATTTTAGAGAGTCTTTCAGTTTCAAAGAACCTTTCAGTAGGAGAGCTTGGGAACTACAGAATCCAGGGAGCCTGCTGGTCCTACCACTACACTGGTGAGATATATATTAAAGGAGAGAGTCCCTTAACATCTCAGCAGATGCAGCCTAATAGGGTGAATCCTGTGTGGTTTATTGAAGGAGAAGTTATTTTTACCTCATGCTGTGCTATGTACATACCAGAGCAAGTGAACTTTAAAATGTGCCTTATTTAGATAATATTTTAGGTTTTCTGCCCTACATGCTGGTAAAAGGAGCAACCATGAGATTGTGAGGAGCTGGTTTGATGACAATAAGCAAGGGTTAGAAATAAAATGTCTATGTTCTGAGGTATTCTCAAGATCTCTACAGATTAGTGTGTCTGATCTTATTTGGCTTTTAAAATATAAATTATTGGGGAGAAGTAGTACATATTGAAAACTGAGTTTGCAGATAACCTTAAAGTCTTTTAGCAAAATATCAACAGGAAGTCAGTCAGCAGATATTAATTGAACACCATTGTAGGGCTATATGTTGTTTTGGAGCTAGTGATCAAGACAAAAGTTCTTACCCTCAAAAAACTCACACTCTGTTGGGGAAACATAGACAATAAAGACATAAGTAAGATTACTTAAAGATTAATACATGCAATCTAGAAATTATAATTGGTTAATTGAGTCTGACTATCCCTGCTTTGTCAGTGTGCTCAGAGAAAGCTTCTCTGAAGAGGAGATACTTTTGCTCAGAGAAATTGGAAAAGCTCTCCTGGTATGCCAGCCACTGTTCTGGGTATTGCTTCAGCTGTTAGTGTCAGTAGCATTATTTGTGCACATCCACAAATCTTATCTTTTTTTACACTTATCTTTTTTTACCTCCTTTGTACTTCTTTTTTTGTTTGTTTGGTTTTTGTTTTTGTTTTTTTTTGAGACGGAGTCTCGCTCTGTCACCCAGGCTAGAGTGCAGAGGCGTGATCTCGGCTCCCTGCAAACTCCACCTCCCAGGATCAAGTGATTCTCCTGCCTCAGCCTCCCAAGTAGCTGGGACTACAGCTGCGTGCCACCATGCCTGGCTAATTTTTTTGTACTTTTAGTAGAGACAGGATTTCGCCATGTTGGCTAGGCTGGTCTCGAACTCCTGACCTCAGGTGATCCAACCACCTCGGCCTCCAAAAGTGCTGGGATTACAGATGTGAGCCACTGCGCCTGGCCTATCCTTTGTACTTCTGATTATTCCTTTCTGTCAGCTAAGGCCCTAGAGAATGTACTGAATTGCTCTCCTGGCTCCCTTTTTAAATGGTTCTTCATAAGAAAATATGTGTCTGAAGACCTGACACAGAGTGGAAATGGTTATAGAATCTGGTCCTCAAGCCCCTACCAAAAGGGTCAACAGAGGGATGGCAAGTAGAATTGCAAGCTTTAGATTCTGCTTTCACAGTTTTTTTTTTCCCCCAGTAGACTGTAGTGGTGGGGCTGGAAGGACACCCTGGCTCTTCTTTTCCCTGGCTTTCTTTCTGGAGGGAGCTGCTTAGAGGTTTTGGGTTCAGTACCTTCAAGGATGCTCTTTTGAACCCAATTGTATTTCCCTCTCTCTAGGTTTCAGCCCCAGCACAGAAACAGGAAATGCATTTTGAGGAGACAACAGCTCTGGGTACAACAAAGGAATCTCCTCCTACCTCACCCCTCAGTGGGGGCTCAGCCCCTGGAGCCCACCTGGAGCCTCCTTATGACCCAGGGACACACCACCTCCCCAGTGGGGACTTCGGTACTTATCTCCCCAGCTTTGGCCTTAAGTCATGCCTCCCTTCTCTCCTCTGGAGTCTCCTTTCCTTTATCTGCCCATCTCCTACTCCATGGAATCCCTCATTGCTCTGCTGTCTGTCCTTCTTCCCTAGTGACCCTGTTTGTTCCTTTTGCTTATTCTCTAATCATTCGTGTAGTTAGTAAGTTTTCATCAAGGGCATGTCGTAGGAAAGGCACTGCCAGAGACCAGAGAGATGTAGTACATCTATTGTCACTGATTTCAAAGAGCTTGTTATCTAGATGGTAGGATGAGTTAGTCATGTGTAAGAAGAGGCAACCTCATAAGATGCACATGAATGATATCTATCCTCAAGCATTTGATCCTGTCACAAATGAGCAATGTGGGCATTGGAAAAAGTGATCACTGGGTAAAAAGCAAGATCATTGTGGGCTGGAACTGGTAAGGGATGCTTCATGAAGGAGGTAGCAGAGTATTGGGCAGTAAAAATGTGGAAGAATTTTGAAGGGGAGAAAAAAGTAGCAGGCATGCCATTAGAAGACACAACAAAGACCCTAAGCTGGAGATTCCTTGAGCCCTGATTGAGGTGGAGTCAGGAAAGACTGTATTTGGGAACCTGGGCCTTGTTTGTACAGGACCTTGAGATTGAGGCAGGAAGATTTTGGGAGTCAGAGGATAATGTGTTAGAAATAGTATTTCAGGAGGATTACTCTGGCACAGGTGAGCATTATGGATTGAAGGGGAAGGCGCCTTAGTTAAAGGCTGGTGCGGTAGAATAGATGTGATTAATGCCTGAAGTGCAAAGAGAGGAACGGGCAAGGATAAAATTGAAAAATATTATCATGGAAACATCCGTGGGACTTGAGTTTGAAAGGGGAGGCAGGGGAATTAGAATGTTTTGGCCAATGATGGAATCATTGAGGGAAATTGAGAAATCTGAAAGAAAGGTGATAAGAACATTTTATTTATTTATTTAATGTTATTTATTTATTTTTTTTAAAGAGAGATAGGGTCTCACTCTGTCACCCAGGCTGGAGTGCAATGGCACGATCATAATAGCTCACTGTAGCCTTGAACTCCTGGGCTCAAGAAATCCTCCCACCATGGCCTCTTAGAACTACAGGCATGCCACCATGACCAGCTCTTTTTTTTTTTTTAACTTTTTATAGAAATGGGGTCTCCTACTGGGAGCAGTGGCACACACACCTGTAATCCCAGCACTTTGGGAGGCTAAGGCAGGTGGATCACTTGAGGTCAGGAGTTTGAGACCAGCCTGGCCAACATGATGAATCCCTTCCTACTAAAATACAAAAATTAGCCAGGCATAGTGGCAGGTACTTGTAATCCCAGCTACTCCAGAGGCTGAGGCATGAGAATTGCTTGAGCCTGGGAGGCAGAGGTTTCAGTGAGGCATGATCATGCCACTGCACTGCAGCAGAGTGAGACTCTGTCTCAAAACAAAAAGAGAGAGAGAGAGAGAAAGAGAAAGAAAGGAAAGAAAGAAAGAAAAAGAGAAGAGAAAAGAAAAGAGAGAAAAGAAAGAGAGGGAGGGAGGGAGCAAAAGAAAAGAAAGGAAAGGAAAAGAGGAGGGGAAGGGAAGGGAAGAGTGAAGGAAGGGAAGGAAGGAAAGGGAGAAAAAGACAACCTTATGTTGTACATGCTGGTCTTGAATTCCTAGCCTCAAGCCAGCCTCCCACCTTAGCCTAGAACATCCATCCATTCTAGACACTGAACTTAAAGTGTTGCAGGACACCCAAGTGAAATGTCCCATAGGCAATAGGAGGCATGTGGTAGGGGTCTAGGAGAGAAGTAAGAACTGTGAGAGCAGTATTAAAGCAATGAGAGTTGGTCAGATTGCTGACGGAAAGAACAAGGAAGCACTAGGGCCTGAGTTGCAAGGAGTGTCCATAATGAGAGGGCAGGAGCAGGCATGAGGAACCACAACTGTGAGGGGAAAATCAGGGCTGGCTGGTGCTAGGGAAACCATGGGAGAGAGAGTGGCCAGAATAGCTTCCCTGAAAAAAGTTGAAGAGAGTGAGGGCTTGGAGGAACACCCAGTTCTCAGCTTGATCCGGGACCTTGTACTGTACCCTCCAGGGAAAATTCACACCACTCTTGGGATAATGCCTTATGGAAGAGGTTAAGAGTCAGTGTGTGTGGAGGTGCCTGGGTTCTCTTGAATCCACTTATTGGGAATATAGATCTTATGGGAGCCAGAAGCAGGGCTTGTCCCACTCATAGCTTTCTTTCCTCCCTCAGCTCAATGTACTTCTCCAGTTCCTACCCTTCCTCAAGTGGGGAACTCAGGAGACCAAGCAGGGGCAACTGTACTTCGGATGGTCAGGCCCCAGGTGAGCTTGGTTCTTTGTGTTTTTACCAAGTCCCCATGAGTCTGGTCCAAGAATGGCTAGAGGTCTCACCCCCAGGACTCTGCCCCATCTAAGACTATTCCTGTGGCTCTCCTGCCTCATTACTTCCCCTGGAGGTAATGGACTCTATCTTGCCCTGGACTTGTCCTTTTCGAGGTGTCATCTCAGCTCCTCTCTCCCATACTTTTGCCCATGAAGAGCCCATACCCTGTGCCCTTCGTACCCCTGATGACTCTGCCCTTCAGGCTGTGAATGTTCCTGAGCGATTGGAGCTTGTCATTCCAGGATACTGTGGCATATGAGGACCTATCTGTAGACTACACTCAGAAGAAATGGAAAAGTCTCACACTCAGTCAGAGAGCCCTGCAGTGGAACATGATGCCAGAAAATCACCATAGCATGGCCTCCTTGGGTAATGATTCTGTTTCCTAGTCACTTAAAGTCTGCATGCTGCACAATCTCTTTTCTATATTCCTTGTCTCTTTAAACTTTTTACCATGAAAATTTCCAAACATAGTTAAACTAGAGTGAATAATATAGGGACCCTTTCTGCATTCATCACTGAGATTCAACAGTGATCAGCATACTCTTCACCTCATTATGAATTGATATAGTGTGGTTTAGGTAGGGCTTCTTAGTTGTAAGGAACAGAGAGCCACTCAAGTTATTGTAAGTAAGGAGCTGTGAGTCATAGGCTTAAAGGAATGAGAACCTGGAAGAAACTGATGAGCTAGACCAGACTGTGGGAAGCAGGGCCTTGACCCTGGGAGCCTGAGCTGCAAAAGCAAATGCATGTTGATGCCTGTGTTCCAGTGTGAATGTAATGCAGCTGCTCGCAGTGTATCTGTTTTCTCTCTGCTTGTCCTCCTCCTCTTGCCCATTTTCTTCACTGTGAATCTTTTGTCCTTTTCATAGCTCTTTTAATTTTACTTTCTGTTCTTTTACACTTGTTGCTTGCTGTGTTTCCTAATGGCTTGGCTTCTCTCCATGCGCCACTTCAGCTTCCATTGCTACTCGTAAGTGCCTTAATTTTGCCCTACCTCCAGTTCCAAATTTCCTCAGAGATGGACTTTCATTGCTATAGCCATTACGCATCATCTCATTTGGGCACAGGGGTTTGGCCCAGGCCACAGCAGAGGCTGAAGCCTAACCTACAAATAGACCCTTCAGTCTAGTACCTGGTGCCAGTCCAATCACCTGTGGCCCATCGTGGGATGCTCAGGGTCACTTGGCACCAAGCATGGTTGCCTAAGCATCCCTCTCTGCAAACACTGGGGCAGAACAGTTTCCTGAAAGGGCTTCTTGGAAGGGCAGATCCTGTGGTTGACGAGTTTAGGGCAGTCTTTTTACTGTCCTATCATGTAAGATCTGTTCTTTTTGTACACTTTCCTTATCATACCTCCATAATATAAATTTCCAGTCAATTCACTCTCATTTTTTTCCCTGTCTCTTTCTTATGTTTGGCTTGAGGTATTTGCCAGCCTCCTCTCTCCCAACATGTTTTCTGAGAACAATGGAACCATGCAATGTTATGGTTGGAAGGGATCTTAGAGTTCATCACTTTACTAAGGAGACATAGCACGAGAGTAACTTCTGTAAGATCACAGCATGCTTTGCAATCCACTTTTTTGCTTTCCAGTGGCCCTTCTGACTTGGTTGTGCTGGCTTAGTATCTTTTTTCCACCTGTTTTCACTGACCACCTTCCCCTTCCTTGTTTTCCTGTCCCTAGGGAAAAAAAATTGAGCTATTAATATTTCCCATTTTGCTCTTGTTCTCAATGTGTCATCTCATTTCTTAACCATAATGTGACTTTTTTTCAGGTATGTTAGCTCTTAATGATTCTCTTTCTTAAACAGGATAAGAAATGGGTAAAAGTTGTTGTCTTCTTTCTTTGGGCAGCAGGTGAGAACATGATGAAGGGTTCAGAGTTGACTCCAAAGCAGGAATTTTTTAAAGGATCAGAGTCATCTAACAGGACATCAGGGGGACTCTTTGGGGTGGTTCCTGGGGCAGCAGAGACTGGAGATGTTTGTGAAGATACTTTCAAGGAGTTAGAAGGACAAACCTCAGATGAAGAAGGGAGCAGACTAGAAAATGATTTCTTGGAAATAACAGATGAAGATAAGAAAAAATCCACAAAAGACAGATATGACAAATATAAGGAAGTTGGGGAACATCCACCTCTGTCTTCCAGTCCTGTTGAACATGAAGGAGTTTTAAAGGGACAGAAATCCTATCGATGTGATGAATGTGGCAAAGCTTTCAATCGGAGTTCTCACCTTATTGGCCATCAGAGAATCCACACTGGAGAGAAACCCTATGAGTGTAATGAGTGTGGGAAGACCTTCAGGCAAACCTCCCAGCTCATTGTTCATCTCAGAACCCACACAGGGGAAAAACCCTATGAATGCAGTGAGTGTGGAAAGGCCTATAGGCACAGCTCCCATCTCATTCAACACCAGAGACTCCATAATGGGGAGAAACCCTATAAATGTAATGAATGTGCAAAAGCCTTTACTCAGAGTTCCCGACTCACTGACCACCAGAGAACCCATACTGGGGAGAAACCTTATGAATGCAATGAGTGTGGAGAGGCATTCATTCGAAGCAAAAGTCTTGCTCGACATCAGGTCCTGCACACTGGTAAGAAACCTTACAAATGCAATGAGTGTGGGAGAGCATTCTGTTCCAATAGAAATCTCATTGACCATCAGAGAATCCACACTGGGGAGAAGCCTTATGAGTGTAGTGAATGTGGCAAAGCCTTCAGTCGGAGTAAATGTCTTATTCGACATCAGAGCCTCCATACTGGGGAAAAGCCATACAAATGTAGTGAATGTGGGAAAGCCTTCAATCAGAACTCTCAACTCATTGAGCATGAGCGAATTCATACTGGAGAAAAACCTTTTGAATGTAGCGAGTGTGGTAAGGCATTTGGTCTGAGTAAATGTCTTATTCGGCACCAGAGACTTCACACGGGTGAAAAGCCCTATAAATGCAATGAGTGTGGAAAATCCTTCAATCAAAACTCACACCTTATTATACACCAGAGAATTCACACTGGTGAGAAACCCTATGAATGTAATGAGTGTGGGAAGGTATTCAGTTATAGCTCCAGCCTTATGGTACATCAGAGAACCCATACTGGGGAAAAACCCTATAAATGCAATGATTGTGGGAAAGCTTTTAGTGACAGCTCACAGCTTATTGTACACCAGAGAGTCCACACCGGAGAGAAACCTTATGAATGTAGTGAATGTGGGAAAGCCTTTAGTCAGCGTTCCACTTTTAATCACCACCAGCGAACTCACACTGGAGAGAAGTCCTCAGGTCTGGCTTGGTCAGTTTCTTAAGGTATGGTTCTCTGAGACAGAGAGCAACGACCTTTGAGTTAAGCTGTCTTTATAAGCAGGATGCTCATAGTGGTTTCCCGGAGCCAGTAGTCACGGTGGACCATTCCCTACTTGCTTTTCCTTGGATCACTAAGGTGGGAGAGTAGGAGTAACTTATTCCAGTTCTTACCCATTATTAGGAAGGTAAGGACTACACATGTCATTGAATTGTAGGTTTCCTTTTTTTTTCTTTACTTTTAAATTTTAACTTTTAAAATCTATTTCATTTCTTAGTTATGCATCTCATAATCAGACTCCATGCTTTTTAAAGACAGAGATAATATCTTCTCTATTCTATTCTACTTCCTCCATTTCACCATTTATACAAAGTCATTCAAAAAGGCTGATTCATGCCTTCCTGCCTCTTGGCTATGGCCCTCCCCATCTACTCTTTAAACTTTAATCTATAACTTTTCATCAGTTTTGTTCCCTATCTAGAAAACATTTTCTTCTGTTTGCTAATCTTTGTCCCTCACAATTTTTGAAATCCATCTCATCACTGAAATACTTTCTTCTTCAAGTACTTTTTTATTTTTCTTCAACTTCTCTTGATTTGACCTCAGTGCTTTGAATTCACTGGTGCTACAATATGTAACTGTGGTTAATTGCCTTGTAAATTTTGCGTGTCTGTATACTTTTATACCAACTTATTGTAGGCTCTTTGAGGTCAGGTATGTATTTCTTTCCCATATAGATAGTATTTTGTACATACCAGTTGTTAAATAAATAATTTTTAAAATCTCAGCTCTCACATTGAATTATCCTTAAAGTATGCACGATCTTTCTCCCCTCCCCAGCTGGACCAGCTGCTTCTAAAGATGGAAGTCCATCTCATCATAGAATATCACATACAGAGGTCTTACTGATATCTTTTACATATACTCCTGGAAGTCTTACTACTGTTACTTCAGCCTCAAAATGCGAATGGATTTTGTGTGTGTGTGTGTGTGTGTGTGTGTGTGTGTGTGTGTGTGTATGTATGCAAAAGAGAGAGAGTGTGTGTGTGTGTGTATGTGTGTGAATGTGTGTGTATCTAGGTATTGGGTTGGGCAGTCATATCCCACTGGTACGGACTTTCCCCTACATGCTGATTCTAGTTCTGAATTTGCTAACTGTACCCTGCTTCCTAAATCAACAGATTAAGAACTGTGTCAGCTGGGCGCAGTGGCTCACGCCTGTAATCCCAGGACTTTGGGAGGCTGAGGCAGGCGGATCACGAGGTCAGGAGGTGGAGACCATCCTGGCTAACACGGTGAAACTCTGTCTTTACTAAAAAATACAAAAAATTAGCCAGGCGTGGTGGGGGGCGCCTGTAGTCCCAGCTATTCGGGAGGCTGAGGCAGGAGAATGGCATGATCCTGGGAGGCAGAGCTTGCAGTGAGCCAAGATCGCACCACTCCACTCCAGCCTGGGCAACAGAGCGAGACTCTGTCTCAAAAAAAAAAAAAAAAAAAAAGAACTGTGTCAAAATTTACTGCACCGAAGACTTGACTTTCATAGCAGTGGTACAGATTATTGAAAATCCAGCTAGCAGCATTCCCTGATGCTTGGAATTCACTATGACGAGGCTTGTGGCAAGATAATAGATTCACAGGAATCTGTTTTCCTTATCGACTAGTCCTATCTACCTACAACTGCCATCTTAATTTAAAGATGAGAGCTGTACCCTTAATTATCATAATTGTCTTCTGGACCATCTTTTCATTCCCCGAAGACATAAGAAAAGAAATCTCAGAAGATTTTCTGTCCTTCTGCCATCACATGTCAGTCCATGAGCTTGAACAACTTTTCCCTTCCACCCTTGCAATATGGCCCAGATCTGGGGGACGTTTGCCTCTGTTGTCTACCTCCTTCTCTTTCCATCCCTTAAACTTAATAGGTTTAGAGGATCCACAGTGTGACAGAGTAGAGGAGGAGGCTAGAGGAGCCATGCGAGTTATATAATCTGGAGGGGAGATTTTTTTGAGGTGTGGTGTATGTTTTAACATAGAAGAAAGGGTGGAGTTGAGGCATAGGAAAATAAGATTAGATGTGATTCTAGGGACATATCTCAGGCAAGTTTAGAAAGAATAATAGGAATCCTGAAAACACTGAACCCAGGACAGAACTGAAAATTTGCCACTTATGAATATATATTTTAAATTTGTTTTCAACTTTATATTTAGTATGTGTTTCCATTTTCCTTTAGAAGATATGCAGATAGGACTTTTTCATTGTTTTAGTTTGGAAGCTCCCAGATCCCAGGGACAAGCCCAACCCTATATGAGCACATGGGTCCAGCCCTCTACCCTGAGCTGGACATTTCTGGTTAAGTCTTCAATAGAACGTTCCTGCTTATTGGATGTTGCAGTTTTACCTTCTGGTTCTTGTCTGCTCATCGCCTACCACACTAACCCTCTAGAGGTTGGAAACCTGCACTATTCATAACTAAGGTGGGAATAGTAGGGAAAAAAAGAGTAGATGTAGGGAATTCTACACCAGTGTGTGCCTTGACATCCTTAAAAGCCTGAGGCTTTTGAATGGAGGAAAATTGGCTGCATTTGAAAGCCATACCTCAAATTCTATTGGTTACTGCTAGCATAAACTTAAAAAAAATTTAAATCTGGACTGTTATGTTGCTGAATTATTTTTAGTTTTAATGGTTTTTTAGTTTCATTTTCTAGGTATATAATAAATTAATGGCTCCTTTAGCTTTAAATTTTCTTTTTTTTCTTGGAGACAGGGTCTCACTTTCTTACCCAGGCTGGAGTACAGTGATGTGATCATGGCTTACTGCAGCCTCAACTTTCCAGGCTCAGGTGATTCTCCCACTTCAGCCTCCCAAGTAGCTTGGACTACAGGTGCATGCCACCATGCCCAGCTAATTTTTTGATATTTTTTGTAGAGATGGGTTTTCACCATGTTGCCCAGGCTGGTCTTGAACTCCTGGGCTCAAGCGGTCCGCCTGTCTTGGCCTACCAAAGTACTGAGATTACAGGTGTGAGCTGGCCTTATTTTCAATCTTATGCCACTTATGTTGTGCATTAGCAAGAACTTCCAAAAATGTTGAGTAGTAGATAACAGGTCTTCTATGTCTTGTTCTAAAATCTCAGGAGGGATGTTTTTAGTATTTCACATTTTCATTTGCGTTCATTGTTGGATATTGATAAATATTCTGTTGCGTTTAGGAAGTTTCCTTCTAATATTATTTCTAGAGGAAGCAGGGTAATATAGTGGTTAACAACACAGGTTTGGGGTGGACACGGTGGCATGTGCCTGTAATCCCAGCACTTTGGGAGGCTGAGGCAGGTGGATCACTTGAGGTCAGGAGTTCAAGACCAGCCTGGCCAACATGGCAAAACCCCATCTCTATTAAAAATATAAAAATTGGCCAGGTGTGGTGGCAGGCACCTGTAATCCCAGCTACTTGGAAGGCTGAGGCAGGAGAATTGCTTGAACCTGGGAGGTGGAGACTGCAGTGAGCCAAGATCTCACCATTATACCCCAGCCTGGGTGACAAGAGCAAGACTTCATCTCAAAAGAAAAACAAAACAAAACAAAATGAACAAACAAAAAACATGTCTGTGCCCAGCAACCTATGTTCAAATTCTGGGTCCAGTCAGGTGTGGTGGCTCACACCTGTAATCCCAGCGTTTTGGGAGGTGAAGGCAGGAGGATCACTTGAGGTCAGGAGTTTGAGACCAGCCTGGGCAACACGTCAAGACCCTGTCCCTAAATAAATAAAAAAATATATTAGTTGGGTGTATTGGTGCATGCCTTTAGTCCTAGGTATTCAGGAGACTGAGGCAGGAGGATTGCCCGAGCCTGGGAGGCCATGGCTCCAGTGAGCTATCATTGCACCACTGCAATCTAGCCTAGGCAATGAGTGAGACCCTGTCTTAAAAAATAATCTGCATGTCCACCACTTTGTTAGGTGTGTAACTGTGGGAAAATCACCTAGCTTTCCTGTGTCTCAGCTCTTCCGTCTCTAAAGTGGAGCTACTTCATAGGGTTGTGAGGATTAAATTAGTCAGTATGTGTAAGGTACTTAAAACAGTGATTGACACATAGTATACACTATAATAAAAGTTTTATTAGGAATAGTTGCTAAGTTTTATCAAGTTATAAAAAATCTAAAAGTTCCCAAATAATTGAAATTTTCTTGTATTCCTGGGATAAATCTATTTTATTTATTTATTTAGAGACAGAGTTTCACTCTTGTTGCCCAGGCTGGAGTGCAATGGCACGATCTCGGCTCACTGCAACCTCCGCCTCCCAGGTTCAAGCAATTCTCTTGCCTCAGCCTCCTGAGTAGCTGGGATTACAGGCATGTGCCACCATGCCAGGCTAATTTTTGTATTTTTAGTAGAGACAGGGTTTCTCCATGCTGGTCAGGCTGGTCTCGAATTCCCGACCTCAGGTGATCCGCCCGCCTCGGCCTCCCAAAGTGCTGGGATTACAGGCATGAGCCACTGCGCCTGGCCTTATTATTATTATTATTTTTTAAAGTTCAGAAGTAGATTCAATTTGCCAATATTTTGCTGGCTGTGCAAAATGAATTTGGAAGTTTTTTTTCTTTTATTACTCTGGAACAGTATGCATAATATAGCAGTTATTCCTTAAAGGCTAGCTAGAAATGACGCATTCTGATATATATATAATTTTTTTCCCCTGGTGTTTGGATGTGGCAGTAGCATCCTTGCAGTTTTTTTCAGTGGTTTTGTTCTTCAGGTTTTCTACTTCTGTGTAAATTTTTCTAATATGTATCTGGAAATCGTATTTACTATTCTGTCAAACGTTGGCATAAAGTTACACCTAGTATTCTGTAAGATTCTTTTCCTCTGTTCTGTATATGTAATTGACCTCTTTTTCCATATATAGTCATATCCACAGGGAATTGGTTCCAGGATGCCCCTATCTCAGATATCAAAGCCCTCAGATGCTCCTTTACAGTCAGTCAGCCCTCCATATCCTCAGAATATGTGGATGCGGAACCCAAGAATACAGGGGGCCAACTGTATGATGTTTTGCATTTTGGTTTCCCTTCAGTTTTTTTTTTACTTTCAGGATTACCAAAGGCAGTGTATCTTGTTTCTCTTTTTGAATTTCATTTCTCTTGAATTTTTTTTTCATATGTTCTTTTACTGCCTTAAGTTGCCAAGGCTTTGCATTGCCTTCACATACATTTGCTTTTTCCTCATTAGTGAATGACAAGGGCTTTCCAGTCCTGATATTTGTCTGCAGATAGGGAAATGGATTTCCCTTTACATTCCAAGTAGGTGCTATTAAAACTGTCCCTTTAGATCTGAAGCTAAAAGGTTAGTTGTAAATTTATGTAACTCTGCACTTCAGCAGTAGAGAAGCAGCTTCAATTTTGCTAAGCTGGTTGAAAATTTTTCACTCAGGGCCAACTTTTATATCTAGCTTTCTTTTTGGCTCAGCCTCCAGGCTAGTTATCCAGTGGAGCCTCCTTCCAAGTTCTCTGCCTCATTGGAAATAGCTTGGTTGTGAAAGAACTGAATGTGGAAAACCCTTCAGTCACAAGTCATTACTCCACATTGGAAACAAAATCTTTTTTTTTTTTTTAAGTGACAGGGTCTTACTCTGTCACCCAGACTGGAGTGCAGTGGTATGATCATGGCTTACTGCAACCTCAACTTCCTAGGTTCAAGGGATCTTTGCACCTCAGCCTCCTGAGTAGTTAGGACTACAGGCGCATGTTACCATACCTGGCTAATTTTTAAAAAAATTTTTATAGAGACAGGAGTCTTACTATGTTGCCTAGAGTAGACTTGAACCCCTGGCCTCAAGCAACCCTCCTGCTTTGGCCTCCCAAAGTGCTGGGATTACAGGTGTGAGCCACCATGCCCAGCCCAAATAACCAATTCTTTTTTTTTTTGTTTTTTTTTAGGAATGGTTGCTTTCAACATTTTCCAGGTTGTGAAAGGTTTGCCACGATTCTCAGGGGTGTGGTTCTAAGCTGCATCAGTGGAACAAATACAAAATGCTGTCCTCCTCCCAGGCTGGAAGGCAGTGCACTTTCTCCTCTTAACAGCCAGACTAGCGGGTGAGGAGTCAGTGCTGTGACCCAGGCCAAGCTGGAGTGTCCGCATGGCTTTTTCTCTGACCAGTGGGGATTCCATCTATCTTGAGGCGTGCTGGCTGGGCCCCGTTTCCACACCAGCACATGGTGAGACAGGGTAGCTTATCAACAGGCTGCTGGGCCTTAATACTGACAGTGAGTGTGGGGGGTCACAGCCAGGAAGGGACTAACACAGATGCCCGCCCAGCCCCCACTGCTGGCCTAATTTTAGAATACCACGGAAAAAAGCTTTGATGAAGACAACAGGAAGTCAACACAGCAGAGAGTGGTGTGGACAACCCAGAAGCCAGCCTCACGCATTCCATGCCCACAGTTAACGATGACAACAACAGCAGTAAAACAAAGGTACAGGTGAAAAGCAGCGCTCGGGGTGTGCTGCTGCAAGCTGGGGAAGGTGCGTGCTCAACTTGGATGGGACACACCTAGTCTTTCTTCAAGTCCCTGGATTCAAAGAGCTTCAACCGTTCTTGCACCGTCAGGCCTTCCTTCAGACTCTTGGACCTGATGTTTCTGAGTTGCCAGGTGACACAGGATCTGTCTTTCTTCAAGAAGTCAGGGTTGCTTTTAGATTTCATTATATCATATCCGGACACCATGGCACTGTCAGGGGACTTTTCCCCCAGTGCTTCCGTTGCAGCCTTAAGCTGCTCTTTCAACCTGCTGATGTCACAGTCAGCCTTAGCCTTTGCGATGCTGAGCTCTGTGTAGATGTCTTTGTGGTGTCACTTGCGTACTTCTTGTCCCACAGTGCTGTCTGCAGCTCATCCTTGAGGGAGCTAATCTCCTGTTTCAGGTACTGTATTTCCGATTCCTATATCCGCAATAAGACTTCTAGTTCATAGGCATCCTTGCCCTGTGCAAGGGGTGACCCAGTGGCCTCCCCACCGCCGTCCCCAGTCAGCAGCGTCCGCAACCGTGTGATCTCTGCAGCCAGGCGGTTGTTCAGCTCCTGGTTGTGGGCATTGAGCTCCTGGTTCTCACGCTGGCACTGCCGCAGGGCCTGCTGCCCGGCCTCCAGCGCCTGGGCCAGATGGGCATTCTCCAGGCACTTCTGCGAGTACTGCTCCGAGAGGACCTCCAGTTCCCGCTGCACCGACTGCAGCTCCTCCAGGTACTGGCGCCGCAGGGCCTCAACATCCGAGTTGACGCTGCTGATCTGGGACCGCTGGCTCTTCTCCAGCTCCCGCTCCATCTCCTCCCGGTGGGCGTTCTTCATGGCTTCGATGGCTGAGATGGTGGCCGCTGTCTCCTCGGCTAGGAGTCGGTCTTTCTCTTCTCGAAGTTTCTCTAGCTCCCGCTGGTGCTGCCTCTGGAGATCTTCAATCTTCTTCTGGTGCGTTTCTTCCATTGCTGCAAACCCTCACTTGCACGTGGCCTGCAGCATGTAGCCCTCACGGGCGCTCTGCTCCCGGCCCAGGGCCACCCTCAGCTGGTCCTGCAGGAGCCGGTTCTGCTCCAGAAGGTCTGAGGCCTCCTTCTGGCTCTGCTCCAGCTCCTTCTTGAGCAGAGAGGTCAGCTCGTGTGTGGAGAGCCGGTCACCCCCATCTTCAGAAGACAGGTGGACGGGGACGATGGGCACCTGCTTCTCTTCCCGGAGAGGCGTGGTCTCCACCTGATGCCACCGCTGCTCGATCTCCACGTGGACGTTATGCGTCTTGAGGTCGCTCACAGGCAGCCCTGGGCTCCGGTCCACCTCCATGCGCAGGGCTGCATCCTCAGTGCCTGGCCCGCCTGTGGCGTCCAGCATCCCGAAGTGCTTGCGGCGCTCCTCCCGCCTCCGTGCACGCTCCCGCTCCAGCTCCCCAGGCTCCGCCTCAGGGCGCAGGGGCTCGTGGGTGTCAGCAGGCCCCACACCGCCCACCCGCTCCTGATTCAGGGCCTGCTGGATGGGACGGAACTCAGCCCAGTCAAAGGTCTTGGAGAGGCCCTCTCGCCTCCGCTCCCACGTGCGGCTCCTCTTCTGCTCAGGGTCCGGCTCCCCCGGCTCTGCCTCTTGCTTCTCAGTAGGCCTCGGGCAGGTCTCAAAAGAGCAGCTGCTCTTGTTTTTTTCCTCTGGCAACCAGCTGGTCACATCCGGGGCGGTGGTCGGGTGCACATGCTTCATGATGGTCTGGATCCAGTTCCGCCGAATCCCAGATGTCATGGCCGACGGGGTAAACTCGCCCTCCTTTGTATGTATCTGGAAGCCATAGTTTCTCTGAACTGGATACTCTGTGACATCGTAACATGCAGACAAGTCAATTTCTCCATCCAAGTCGGCTGCCTCCTCAGCCACTGAATCCCTGTAGTATCTCAGGCTTTGATCGGCGAGGACAAACCAGTGTTTCTTCCACTGGCTGTCCTCATACTGCTTAGTCAGCCAGCCTTTCTTGAAATTCAGCAGGTCGGGCGTCACGGAGGGCTCTGTGGACCTCCTGTCCAGTGACTTGGCTCTTCGGTGTGGAGACGGGGGAAGCCGAGGCGTCTGGGAGAGGAGCTTGGGGGGGGGCTTCATTGGTGAAGTCCTGCTTGCTAGGGAACGCCCTTTTCTCGCTGCGGCCCTGGCGTGTGTCACTGGATGGCGAGGGCCCCACTGCATTGGTCTCCATGTGCTCTGCCTTCTCAATGTCCAAGGCCTCAAACTTTTCAATCACCTGGGACCTCCTGTGGTTGGGGGTGCTGGGGCTGGGAGGGGAGAGCGGCGGGGGCAGCTGCTGTTCTTCGGCCTTCAAGTCGTGTTTGGTCTTCTCCAGAGAGAAGTAGCTGCTCTCCCCCCGGACTTTGCGGCCACAGTCCATGCGGTCGCTACTCATGGCGCTCTCCTCTTCTTTGCTCTCCAGCCCAGGTTCCCGCAGGGAGCTGGCAGCAGGAGGCTGGCTCTGGCTGGGACTCTGAGCTGGACTCAGACTGCTGCCATCTGGCTGGTCCTTGGTCCTCATTTCTTCCTGCCAGAGTGTGGACTTGGTGGTGGGGACTTTCTCAGCACTGGGGATGCTGCTGCTGCTGCTGCTGCTGGTGGTAACAGCCACCTTGGCAGGCCCAGGCTCCTGCGGTGTGGGGGGCTCCACTTTCCATTTCTTCTTCTGATTCTGCTTGTTGGTCCGGGGATAGACCATGAGCATCTCCAGCCACCCACTGACGATCTCCTTGGTCTCCGCCCGGATGAAATGCTCCTTCTCAGGCGTCAGAATACACAGGGAGAACCTCTGGCCCGTGCGGCCCTCCCCATCCACCACATCTGTGCACTGGTTCATGTTGATGGTGCCCTGAGGAAGGGTCGTGGGCATCTCATCCAGGGCGTAGCGCAAGAGGCCATGCTCGTAAAGGATGAAGAACTGTCGCTGCCATTTCGGAGACCGGTGCACTGAGTTGTCAAAGTCGGTCCCATCTGGAGCCAGGAGGAGCCAACCGCCATAAATGGGTTTTGCCTGCGTCAGGTCCTCGTCGTTGAGGAGATGCGACTCGCGGGGCTGGAAGCAGTTCTGACACTTGCTCTTGTTGAAGATGTTGGCCTGGAATTTCCTGCACGGGTTCTCCTTGGCTGCCGACATGGTCGGCGCGGCGGCGGCGGCGGCGCAGGCCCGGCCGGCCTGGCGCTCCCGGCGGGCTAGGGGCTCAGCGCGGCCGCCGCCGCATCCCTCGCCGGCCCTGCCACAGGCCCTGACCGGCCTCCTTCCCTGCGGGCGGCTCGCTGCACGCGCCGAGGCTCCTGAGCCGCCCGGGCCTCACAGCGCGCGCGACGCCCAGCTCCCGCCCGCACCGCCGCCGCCCAGCCGCCGTGGGCCCAAGGACGCGGCCTCGGGCCCGCTGCTTCCCGCTGCGGCCCGCCTCTCAAGCTCCGGTCGCCGCCGTCCCGGCTCGTCCGCGCCGCCACAGCTGCCCTCAGCGCCCCGCGGCCGCTGCAAATGACCAATTCTTAAGATATGTGAAAAACCATTCAGTTGTAGCAAACATCATACACCAGAGACTTTGTTTGACATCAGATAAATCACACGGGTTAGAGAACTTTTTGGTTTTTAGAGGTCAAGGAATCATTCATCATGAGCTTCCATATTTTGCACATATTTCTGAAAAATATTCCTGAAGTGGAAAAGTTTTGTTATACAACACATAGTTCCTGGTACATGAGGGAACCCACGAAAAAAGGTATCAGTAAACAGTGTTACAGAACTTCCAATTTAATATATATATGTTTTAGTCAAACAGAATTCAAACCCAAGGACAGTTTAGGTGGTGGTCAGACCCAGTGAAGGTGCTGGGAGTGGTATACTTACTCACTTACCTCTTAAACATGCAATGAAAATATTCTACAGCCAAACCCTTATCATAAACTCCAGCCCTGGTCATTCAGCTTCTAAATGCAGTAGGAAATGTCAAGAGATGGTGGATGTTAACAAGTTATTGAGTACTGTCCCATGTTGGGAGACAGTTCTGTCAAGATGTTGACCTTTTTCTGGAGTACTACAGAGCGTGCATTCCTGAAAACCTCTAGGGGTTAGGGACAGGTTGTGAATTTGTCAATTGTGAATACGCACATGGTGGCACTATAAAAAGAATTGAAAGTAAATCCCCTATCCCTAACATCAGGTCATGCTCTGCCCTGATGGGGACCAGTAGAATTTGCCACAGCTGGATACAGGGAAGGTGTTAACGATTACAGCTGGCTCCACAAGCACCTAGTGGTGCTAGTACTTGATCCAGGATAGGACATTTTAGATTTATTATTCACCAAATCATAACAGTCCTCCACTAATATATGCACAGGGTCACTTTACCCAGGTGGATGCCAAGTAGGGTGAGATGCAGACTCCCTTTTAAGGCATGTGAGTGCTTTACATGAAAACACAATAGGAGAGCAATGTATGACGGCCCACCTTTCTGGCCTGTGGGTATTCCTGAAATGATGCCTGGTTAAGACTTGTCAACTGACTAAAATTACAATGTTTTTTCCCCTTAGATGGCCTAGTCCACAAACTTAAAAAGACCTGACCAACTAGACGTTGATTTCATTTACCCAAATGAGTTAGAATTTCTTTGGCAGATAGATGTCATAATAAAGATTGAAATTGCTGAGTATTTAGGCAATTATGACACACAAAAAAACACCCTGATTTCTGAGCAGTGACATTATACTTGACTGAATGAATAGATTTTTGTAGGAAAAAGTATGCTTGTGGATAAGGGCAATAGAAGCTGGATACAGGCAGGCTGGAATCTATTTTTAACATATATTCTAGTGACCCTTACGTTCTCTAAAATTTGAGAATTACTGGACTAGAATATTAAGGAGTAATCATTCCTCCCTGGGACCAGATGTAGGGTTAGCAGCTTGAATCAGAATGAATGGCCCCACCCACCCAAATGAAAGAGTAGGTGAAAGGGAAGACTAAGTAAGTTAAAGATCACAGCTCCCTTAATGTACATGAATATTCGTGTGTGTGTGTGTGTGTGTGTGTGTGTGTGTGTGTGTGACTGAGTTTCACTCTTGTCTTCCAGGCTGGAGTACAATGGCGTGATCTTGGCTCACTTCAATCTCCAGCTCCCGAGTTCAAGCGATTCTCCTGCCTCAGACTCCTGAGTAGCTGGGATTACAGGCGCCTGCCACCATGCCCAGCTAATTTTTGTAATATTTAGTAGAGACGGGGTTTCACCATGTTGGCCAGGCTGGTTTCGAACTCCTGACCTCAGGTGATCCACCCGCCTCAGCCTCCCAAAGTGGTGGGATTACAGGCGTGAGCCACCACACCCAGCCTATTCTTTTTAAGTTTCTTGATGTAGTGGCAGTAGTCTTGTGCTCTTCAGGAGAGTGTCCCGAGTTCTACGTCCCACATCAACTGAGGGTGTGAACTTGTGGAGGACTTTTGTCTGAATCTCTTTTTCAATCTCTATACAATGTGGCGGAGTTGTGCCACCTACATGAGCCAATGGAGAAGAAAGCTCCTGGTATACTTTAAGTACTCAACAATATTAAATACTGAATATTTGTCAATTGACGAAGTACTTCAAAAGCTTGATTCTCAGACTCCTTCTTAGATAAATCATTCCCTAGATTGTCTCATCCTGTCCTGACAACTTCCAAATTTATGTCTTTAGCTGTGATCTCTTCACGGAAGTCCAGACTCCTATTCCAACTGCCTGTTTGGCATTTCATCTTGGATGTTTAATTGGCATCTTTAACACATCCAAAACAAAACTATTAATCCCTCTCCCTAAACCTGTTCCTTTCAAGCTACTCGATTTCTAAAAGACCATCCCATGCTAGTTGCTCAGATCAATAACCATGGAGTCATCAGTAACCAACATTCAATTCATTAGCAAATCATGCAGGCCATGCCTTCAAAATATATGCAGAACCATTTCTCACTACCTGCATCACTTCTAAGCCTGTCCAAGCCACTATCAGTCCTCATCTGGAATATTGTAATGGCCTCTTAATCTCCCTGATTCTACTCTTACCCACCTTCAGACCGTTCTCAACAAGACAGCCAAAGCAAACTAAAAATATAAGTCAAAGAGCAAAATTCATGCAAGGTTTATGTTAGAATGGCTAAGGACAGACAGCAAAGAATTCACAGAATTTATAGTAACAGGCTTCTTGGCTTCTTTCATGTCTCATAGCTAACAAGTCTTTGAATATGTGGTAAGGGAAAAAAAGTTAGATCATGTCGTTCCTCTGTCCCCAAGCCCTCCAGCTGTTATGCAGAGCAAATCCAAAGCCCTTATCATAGTCTACAAGATCCTAAATGTGCACCTCTCCACCCCACTCCTGATTAAAGAATTTTGCTCCTAATGGCCCACTATGGGAATACTCTTTCCCCAGATAGCCACATGCTTCAATTGCCCACTTCCTGTCTCTGCCCTCCCTGTCATCTGTAAAATAGTCCCACCACTATCTCCCTCTCTCCCCTTACTCCCTCTCTCCCCTTACTGCTACGTTCTACATATTTATTTATCATTGTCTCCTTGACTTGAATGTAAACTCAATGGGGCAGAGAGTTCATTTTCTTCACTACTGTATCCGCAGCGCCTGGAACAGTGAGTGACATAGTAGGCACCCAAAACGTCTTTTCATATGCTGCCAATAAACCATAGCTGATCCTGGCTTTGAGGCTGAATGACCCAGATCTGTGGAAGGAAAGATGACCTCTCTGCTCAGCAACCGGAGCTGGGGGTGTAACTTTAGGGAGTCTCAGCCTGAGGCTGGCAGCCTGGCCACCCAGATGCTCGGTCTCTTTCCGCCCTAACCAAGCCCCCTGCCCAGCTTCCACCACTTCCAGGGCCCTCCTCACATTGGCTGAAGTCGCCAAGCCCTTCCATCCAATGATAGGGCAAAGCCCGGAAGGGAGGCAGGGCCAGAGCGTCGGCCGACCGCGCGGGGCTTCTGAGGGGCGGGGGGACTCCAGCCCGCGGGCACAGAGATGTGGAAACCTCACGAAGCCTAGAAGGGCCGGAGGGACAGGCTGGGAGTTAGCTGGGAGTTGCTGACGCAGTTCCTTCTGCGCTTTGTTCAAGATGTGGGTCTGGCGCTTTCGGTGAGGGGTGCTCTACAGTCTGGCGTGGGGGGTCGGGCCGGGTTCTGGGAGCGTGTGGGAGACGCAAGCCAGGAGGCCAGGGCTCCTCTGCGGCTGCCCGCTGCTGAGATGGGCGCGGCAGCCAAGGGGTCGTTGTGGGCCTCCCCTTTCTCTCGTTCAGTGCTGCCCCTTTGTCTTGGGTCCAGTCTCTGACTCCTCGTAGCTGCTCGCTTGGACCAGGCTGGCCGTGGTGACAGCACTGTGTCGTCCCCGCTCCTAGGCAGTGGGCCTTCCGGGTAGTAGCGGTCGAGTCCCGCCTAGGCTCTCAGGACTCCACAGCCCCTGAGTATTTGACTCAAATCACCAGTCCAATATCCCTCCCGTTACCAGTGAGGAACCTGGGGCCCAGAGAAGAGGACGGAGTCTTGCCCAAGGTTACTCATTCATTCATTGATTCATTCAACAAATATTTATTGAGCACTAACCCAGTAGTGTGCTAGGTCCTGGGGTTATGGTTGTGTACAGGACAGAACTAAATTCTAGTAGGGGAGAAATGAAACAAACTTCAAGGGTTAGAAGCAGAGCCTGGGGATCTGGAGGGGGAAACACAAAACATATTTGAGGCTTAGTAATCCTAAGAAATGGGTAAACAGAAAAAAGGAACATTCTTTTTCTAGTGCTCTTTTAAAGACTTGTTTCTTTCTGTCTTCCTAAAGACACTTGACTCAGCAAAGTTCTCCCTCTCATCCCCCTTGTGCAGACTTTCTGTGGAAAGCTGGATTGCAAGGAAGTTCTCCACTGCATTGTATTTTGCAGTTAGATGAGAATATGGAAGCTTTTAGATATCAATGGAGCAGGTGAAAAGGGGAGGCTGTGGTGTGATGGAATTAGGATTTCCTGAAGACACAGAAGGCTTTTTAATCACTCACTAGCTATAGGACCTTGGGCAAGTCGTTCAATCCCTGGGAGCTTCATTCCCTCATCTTTACACTGGAAATGATCCTTCTTACTGCCCACAGTTCTATAGGAAGGGAAGTTACCCAAAGATGGGACACTGCCCTGAGTGTCCACTTGGAATTCAGGGCTCAGAGAACTCAGTCATTTATATCTGTTTACAGTGACTCAAGACCCTCTTAGGAACTTCTTCACTGAACTCAAGGAGGAGATCAGGCAAGATCTGTGCTGTGCAGATCCTTTGGATTGAGGCTGCTGTGCACAGGAATATGGGTGAGTCATTCCATTCTCTCCTGGGCAGGTGAGGCCTAGATTGTGAAGTTAGTCTGGGCACAGGAATCCTGCTTGTGGGCACCAGGGTTGAAAGGGAGCTTCTCTCAGTGGTATTTATCAAACAGGAGAAAAGCACTGAAGTGGGCAGGGGGCCTCTGGACCTTGAGGAGTAGAGTTTTGTTTCAGATGGGAATAAGGGTGATGTAGTAGAACTCAAAATTGGGTGTCATGGGACTTGGATTTGAGTCCCAGCTTTCCTCTAAGTTCCAAGTTTTCCTTCTGTACATTTGGATATAAGACTGGATAGACTGGGAGGTTCCTTCCAGCTCTGACATACTGAGAGTCTCTGAATAGTGGGACCAGGTCAATCTCTTAGGGAATTTAGTCCCTGGGATGACTCTGTTGAGACAGAATTGCCAAGAATGCAAATACACCATTATGGTGTTTCCCAGATAATATGAAGCACAAAAAGGACAAACATGTAGAGGAGGGATGGTAGTAGTGATGTGTGGATTTGGCTCTCAGCATCCCTATGTGCACTCCAGGTGTTAGAATCTTAAACTTGTTTAATTTACCATTTCAAATCAAACAATGCTGACTGAGCCCTCTCTGTGTCAGACACCATGTGGTATCTACAGGCAAATCTCATGGGAACTGCTCTCTGAGGGCATAGAGCTTAATGTATATATTTGAGGATGGACACAGACATACACACAAGCAATTCCAGTATAAGGCAAACTCTATTTTATAGATTTGTTATGGCATTTTTTGGAATACAGAAATTTTTATGTGTCAGATATATCAGCTTTTTCACATGGTGTTAGCCTTTCCCTTGAGGCTTAGGCCTTTCTTCTAATTCTTTTTTTTTCTTGCAATGTTTACATTTCACTTATCCATCCCTTGAATTTATTTTCAGGTATTTCCTCTTATTCCTTACTCCACTGCACCTAATCAATAACCAAGAACCATGTAACCATTGCTTAGAGGGACTTGAACAGGCAGATGATGCTGGTGAATTAAAGGAAGACAGCCTCCAAGTAAAGCCTCTCTCTCTCTCTCTCAATAGGATTCTACCCTTTATGTATTTTTCACAGCCTGAAATGGATGGTGGTCCTAGGATTAGAACACTTACCTACCAGTCTCAGAGATTTGTGGGTTAGAGATCTGCAGGGCCTTATCAGTCCTCATACATTCACTGGCTGTCTGAGATTTTGCTTTTCTGTACAGTTGCCTAGATACCCCTAGTGTCCTACTGGCCTGTGGCCTCATGTTTCCCTCCAAACTTCTCCAGCCAAGACCCTACTTCCTTAGTACCTAGGAATTCTTCCAGGATTTCTGAGGGCATTTCCTATCCAATCAGACAGAAGGGAGCAAATAGGTTTCTTTTTGATCAAACTCTCCTCATTTGGCCCTCTTTGATCTCCTGTCTGGTCCTGCTTCCTCCTCAGCTCCTCCATCACCACCCTGGGCTTTCTTACAGTGCATCGCTGTGCATTTCTCTTTCTCCCTACCTGCCCCTTTGTGTTAGGCTATTCTTGTGTTGCTGTAAAGAAATACCAGCCGGGCGCGGTGGCTTACGCCTGCAATCCCAGCACTTTGGGAGGCTGAGGTGGGCGGATCACCTGAGGTTGGGAGTTTGAGACCAGCCTGACCAACATGGAGAAACCCCATCTCTACTAAAAATACAAAAAATTAGCTGGGCGTGGTGGCACATGCCTGTAATCCCAGCTACTCGGGAGGCTGAGGCAGAGGAATCACTTGAACCTGGGAGGCAGAGGTTGTAGTGAGCTGAGATCACGCCATTGCACTCTAGCCTAGGCAACAAGAGCGAAACTTCGTCTCAGAAAAAAAGAAAGAAAGAAAGAAAGAAATACCTGTGACTGGGTTAATTGTAAAGAAAAGAGTTTAAATTGACTCACTGTTCTGCAGGCTGTACAGGAAGCACGGTGCCAGCATCTGTTCAGTTTCTGGGGAGGCCTCAGGAAGCTTTTACTCATGGTGGAAAGTGAAGTAGGAGGAGGCAGAGCATGGTGAGAGTAGGAGCAAGAGCAAGGCAGAGGGATACCACACACTTTTAAACAACATGATCTCACGAGAACTCACTATCACAAGGACAGAACCAAGAGGATGACGATAAGCCATTCATGAGAAATCTACCCCCACGATCCAGTCACCTCCCAACAGGCCCACCTCCAACATAGAAGATTACATTTCAATGTGAGATTTGGAAGGAACATCTAAATGATATCACTTTTCTAACCCAAATCCCTTTCTCAGTAAGCTTATCTGTTTTTTTATTTTTTTAATGTATTTATTTATTTTGAGACAAGTTCTCACTGTCTCCCAGGCTGGAGTGTGGCGGCATGATCATAGCTCACTGCAGCCTCGACCTCCCTCAGCCTCCCAAGTAGCTGGGACCACAGGCATATGCCACCACACCTGGCTCACTTTTTAAAATATTTTTACCCAGGCTGATCAAACACCTGGGCTCAGGCAGTCCTCCCACCTCACCCTACCAAAGTGCTGGGATTATAGGAGTGAGCCACCGTGCCCGACCCTCAGTAAGTTTATACATTTTCATGACTCCCTCTGTCCTCTCTGTCTTATCATTCTCAAATTTGCCTTCGTGATATATTCCTCTTCACCTTGTCTAAAATGTTTCTGTGTGTCCCCATCTTGCTTAGTGACACTACCATTCTTGGTATTCAGACATGGATCTGATGACCTTGGATTGTTTCCTTCAGTCCATCCTCTGTATTCAAAGGAATATGGATGTGTGCGTTATACATCTGGATGCGTTCCTGAAAATAGCTAGACTTCATTGTTCTCTGTTCTCTCATCTTGGATTAGGGTCTTGCTATCTTATTCATTTGTTCATTCATTCAACAAACGTTTATTGGGTACCTACAACGTGCCAGACCCTCCAGTGTTCACCTGTACCGCATGACTAGTGTTGTCTCCTAATTCATTTCCCTTCCTCTTTTCTTTTTAACCCCCTCTAATCCATCTGGGCTAATCTTCCTAAAGAGTTCTTATCCTAATTTCACTTTTGGGTAGGATAATGCAAAATTTATTGTCCAAACGGGGATACTGTTGTGAGTTAAGGGAGCCATTATTAAATATGATGCTGGGATAGTAGGCTTAAACTAGCACTATTCTGGGAAAACCAGGATATATGATTGCCCTACTTGACATCTCTTGGATTCTTTACTTTCTGTTTCCCTCAATTTACTCCCCATGTGTTATCCCAGCTGCCTCTCTCCTCTGTTTTCCATTTCATTAAGCTGAGAGAAACGTGAATGTTCTGGGAGGTGGTAGTGGAGGAACTATGGGAACTAGGGGAAGTGCATGGTAATGCTTGAAAAACTGTATTGTTAAGTGAGAAAAAGAAGGAAAATAACAAGAGTGGAGAATAGCAAGGTACAAAAAAGAATATAGAATGGAGAAAGAAAATTAAGGATAGATTTCACTCTTCTGTTTAGAACTGGTTTCCCTTTGACCATCAGTTTATATCCATATTTTTCATCTTGTAATTTCAGTATTCTGGTTGGAATCACTTCAGGCAGCTTGATTCTTTCTTCATTTGTTAATTCCAACAACAAAAAATGTTGAGCGCTTACCATGTGCCTGGGACTGTGGTAGTGCTAGGAATACAGGGTAAGCAGGACGGACAAAATCCCTGCCTACATGAAGTTTATATAATATTATGATCTCCCATTTATTTTCATGTATACCAACCCTGTGCCTTTTTTTTTTTTTTTTTTTTTTTGAGAAAACACTGCTTATTCTCCAGGGCTCAGCCTAAATTCTGCCTTTTTAAAATGCTTTTCTCCATCATTCCATGCCTTAGTAATTGCTCCCTCCCTCCCCTAGTCCTCTTCATCTCCTGCTTGCATACATTGTAAATTTGAATTTGCTCTCTTATTGTTTTTCCATACTACTCCATTGTAAGCTCTTTAAGGGAAGTATGATATTTCATGCTTGTATTAGTGTGCTTGGGTTACCATAACAAAATGCCATAAACTGAGTGGCTTAAACAACAGAAACTTATTTTCTCACAGTTCTGCAGCCTAGAAGTGTGAGATCCATGTGCCTCGCCATTTTGGTTTCTGGTAGGGGGCTCTCATCCTGTCTTGTAGCTGGCCATCTTCTTACTATGTATTCTCATAGCCTTTATGTGTATGTGTGTGGAGAGAGGGAGAGCATGTAAGAGAACTTTCTTGTGTTTCTTTTTATAAGGACATGAATTCTGTTGGATCAGGGCCCACCCTTATGACCTCATTTAACCTTAATTATCTCCTTAGAGGCCCCATCTCCAAATACAGTCACATTGGGGGTTAGAGCTTTAACATACAAATGTTAGGGGGACACAAACATTCAGTCCATGACAATGCTTCTTTAAATTTTCCCTGTGTTAGACCCAGAACAGGGATATATACAGAGTAGGGTGCTCATTAGTTATGAGTTTAAGAAATGTATGAAGAAAAGAGAAGTTCCAGAGAAGATGAGAAATTGAAAAGAAATTCAGAAAAAACTATCAACTTTCTCACAGAACTTTGAAGGTGAGTTCACTTGCTCTACTGCTCTGCATTGCAGTCCCCTGGCTTTGCACTGTTTTCTCCACCTGCTTCATCCTTAATGATTAGGAGAGGTAGCAGCAGCTGGATGTGAGTGAGCCCAGGACCCTGGCAAGAATCCACCCTCCCTCACCATTCTCTCTTCCTACCCTTCTTATCTTGGGCATGAGTTTGTGTGTATGTGCCTGTGTATGGAATCAGTGGCCACCCGCATTTCTGAGATGTGAACTCGAATATGTGCAGTTATCTTTTTGCCAGTCTCGAGTGCCACCATTTGCTATCTTCCTTCTCCAGAAAGTGTGGCTCCATTTATCAGAAAGCTGTGGGACATGGAAATTGGTCAAACTTTTTTTTTTGAGACAAAGTCTTGCTCTGTTGCCCAGGCTGAAGTGCAGTGGCATAATCAGGGCTCACTGCAGCCTGGACCTCCTGGGCTCAAGCAATCCTCTCACCTCAGCCTCCTGAGTAATTGGGACTACAGGTGCACACCACCATGCCTAGCTAATTTTTAAATTCTTTGTAGAGATGTAGTCTCCCTGTCTTACCCTGGCTGGTCTCAAACTTTTGGGCCCAAGTGATCCTCCCGCCTCAGCCTTGCAAAGTGCTGAGATTATAGACATGTGCCACCATGCTCAGCCCATCAAACTTTTTTGAATAGCAACAAGCAATACTGCACAACAGTTGCACTCCTTCTGACCCAATTAACTCATTTGTGGAACTTTTGTCCTAGGAATATATTTTAATAGGAAGAAAATTTTGTGTGTATAAAGAGATTATGATAGCATTATTGATAGTAGTTAACTTCAAGGAACAACAGAAATGTCCAACACTAGCAAAATGGTAGGTAAATTAGAAGGAATTCAATGATCATATGAAGATTAAATAGCAATGTGGAAAAATGTGCATTAAAAAATTAAGTGGAGGCTGGGCGCAGTGGTTCACGCCTGTAATCCCAGCACTTTGGGAGGCCGAGGCAGGTGGATCACCTGAGGTCAGGAGTTCAAGGCCAGCCTGGCCAACATGGCGAAATACCATTTCTACTTAAAAAATACAAAAACTAGCCAGGCGTGGTGGCAGACGCCTGTAATCCCAGCTACTCAGGAGGGTGAGGCAGGGAGAATTGCTTGAATCCAGGAGGCGGAGGTTGTAGTGAGTGGAGATTGAACCACTGCACTCTAGCCTGGGCAACAGAGCGAGCCTCCGTCTCAAAAAACAAAAAAAAATTTGTGAGGCAGGGATTAGGGAGATGTTGGTCAAAGGATACAAAAATTCTGTTAGGAGGAATAATTTCAGGAAATCTATTGTATTACATGGTAATTATAGTTAATATCAACATATTTAGACTTGAAAAGTGCTAAGAGAGATTTTAAATGTTCTTACCATGAAAAAATAATAAGTATGTGAAGTAATGGATATGTTAATTAGCTTGATTTACCTGTTCCATGTGTAAACATTTATAAAAACATGTTGTATGCCATAAATATATATACTTTTTTATCAACTAAAAAATAAATGAAATGAACTGCAAGAAGTAGGATGCAAAATAATATCTACCATATTTAATTGTCTAACAAAATACATATGGGCAAGTCTATAAAGGAGCATAGTCATGTGTTAGTATCATGTAGTTATCTTTTTGCTTTCTTTTACATCCCAACTCCCTCTAAGGTCTGCCATGGTTACCTGTATGTCCAGAGTTTCACGTCAAACCAGTTGGGAAATTCCTCCTTATTCTGATGTTTGGTTTCATGTATTGGCACCTCTTGGTTATGCTGCCCCTACTCTGACGCTTTTGCCATCCTTAGATACTTTACTATTATGCCATGCAAGATCCTATCAGAGTTTCATCTGCCATGCTTTAACTAACCTTCTTTCCCAATTTAGCCTCTCAGACTCACCCCTTAAGTAGTCTCAGTCTGTCAGAGTGACAGCATGGTGAAAAGCAGACAGACTACACTTGCATATAAAACTGGATCCAACTGGCTGGGCGCGGTGGCTAACGCCTGTAATCCTAGCACTTTGGGAGGCCGAGGCAGGTGGATCACGAGGTCAGGAGATCGAGACCATCCTGGCTAACACAGTGAAACCTCGTCTCTACTAAAAATACAAAAAATTAGCCAGGCGTGGTGGCGGGCGCCTGTAGCCCCAGCCACTCGGGAGGCTGAAGCAGGAGAACGGCGTGAACCTGGGAGGCGGAGCTTGCAGTGAGCCGAGATCGTGCCACTGCACTCCAGCCTGGGCGACAGAGTGAGACTCCGTCTCAGAAAAAAAAAAAAAACTGGGTCCAACTATAGGCCAGCCCCTATGAAGTAGGCTATGATGTGACTAGGCTCAATATTGAAAGAACTGTGTCACCACTTAACAAGATAGGGTTTACCTGCAAGGATGTAGACTGGGGTCTAGTACCTGGACCTTGAGCAAAAGATGAAATCCTACTCACAACCTAAGACAGAATCCTAGTTGCTATTCTATAATACCATTTTGAGCACCTTTTACATACTGGCCACAGTATCACTAGTACTAGGGGAATAGGTTAGCAAGAACTAAAAGCCAAACTGAACTAAAGTTTAGTCATCTTTCAGTTCACTTTTTCTAGGACCAGATTATAGTTGAGCCTGCCATTAGGAGTTAGATGGCTCTGAGCTGGGTGCGGTGGCTCATGCCTATAATCCCAGCACTTTGGGAGGCTGAGGCAGGTGGATCACCTGAGGTCAGGAGTTCAAGACCAGCCTGGCCAACATAGTGAAACCCCATCTCTGCTAAAAATACAAAAAATTAGCTGGGCGTGGTGGCAGGCGCCTGTAATCCCAGTTACTAGGGAGGCTGAGGCAGGAGAATCGCTTGAACCTGGGAAGCGGAGGTTGCAGTGAGTCAAGATCGTGCCATTGCACTCCATCTCAAAAAAAAAAAAAAAAAAAGCAACGAGTTAGATGGCTCCAATTCAGGGAGTAGAGGATGAGGCAGGAAGGAACTAGGGTAGATTTTATACGATTCATTGCTTATTCTGATGCTGGACCTGCTGGGCTCCCCTTAGCCCCTGGCTTTCCATAAGCCTTTACATTGGCCTCTATGTTTAACTTCATTTTTGTCATCTTTTTGATCTGTTCCCCTGCCCTTGAACACTTAACCCTTCCATATGGCTACCACATCTTGTCCGTGGATAGATCTCCTTCCTCTGGTACAGAGAATAGGTGACATGTGCAATTTCTGTTTCTCCTGTCAGATGGTGAAACTGGGACTGAGGAGGAGTTAATTCCAAAGCATCATTCCTGAAAAATCAGAATCATACATACTTTCAAGAGAATTCCACAGAGACATTGCCCAGGAAGTCAAAATTTAGAAGGCTCCTCTGAAGGGAAAGAGAAGACTAGAGAGGACACTGGTATGTTCCAAGCAGGAGAAAATGAGGAGAAAGACAAGAAATTTCAAACATAAGACAGTTAAAGACAATAAAGTACTCACAGAAGGGAGTGACCAAGAATCTGAAAAAGACAATAGTCAGTGCTGTGACCCTGCAACAAATGAGAGAGTTCAGGCTGAAAAGAGACAGTATGTATGTACTGAGTGTGGGAAAGCCTTTAGTCAGAGTGCAAACCTCACAGTACATGAGCGAATCCACACGGGAGAGAAACCCTATAAGTGTAAGGAGTGTGGAAAAGCTTTCAGTCATAGCTCTAACCTTGTTGTTCATCGGAGAATCCACACTGGACTGAAGCCCTATACATGCAGTGAATGTGGGAAATCTTTCAGTGGAAAGTCACATCTTATTCGGCACCAGGGAATCCACAGTGGGGAGAAAACTTATGAATGTAAAGAGTGTGGGAAAGCCTTTAGTCGGAGTTCGGGCCTTATATCACATCACAGAGTTCACACCGGAGAGAAGCCCTATTCTTGTATTGAGTGTGGGAAAGCCTTTAGCCGTAGTTCAAACCTTACTCAACATCAGCGAATGCACAGAGGAAAAAAAGTTTACAAATGTAAGGAGTGTGGGAAAACATGTGGTTCTAATACAAAGATTATGGACCATCAGAGAATTCACACTGGAGAGAAGCCTTATGAATGTGATGAGTGTGGAAAAACTTTCATCTTAAGGAAAACTCTTAATGAACACCAGAGACTTCATCGTAGAGAGAAACCTTACAAATGTAATGAGTGTGGGAAGGCTTTTACTTCTAATCGAAACCTTGTTGATCATCAGAGAGTTCACACTGGAGAGAAACCCTATAAATGTAATGAATGTGGGAAAACCTTCAGGCAGACTTCTCAAGTTATTCTACACTTGAGAACCCACACTAAGGAGAAACCCTATAAATGTAGTGAGTGTGGGAAAGCCTATCGGTATAGTTCACAGCTTATTCAACACCAGAGGAAACATAATGAGGAGAAAGAAACCTCATAAATAACAAATATTGTGGGTAGTAGGGCTGACTGCTGCTTTTCTAAAAAGTAGTTCTTTAGTATCAACTTTAATTCTACTTCTAAGAATCATACTCTACTTCTAAGAAAATAATTAGAAGTAGACAAAGATTAATGAAAGGGATGTTCATGACAGCATCATATACGACTGAAAGAAGAAAACTAGATTTTCAACATTACAGGGTTGAAATGAATGATGAGCTATCCATATGATGGTTCTGCAGCCATTGCAAACATTTTTAAAGACAATTTAATGCCATGGGGAAATGATTGGATAAGACGGAAGATAATGACATACAATCCAAAATTTAAAAAAATATTTTTGCATAGGAAAAATTGAGAAGGAAGTAAACCAAAATGTTAACAGTGATCATCTCTGGGCGATAGGATTATAGGTGATTTCTATTTTCTTCTGTATACTTTTCTATGCTTTCTAGATTATCTACATGAGAATATACTAATTTTATATGCAAGAAAAAAAGCACAGTATTTTTTAAATGCAATGAAGACGTGCTTATTTTCACTCAGCAGTGTTATGAAAGGCACGTAGTATATAGAGCCCAAAGCCCTGGGATTGCACCCTGACACTGGCATTTAGCAGCAGTGGAACCGCGAGCAAGTCCCTTCCTTTTAGAGCGTGTTTCCTGTTAAGTAAAATCATAAACACCGATCCTTTGTCCTTTTTAGTTTTAAGACAAGCTGACTTTAGAGTTGTCAACAAAATATATAATAACACTGTTAGGTTAAAAGAACACAGCAAAAATTCACTGAACCCTCCTTTCCCACAGTTCTGGAAGGATCTGCAGATGATGGAGAACTACCTAGGCTTCATCTTTTCAACATATGTCTACACAACCAGAAAAAAATGAAATTGAAACAACTGTAGACTCAAAAACTTCAGATACAGTCACCAGTTAATATAAAACTAGTGGGAGACTCTGCCTTCACATGGTATATAGAGTTTAAAGGCTAAAAGTACAAACTTTGGGGTTGGAGATATCCATGTTCTAACCCCAGTTCTACCATGAACTAGCTTGTCAGTTTTGGACAAGTCACTTAACTGCTCTGAGCCTCAGACCTGTGTGTAAAAAAGGAACAATTACCTACCTTACAAGGTTGTTGTGAGGATTAAGTGAGTAATGCATGAAATATATGATAAGCCAGACACGTGGTAAATGATAAAATCTTAAGTATAGGACATTGTAGCAGTGTTTCTAAACACTTTAGGGAGAGTGATTAAAGAGAATTTTTGTGTAAGGTAGTACTTAGGATATTTTCAGATGTATTGAACAGAATACCAAGTACTAGCAGCCTAGACCTTAAGAACATTGATTGATTGCTTAAGGGGAATCTAGAGGTAAGCAGTGCTATGTTTGGTTTGGCAACTCAGCACTTCATCACACTTCTCTCTTAACTCCATAATTTTCAGCATGTTGACTTTCATTTTTCATAACCTCATGGTGGCAAGACAGTGGCCACAGCTGCATCTTGCCTTCACACAACTCCTTCAGATTGGGAACTGGAAAAGGAGCTGAGGCTTTCTCATCTGGTTTCTTCCTTTTGTCACTGAGAAAAATCTTTCCCTGAAGAAGGGACGGAGAGGTGTTGAGCAATCAATACAACAGATGTTTTCTATCTTCCTCTGCCTTTCTTTATGACCAGTCCTCCTTGAAGGTCTTAGCCCATCTTCCACCAATATTTAAAACATTTTAAGTGCTTAGCTCAAAGTCACTCTGAAACACTTAGAATCTCCCTATTTTTAACTCAGCCATTCCTCTGTGTATACAGTGAATCCCTAAGCCCACTGTTATCTGTCTTATGCACATAGTGAATTAGTGTTTGGGGAATTTTTGATAATATGTTATTTAGTTCTCCCTCTATTATACAAGAAAATTGAGTGTCATTGAGGTTAGGTGACTGGCTAGTAAGTTGTCGGAGCCAGGATTTGAGCTCAGATCTGACTTTGAAATTCATGCTTTCTTCATTATACCAAAGTGCCTCTGCCCACCATGGTGGTTCTGTATGTGAGTGGAAGACCAGTTGGCGTTTTCCCAGGTAGCTGCCTCTATGAAAGGTGATTGTATCTAACAATTATTTGATATTTGACCATGGTTTTATAGGGAAGATGTTATCAGTGTTCTGTGAATGGGGTTTATGGCCTATCTCTGTACCTCATAATTTAGTTTTAAGGTATATATATTTCTTTCTTGCTGTTACCGGAAAGAAAGAAGTGAAGGGTGAAGGTTGTATATTTGTGTGAAAAAAAATTACTGATTTTGTCCTATTTTGATAGGATAGTGGTTTGCACATAATTTGTGATATAATAGTCCTTTGCATGGTCATTCCAAGCAGGGTTTGGAAGGCCTGGAACAGATTTGTAGCATTCATGGACAAGCCTGGTCTATCATTCCTGAGCAGAATTGTTGATGCTTTATATATTGCTGAGCAGATATTCTCTGACCAAAACATTTTTTCACCACCATGTCATAGTGCCTAAAACTCTTTATTTAGATAGGCTTTCTTTTTTGTCTTAGAAGACTATGATCTTCAAGAGTATATCTCAAGGAAGGATATGATGCCATCTCATAACCAGAGAACTGAATATAGGAGAGCTTCATATTTCTTGCCCCAGGCAGGCGAGGATTATAGTCTCTTGAGGAGGCCATCACCCATCTTCTAGGCTAATACCTGCCTTGAGCTGTAGGAATAAACACTTGACAGTGGGTTCCTGCATCCTTTCAGATAAACATTCAGCTATAATTTGAACTGATCACCCACCTTTCTCCGGGAGTCTCCCAGGGTTACCAACTTTTACCTCAGTCAGAGTTTAGGCATGCAGCTCTTACCATCCTTTCAAGCCCTTTCATAATACCCTCTGGAAACCAGGAACTGTCTCTTTTAATGTGCTTTCTTTTTCTTTCTTTTCTTTTCTTTTCTTTTTTTTTTTTTTTTGAGATGGAATCTCGCACTGTCGCCCATGCTGGAGTGCAGTGGCGTGATCTCAGCTCTCAGCTCACCGCAACCTCCAGCTCCCAGGTTCAAGCAATTCTCCTGCCTCAGCCTCCTGAGTAGCTGAGATTACAGGCACCTGCCACCACACCCAGCTAATTTTTGTATTTTTAATAGAGATAGGGTTTCACCATGTTGGCCAGGCTGATCTCGAACTCCTGACCTCACAAGATCCACCTGCCTCGGCCTCCCAAAGTGCTGGGATTATAGGCATGAGCCACTGCACCTGGCTTTATTTATATGTGTATTTATTTATTTATTTATTTATGAGATGGAGTGTTGCTCTTGTCGCCCAGGCTGGAGTGCAATGGCGTGATATCGGCTCACTGCAACCTCTGCCTCCTGGGTTCAAGCGATTCTCCTGTCTCAGCCTCCCAAGTAGCTGGGATTACAGGTACCTGCCACCACACCTGGCTAATTTTTTGTATTTTTAGTAGAGACGAGGTTTTGCCATGTTGGTCAGGCTGGTCTTGAATGAATGTGTTTTCTTCACATTCTTGTTCCAATGGAAACCGGGCTGTTCCCCAAGGGCAGTGCTTATTCTGCATTCCTCAATTGCTGGTTTATGTGTCTCTCAACTCATGTACCTCTCTGTACTGCCATTTCTTCTCTCTTCTCCATCAGAAACTTAGCTCTAATCAGTCATGGTTGCATACACACGTAGTCCTAGGTACTCAGGAGGCTGAGGGGGGAGGATCACTTGAGCCCAGGAGTTCACTGTTACAGTGAGCTATGATCACAATTCTGCACTGCAGCCTAGGTCACGGAGCAAGACCCTGTCTCAGAAACAAAACAGTACAAAACAAAAAACCCACAAAAACCCAACCCAGTGCTTTTGAAATATATATCACTAAACTACTGTGTATTGCTCATTCTTGTTATTTGGTTTCTTGTCTACTCACATTTATTCACTTACAGTTTTAGTACCCTGAATATTCCTGAGGAATATAAAGAGGCAATAATTTTAGCCACAGACATCCTGGTTATATAGAATTGCTCCTGTGTAGAATAAAAATATATATGCTCTTTTTAGTTGAGAGGAAAATACGAAAATCTCATTTTATATAGCCTTGAGTAGAGGGCAATACGTAAGACAAAGAATTCTGCTTAGAGAGGAAAGTGTCGCCCTGGACTTAGAAATCTTTTTTCATAGATGGTGCGTCCTGTGTTAGGTATTACTTGGAAGAAAATTGAAGTAAAAAACAGCTTTAAGTAACTGAGTAATTAGGATTAATTAGTAGCTGTTGAATCTAAATCCCTTAAGACTAAATTTCATTGCAGCTCTGTACCCTCAGCAGGACTTCCTTTCTTGATTGTTTTTTCCATTTAATATAAAATTTAAAAGATGCCCATATTGTCAGTTGTTTTTAGTCGCCAGACTGTCTTTAATAGCCTCTGATGTTATAAAACTGGAGTCATGAAATTGTTTTGCAGGAAGTAGTGATAATTCCTTCAATAAACGTCTGCTATTCTTATAAATATCACTTTTTTTTTCTTTTTGCTTACTTTCTTTGTTCAGAGTGGGAAAAAAATAGTTCAATCTGCTTTTCTTTAAGTAGCTATATTAGGGTTCTTTCTCCAGAGGGATGGAATGAATAGGATGTATGTATATATAAAAGAGATTTTACTAGGGAGAATTGGCTTAAGGCAAAGTCCCGCCATAGGCCATCTGCAAGCTGGCAAAAGAGAAGCTGGTAGTGTGGCTCAGTCCAAGTCTGAAAGCCTCAAAACCAAGGAAACTAAAGTGCAGCCTCAGTCTGAGGCCAGAGGCCCTAGAACCTCCAGGAGGCTGCTGGTGCAAGTCCCAGAGTCCAAAGACTGAAGAACTTAGAATGTCTAAGGGCAGGAAGAGAGGAAGCAAAGCACCTGGCATGGAAAGAGACAGGAGACCCAGCAAGCTTCTTATCCCCCTTCTTGCGGCTGCTTTCTTCTAGCTGTGCTGGCAGCTGATTAGATATGCCTACTGACATTGAGGGTGGGTCTTCCTCTCCCAGTCCACTGACTCAAATGTCATTCTCTTCTGTCATCACCCTCACAGACACTCACAGAAACAGTGCTTCCCCAGCCATCTAGGCATCTCTGAATCCAGTCAAGTTGACACCTAATATTAACCATCATAGTGGCTGTTTTTAGAATAAAGAAGTGATTCTGGCTGGTTTCTCATTCAAACACTACAAGAAGTTTGTAATTTTCACACTAGTAATACATAAGTAAGCACTCTCTAGCCATTAGAAATTTTCCTTCTGTTATTTCTTGAGAGGGCTATGTGCCATACCCTCTCTCTGGCCACACACGTGCTTCATACCCCTACTGCTGTGCAGACCTCAGATGGCTGTATAAAAACCAGCCATGTTCTCTGAAGTCCCTCTCTGCTCCAGAAGGTAGGTTTGAGAGGGTTAAAAAGAGATGGCAGACTCCTTTCTGTGCAGCATAGTTACAGGACCTGACTAGTTCCCATTCCTCTCTCTGATTATTTCAAATCCAGACGGCACAACTTGACTATATGGATTACAGACATACAAAAGCTGTGACCAATCTCTGAAACCAAGGCTAGTGGATTCCAAGTTTGGGATTCACAAGAGGTAATTTTACACCTACAGATAAATTTCCCAGGCCCACCAAATCAGCATATCTACAGTGGGGCCTTGGAATAAAACAAAACTTTGCAATGGGGATCAGATAAAATTTTCCTTTAGGAACCTTGAGGTTTTTTTCTTTTTTCCTTTTTCTTTTTTTTTGTAGAGAAGGAATCTCACTATGTTGGCTTGCCCAGGCTGATCTTGAGCTCCTGGCCTCAAGCAATCCTCCCACCTTGGTCTCCCAAAGTACTGAGATTACAGGTGTGAGCCACTGTGTCCAGCCCAGGAGCCTTGACTCTTTACATGACTGTTGACTGTTTTTATACTGATTATCCATTTTCCTTTGGAAGAACAGAAGACTCTTCCCACAGAAGATTTGTGACAAATTACAAAATTATTGAGACTTATACCAAAGCTTGTACAATCATATGACAAATCAGCAGTTAACTGAGTCAGAAAGAAAATGCTGTCACATTCGCAGTTAGTTTAACCACAGAATTTAGCATGTTTTTAAAAAGTAGAATAGGCCAGACGCGGTGGCTCACGCCTGTAATCCCAGCACTTTGGGAGGCCAACGCAGGCAGATCACTTGAGGTCAGGAGTTTGAGACCAGCCTGGCTAACATGGTGAAACCCCGTTTACTAAAAAAATACAAAAATTAGCCAGGCATGGTGGCGCACGCCTGTAATCCCGGCTACTTAGGAGCCTGAGGCAGGAGAATCGCTTGAACCCGAGAGGCAGAGGTTGCAGTGAGCAGATATTGCGCCACTGCACTCCAGCCTGGGTGATAGAGTGAGACTCCATCTCAAGAAAAAAAAAGAAAGAATAAAACAACATGACAAGCTGGGTATTCATAAAGCCCTTTGGCTACAAACACACAGAAATGCTGAATAAAATTTAAACGTCCTTTTAAAGTATTTTCAAGAAAGTGAAATAAATCCTTAGAGCCAAAAATGAAGATGAAATGGAAGTTAGAAAGGTAAGTGTGTGGATGCTGTCTTTGGTTGCCAAGAGGCAGTTTGGTGATTTGGTATCCAATGGACTTGAATTTTATCAGCCATGCAGAAGAGGATTTGAGTCCTTGGGCTTGCAAGAGGGGGAAAGTTGGCACAGGTCTCCACAAGAAGCCCAGATGCTTACAGGGCTACACCCTCAGTGAAAGTATGCATTAGAAAAAAGTCAGCCAGCAGCAATGGAAGACAGCAAGGAGGATTGTGGGATTTGTCCTGGGCTTAAAGTGGGTGAGGTAGATTAAAGCTGAGGATAGTTCCCAGAGAAGGCTGACATTTGAAGGCTTTTGGCCTGCCCCTCTAGTGAGGTGGTTGCGGGGAGAAAATCTGAAGAGGAATCCGGACAGTGTGGCACAATGCCCTCTGCACAGAACATGATGTAATTAAGATAGAAGTCAAAATTAAAATACATTTGGAAATTAATGCATTTCTAAAGAATTCCTGGGTTAAGAAGAAAACTTAATTTAAAAAAGGGAAAATACTTAGATATGAAGAAAACTGAAGGACAGTCTTCTATTTCTGGTCATAGAAGAGTTACAGGAACCAGAATTATACCCCTGCTTGAAATAATCTCAAATAAAATAGATGAAATAATAGCTTTTAAGACATTGGGCATCAACAACAAAATATGATGATCTCTGATAGATGGGAAACAAATGAGATGAGCCCTACAAATGTCCTAACTTATTGTCTTGAGAGAGTTACCAGACAGCTACACAGGGATGGGAGACCCAGGTGTAGCTGTGTGATGAAGTTCCTGAGTTGAAGACACAACTGAGAATCTAAGGAGACCAAGGCAGATAGAGTTCACAAGACAGAATTCTGGAGGAGAGGGACCTGCACAGAGAATTCTGGGGATCTTTGAAGGGTCCCCTAGGATACTCCACAGAGTACTGATTGGCGTATGAGGAAAACTTATCTGAGGCCAAAGAAAGAACCATCCCAAAGGATTAGAGGGAATGGTGTCAGGCATAGAAATATGGCCAGGAATAGTGACTGTTCTCACAAGCTGGACTGAAAACACTGCATTGCTTTGTGCATTAGGTAGAGTACTCAGAAGGGACTGTCTCAGTCGGGAAGAACAGTAAGCCACAGAATAAATGTGAAGAAAACTACTCTATAATTAAATTGCTCAAAACATTCAAAAATAAAATGACCAGAGGACAAAGACATTAGGTATGGAGAAGAAGACAGGGATCACAACAGATTTCTCACTGGACACAATGCAACCATGAAGAGAGTGGAGCGGCATGTTTAAAGTACTGAAAGAAAAAAATCTCAGCTACTCCAGCGGCTGAGGTGGGATGATCACTTGAATGCAGGAGCTCAAGGCTGCAGTGAGCCATGATCACACCACTGCACTCCAGCCTGGACAACAGAGTAAGCCAAACTAGAATTCCAGACCAGTGAAAATATAGTTCAAGAACAAAGGCAAAACATATTTGCAGACATTAAAAAGCTAAAATAATGGATCACTCACAGACCTGTACTATAAGAAATGTTAAAGTAAGTCTTTTAGGCAAAAGAAAAATGACACCTGATAGAAATATGAATTTTTCCCAACCTTGGCCTTATTGACATTTTGGACCAGATAATTTTTGTGGCAGGGGCTATCCTAGCATTCTAGGATGTTTAGCAGCATCAATGGCTTTTACCCCGTCATGACAATTAAAAATATCTCTCAATATTGCCCCCAAATGAGAACCACTGCTATATGCCACTGCTGTACAGGAAGTAGTATAATACCACTTGAAGGCAGACGAATAAGCTAAAGACATACACTATAAATCCTAAAGCAATCATTAAAAAACAAATAATTATAGCTGATCAAAAAAGTTATTGGCCAGGCACAGTGTCTCACGCCTGTAATCCCAGCACTTTGGGAGGCTGAGGCAGGCAAATCACTTGAGCTCAGGAGTTCGAGACCAGCCTGGGCAACATGGCAAAACCTCGTCTCTACAAAAAAACACTATATATATCTGGGCGTGGTGACACATGCCTGTAGTCCCAGCTACTCCGGAGGCTGAGGTGGGATGATCACTCGAGCCCGGGAAGTTGAGGCTGCAGTGAGCCATAATCATACCACTGCACTCCAGCCTGGGCAACAGAACAAAATTCTGTCTCAATATAATACAAAGAAGAAAGAAAGAAAAGAAAAAAATGTTATAGTCAGGTATAGTGGCTAACACCTATAATCCCAGCACTTTGGGAGGCCAAGGTAGGAAGATTGCTTGAGGTCAGGAGTTCAAGACTCACCTGGGTAACATAGTGAGACCCTGATTCTACAAAAAAAAAAAAAAGATAATTTAGCTAGACATGGGATGCATGCCTGTAGTCCTAGCTGCTTGGGAGGCTGGCATGAAAGGATCACTGAGCCCAGGAGTTCAAGGCTATAGTGAGCTATAACCACACCACTGCACTCCAACCTGGGTGATAGAGCAAGTCTCCATCTCAAAAAAAATTATGGAATGTTGTTAAAACATTAGCTGAGGGAAATTATAGCACTAAATATCTACATTAGAATATGGTATCATAGACTGTATGTACACACACACACACACGCACACACACACGCGTGCGCACACACACACACAAAAGAGTAGCCGGGTGTGGTGGTGCATGCCTACAGTCCCAGCTACTTGGGAGGCTGAGGTGGGAGAATTACTTTAGCCCAGGAGTTCAAATGCAGCCTGGGCAAAATAGTGAAACCCTATCTCAGTGTTAAAAAAAAATAAAGGAAAAGAGTAAAGTTTAAGAAACTAGAATAAAAAAAGCAAAGTAATGCCAATGTAAACAGAACAAAAGAAATAATAAAGATCAAAATGGGAACCTGTAAAATGGAAAACAAGAAGACAATAGAGAAAATCAAGCCAAAAGTGGTTTTTAGAAAATAAATAAATGCATAAGCTTCTAGTAGGACTGATCAGCAAAAAAAAGGAAAAGAGACACAAAGTATCGACATTGGGATTAAAAGAGGTGACATCACTATGGATTCTACACCAATTAAAGGATAATGGGGGAATGTTATAAACAACTTTATGCCAATAACTTTGATAATTTAGATCAAATGGCCAGTTCCCTGACAGACACAAACTACCAATACTCACTTTAGAAAAAAAATAGATAGCGCTGAATAGTGCTATAACTATAAAAAATAAAACACTTCCCCCACAGACATAGAAATCTAGGCCCAAGATCACATCAAGTTAAAAAGCTTCTGCATAGCAAAGAAAACCAGCAACAAAGTGAAGGAACAACCCACAGATTGGGAGAAAATATTTGCAAATTACCCATCTGACAAGGGATTAATCACCAGAATATATAACAAGCTCAAACAACTCTATAGAAAACAAATCTGATAATTCGATTTTAAAAATAAGCAAAAGATTTGAGTAGACATTTCTCAAAAGAAGAAATACAAATGGCAAAAAGGCATATGAAAAGGTGCCCAACATAATTGATCATCAGAGAAATGCAAATCAAAACTACAATAACATATCATCTCAGTCCAGTTAAAATGGCCTTTTTCCAAAAGACAGGTGATAACAAATGTTGGTGAGGATGTGGAGAAAAGGGAACCCTTATACACTGTTGGTGGGAATGTGAATTAGTACAACCACTATGGAGAACAGTTTAGAGGTTCTGACGAAAACTAAAAATAAAGCTACCATATGATCTAGCAATCCCACTCTTGGGCATATGCCCAAAACAAGGGAAATTGGTACTTTGAAGAGATATCTGTACTACTGTGTTTGTTGCAGCAGTGTTCACAAAGCCAAGATTTGGAAGCAACCTAAGTGTCCATCAGCAGATGAATGGATAAAGAATATGTGGTACTTATACCCAATGGAATATTATTCAGCTATAAAAAAGAATGAGATCCTTTATTTGCAACAACATGGATGGAACCAGAGGTCATTATGTTAAGTGAAATAAGCCAGGCAAAGAAAGACAAACATCTTATGTTCTTATTCGTGGGATCCAAAAATCAAAGCAATTGAACTCATGGGGATAGAGAGTAAAAGAATGGTTACCAGAAGCTGGGGAGGGTAGTGGGGGGTGGGGGTAGTGGGGATGGTTAATGGGTATTTAAAAAATAGAAAGAATGAATAACACCTAGTATTTGATAACAGGGTGACTAAAGTCAATAATAATTTAATTGCTTTTTTTTTTTTTTTTTTTTTGACGGAGTCTCGCTCTGTCGCCCAGGCTGGAGTGCAGTGGCGCCATCTCAGCTCACCGCAAGCTCCACCTCCCGGGTTCATGCCATTCTCCTGCCTCAGCCTCCCGAGTAGCTGGGACTACAGGCGCCCGCCACCATGCCCGGCTAATTTTTTGTATTTTTTTTAGTAGAGACGGGGTTTCACCTGCCAGGATGGTCTCCATCTCCTGACTTCATGATCCGCCCGCCTCGGCCTCCCAAAGTGCTGGGATTACAGGCGTGAGCCACTGCGCCCAGCCTGCATATTTTAAAATGACTAGAAGAATGTAATTGGATTGTTTATAACACAAAGAATAAATACTTGAGGGGATGGATACCCCATTTTCCACAATGTGATTATTACACATTGCATGCTTGTATCAAAATATCTCCTGCACCTCATAAATATACACACTTACTATGTACCCACAAAAATTAAAAATTCAAAAAAATCTAGACCTAGGTGGCTTCACTGGTAAATTTTATCAGACGTTTAAGGAAGAAATAGTACTAACTTTATACAACAAGCTCCTGCAGAAAATTGAGTATGAGGAAATATTTTCCAACTCAGTCTGTGAGGCCAGCATTAACCAGATCCAATACAATAAAAGTGTTACAATAAAAGTACAGACCAATAGCCTTCACAGACTTAAATGCAAAAATCCTAATTCATTTAATTTTAGCAAATTAAAGCCAACAATATGAAATTTTAGTAAATCACTATCCAATAATTGGATAATACATCCAGACCAAAGGAATTTTTTCAAAAAATGCAATGTTGGCTTTGTATTTGAAAATTGATCAGTGTAATTCACCATATTAACAAGCTAAAAATGAAAAATCATGGTCACTATGATGGTATAGAATAAGCTTTTGACAAAATCTAACATCCATCATTGATTTTGAAATTTTAAACCCCTCAGCAAATTAGGGGTAAACGAGATCCTAAATCTGATTTAAAAGTATCTACAAAAATTTTATAGTTGGTATCACACTTAATGTTGAAAGACTGAGCTTTCCTCCTGAGATCAGGAACAAGATAAAGTGCTTTCACCACTTTGTCTACTCAACAGTGTACTGCAGGTTCTAGCCAGGGCAGTTAAAATAAGTAAATAAATAAATAAATGGCATACAGGTTGGAAAGAACAAAGTAAAATTGTCCTTCTTTGTAGACGACACAATTCGCTATGTATAAAATCCAATTAAATCTCTTTTAAAAGCTACTAGAACTAGTAAGTGAGTTGAGGAAGGTTGCAGGACACATAACTTTATAAAAATCAATTTGATTTTTATATACTAACAATGAACAATTTGAAATCAAAATTTAAATAATATCATTTATAATAGCATTAAAATATGAAATACAGTAATTAATATGGCAAAAATGCAAAATATCTGTATATTAAGTACTGTAAAACTTTGGTGAGAGAAATTAAAGAAGACCTAACCAAATGGAAATCTACTTTGTTCACGGATCAGAGTATGCAGTATGGTTAATATGTCAATTGTCCACAAACTGTAGACTCAAATCCATCTCAATCAAAATCCTAGTAGTTGTGTGTGTGTTTTGTAAAAATTAAAAAGTTGTCTCTAAATTCTATATGAAAATGCAAAGAGCTTAGAGTAGCCAAAACAAATCAGAAAAATATTTTAAAATTTGGAGGGCTAACCTGATCTTAAAACGTATGTAGAACTACAGCAGTCAAGACAGTGTAGTTTTGGCATAGTGATAGAAAAATAGATAAATAGAAGAGAATAAAAAATTCAGAAATAGATCCACACATATATGAGCAACTGATTTTCGACAAATGTTCAAAGGCAATCAGTGGATAAATGGTATCTTTCCAACAAATCATATTGGAATAATTGGATATCCCTATGTAAAAATATTAACTTTGATCAATATCTCCCAATATATTAAAAATTAATAATGAATACTATACCTCAGTAGGAAACCTAAAACAATGAAAATTCTAGAATAAATCTGGAGAAATTGTGTCATCTTGCATTAGACAAACATTTCTTACATATAATGCCAAAGGTATGATTCACAAAAGAACAATTTGATAAACGGATGTCATCAAAACTAAAAGATCTGTTTTTTGAAAAGTACTGTTAGGAAAATTACAAAACAAGCCACGATCTGGGAAAAATATGAATACAGCATATATCTGATAAAGGATTTGTATCCAAAAGTGTCAAAATCCAACAATAAGGAAGCAAATAACCTAGTAGAATAATGTGCAAAGATCTGAATGGACACATCACTGACAAAGACATTCAGATGGCAAATAGGCACTGGAAAAGATGTTCAACATCACTGGTTTTTAGGGTAATGCAAATTACAACCACAGGGAGATACCACTACACCCCAATTAGAATGATGAAAATTAATAAGATAGTTCACATCACATGTTGGCAAATATGTGGAGGAACTGGAACTTTCAAACACTGTAGGCAGAAATGTAAAGTAGTGTAACAACTGTGGAAAACACGTTGGCTGTTGTTTAAAAAGTTAAATGTGGATTTGACAATGAATTATTGGCTATGACACCAAAAGCACAGGCAATAAAAGTAAATCCAGGTGCGGTGGCTCACACCTGTAATCCCAGCACTTTGGGAGGCCTAGGAGGTTGGATCACTTGAGGTCAGGAGTTTGAGACCACCTGGCCAATGTGGCAAAACCTCATCTCTACTAAAAACACAAAAATTAGCTGGGCATGGTGGCGTGTGCCTGTACTCACAGCTACTCAGGAGGCTGAGGAAGGACAATCCCTTGAACCTGGGAGGCAGAGGTTGCAGTGAGCTGAGATTGTGCCATTGCCCTCCAACCTGGGCAACAGAGCAAGCCTCCGTCTTGAAAAAAAAAAAAAAGTAAAAATAGATAAACTATACTACATCAAAATTTAAAACTTCTGTGCACTAAAGGACATAATCAGACTGAAAAGACAACCTATGGAATGGGAGAAAAAATTTGCAATTAAACATTTGATGAGTAGTTGATATCCAGAATATATAAATAACTCCTACAATTCAATAACAAAAAACTTAAAAAATGAGGAAAAGACTTAAATAGACATTTCTCCAATGATACGCAAATGGCCAACAAGCATATAAAAAAATGCTCAATATCATTAATCATTAGAGAAGTAAAAATCGAAACCACAATGAGAGGTCATCTCACACCATTATGATAGCAATTATCAAAACCAAAACAACAACAACAACAGAAAAGAAAATAATAAGCATTGATGAGAATGTGCAGAATTGGTACCTTTGTGCACTGTTGGTGCGGATGTAAAATGGCACAGCTGCTACATAAAACAGAATAGCAATTTCTCAAAAAATTAAAAACAGGTTGGGTATGGAGGCTCATGCCTGTAATCTCAGCACTTTGGGAGGCCGAGGCAGTTGGATTGCTTGAGCCCAGGAGTTCAAGACCAGCCTGGGCAACATGGCAAGACCCTGTCTCTATAAAAAATTAAAAAATTAACTGGGCATGGTAGTGCATACCTGTAGTCCCAGCTAGTCAGGAGGCTGAGGCAGATGTATTGATTGAGCCTGGGAGGTCGAGGCTGCAGTGAGCCGGGATCACACCACTACACTTCAGCCTGGGTGACAGGGTGGGACCCTGTCTCAATAAAAAATTAATTAATTAATTAATTAAAAATTAAAATAGAATTACCATACAATCCAGCAACCCCACTTCTAGGTATGTATTCATAAGAATTGAAAACAGGATCTCTAAGAGATATTTGCACATTCATTTTTATAGTAGCATTATTAACAATAGCAAGAGGTGGAAGAAATCCAAATGTCCATCAATAGATGCATGGATAAACAAAATGTCATATATACATGCAATGGAATATTATTGAGCCTTAAAAAAGAAGGCAATTCGGCCAGGCACGGTGGCTCACACCTGTAATCCCAGCACTTTAGGAGGCCAAGGCTGGCAGATCACGAGGTCAAGAGATCGAGACCATCCTGGCGAACATGGTGAAACCCCATCTCTACTAAAAATACAAAAATTAGCTGGGCATGGTGGCACACGCCCAGCTACTCGGGAGGCTGAGGCAGGAGAATCGCTTGAACCCAGGAGGTGGAGGCTGCAGTGAGCCGATATCCTGCTGCTGCACTCCAGCTTGGCAATAGAGCGAGACTCCGTCTCAAAAAAAAAAAAAAAAAAAAAAGAAGGCAATTCTATCATACACTACAACATGGACGAATCTTAAGACATTATGCTAAGTGAAATAAACCAGTCACACGAAACAAAGACTATGATTCCACTTCTAAGACGTATCTAAAGTAGTGAAACTCATAAAAACAGAAAGTAGAATGGTGATTGCCAGGGTCTTGGGGAATGGGGAAATAGTGAGTTGTTTAATGGGTATAGAGTTTCAGTTTCGCAAGATGAAAAAGTTCTGGAGATTGTATAGCATTGTGAATATACTTAATGCCACTTAACTGTAGGCTTAAAAATAATTAATATGGTAAATTTTATGTTTTGCATTTTTTACCACAATTAAAATTTAAAGTCTTTTAAAAAAAACTATTCTTGCAAAGGAACCCCAAATTAATTAGATCAGTCTGTGGAGCAATTTTAGCCTCAGGATATTGTAGAAAACAACAGAACAATCATCTGGCAATTGGTGGTGCTTAATAGCTGGGTTTGATAAGGGAAAGAGACAATGTGAATCTCGATAAATCCACTCTCTTTTTGGGGTGACAATGTGTATGCCCAAGGCTGAGCCCTCTAAGGAGCAATGTTAGAGGCTTCACATTTGGTAGGGTTGGGGATAGACTTCACTAAATTAATCTAGTCAGTCACTAAATAAATAAACAAGCAAATGAAAATACAAAGCCTAGGAAAGAGGGGAGCAGTACCTAGAGTTGCTATAATGTTATCTAAAACATTCTATTTCCAATAAAAAAATGATGAGACATGCAAAGACACAGGAAAAAGTCTGACCCTGTATAGTTAAAATACTGAAGTTAGTATGCCTGCGACTGTTATCCTTAGAAAGGTCTGCTCTCAAGGTTGGTCAGCATCTGGGAACCTGGACATTGAGAGATTTTCCACCATTCCCTGATAAGAATGGATCACTATACCTAAATTGTTTGTGCAAACAATATGGTTTATGCTGAATATCTACTTTTTTCTGGGAGTTTAGAATTTTAGTACATGCCAGGCAGAGTGTGCATGTGTGACCAGCCCACACTAAAAATTCTCAAATTGAATCTCTAGTCCGTTTCCTAGTACACAACATTTTACACTTGTAGCAATTTGTTCCTGGAGGAATTAAGCATGTCTTTTGTAATTCCACTGGGAAAAGAATCTTGGAACTTACACCTGGTACCTTCGGGAATTCACCCTATGAGCCTTTTCTCTGTGCTGATTTTACTTTGAATTCTTTTGATGTAGCAAATCATGGCTATGAGTATGAAGCTATGCTGAATCTTGTGAATCATTGAACCAAAAGGTGATCTCGGTATCATTAGCTAGACTAAACAAAGAAATGAGAGAAGACTAAAATAAAATAAAAAATGAAAAAGGAACCATTACAGCTTTACAGCTGTTACCACGGAAGCACAAAGGATCAATGGAGGCTATTCCAAACAACTATATGCCAACAAATTAGAAACCCTTGAGGAAATGGATAAATTTCCAGATATATACAACCTACCAAGATTGAACCAGGAAGAAGTAGAAAATATGAACAGACCAATCATAAGTAATGAGAGTGAATCAATAACAACAACAACAACAACAACAAAAAGCCCAGAACTGGATAACTTTACTGCTGCATTCTACCAAACTTTTGTTTTTTTTTAGAGTCAGGGTCCTGTTATGTTCCCCATGCTAGACTCAAACTCCTGGACACAAGCCATGCTCCTGCCTCAGCCTCCTGGATAGCTGGGGCTACAGACATGTGTCTTTGCACCTAGCATACCAAACTTAAAAAAAAAAAATTTTTTTAGAGAAAAGATCTTGCTCTCTTGCCCAGTTTGGAGTGAAATGGTGTGATCACTATAATCTCAAACTCCTGGGCTCAAGTGATCCTCTTGCCTCAGCCTCCCAAGTAGCCAGGATTACAGGCATGCACCACCATGCACGGCTAATTTTTTTTTATTGTTGTAGGGACATGGTCTCTCTATATTATACAGGCTGGTCTCAAACTCCTGCCCTGAAGCAATCCTCCCACCTCAGCCTCCCAAAGTGCTGGGATTACAGGCATGAGCCACCATGTCTGGCCTCCAAACTTTAAAAAAACTAACGGCAACTGTTTTCAAACTATTCCAAAATACTGAAGATGAGAGAATTTTTCTAATTCTTTCTACAAGGCCAGCATTACCCAGATACCAGGGTAAAACTGGAAAAGGACACAATAATAAAAGAATACTACAGGCCAGTATCCCTGATGAACATAGGGGCAATAGTCTTCAACAAAATACTAGCAAATAAAATCTAACCAAAAGATAATATACCATGATCAAGTGGGATTTAACCCAGGGATGAAAGGATGTTTCAAAATACGCAAATCAATAAATGTGATACATCACATAAACAGAATGAAGAACAAAAAACATATGATCATCTCAACAGATGCAGATAAAGCATTTGATAAAATTCTATATCCTCTTATGATAAAAACCCTAAACAAACTAGGCATAGAAGGAACATACTTCAGTGCAATAAAGGCCAAATATGACAAACTCATAGCTAACATCAAACTGAATAGGGAAAAGCTGAGAGCTCTAAGAACTGGAACAAGACAAGGATGTTCATGTTCACCTTTCTTATTCAACATAGTACTGGAAGTCCTAGCCAGAGTAATTGGGCAAGAGAAAGAAATAAAGGGCATTCAGGTTGGAAAAGAGGAAGTCAAATTGTCCTTTCAGAAAACATGTATTCAAAATTCTAAAGATTCCACTAAAATATTCTTTGAACTGATAAACAAATTTAGTAAAGTTGCAGGGTACAAAATCAACATAGAAAAAAACTGTAGCATTTCCATACACCAGTAATGAACTGGGTAACAAAGAAATCAAGAAATCAATCCTATTTACAATAGCCCCCCACCAAAAAAAAAAAAACTAGAAATAAAGGAAGTGAAATATCTGTACAATGAAAGCTACCAAACATTGATGAAATAAATTAAAGAGGACACAAACAAATGAAACGACATCCCATGCTCATGATCAGAAGAATATGCCCATACTACCTAAAGCAATTTACAGGTTAAATGCAGTCCCTGTCAAAATATTGGTGACATTCTTCACAGAAATAGAAAACAATCCTAAAATTTGCATGGAACCACAGAAGACACCAAATAGCCAAACCAGTACTTATCAAGGAAAAACAGAGTTGGAGGCGTTACAGTACCTGACTTGAAAATATACTACAAAGCTATAGTATGACATAGACAAACGGAACAGCATAAAGGACCCAGAAATACATCTATGTATTTACAGCCAACTGATTTTCAACAAAGGAACCAGGAACACACATTGGAGAAAGGATGCCCTCTTCAATAAATGATGCTGGGAAAACTGGATATACATATGTAGAAAAATGAAACTAGATCCCTATCTATCCCCATATACAAAAATACACTCAACGTGGATTAAAGCCTTAAATGTAAGACCTGAAACTATAAAACTACCAGAGAAAAACATAGGAGAAATGCTTTAGGACATTGGTCTAGGCAAAGATTTTATGGATAAGACTTCAAAAGCACCGACAACAAAATATAAAAAAATTGGACAGTGTTAAACTAAAAAAACGTCTACATAGCAAAAGAAATAATCAATGGAGTGGAAAGACAATCTGTACAGTGGGAGAAAATATTTGCAAATTCCTAATCTGACAAGGGACTAATATCCAGAATATACCAGGAGCTCAAACAACTCAACAACAAAAACCTAAATCCAATTAAAAGTGGGCAAAGGATCTAAATAGATATTTCTCAAAAGAAGACATGCAAATGGCCAATAAATACATGAAAAAATGGTCAACATCATGAATCATCAGGGAAATGCAAATCAATACCACAATGAGATATAATCTCACCCCAGTTAGAATGGCTATTATCAAAAAGACAAAAAATAAGAAATGCTGGAGAGCATTCCAAGGTAATTATTTGTTTCTTTTTTTTTTTTTTTTGAGATGGAGTCTCGCTCTGTGACCCAGGCTGGAGTGTAGTGGCGCGATCTCGGCTCACTGCAAGCTCCACCTCCCAGGTTCATGCCATTCTCCTGCCTCAGCCTCCCAACTAGCTGGGACTACAGGCACCCACCCACGCCCAGCTAATTTTTTTTTTTTTGTATTTTTAGTAGATACGGGGTTTCACCATGTTAGCCAGGATGGTCTTGATCTCCTGACCTCGTGATCCACCTGCCTCGGCCTCCCAAAGTGCTGGGATTACAGGTGTGAGCCACCGTGCCCGGCCTTTTTTTTTTTTTTTTTGAGATGGAGTTTCACTCTTGTCGCCCAGGCTGGAGTGCAATGGCACAATCTCAGCTCACTGCAATCTCTGCCTCCTGGGTTCAAGTCATTCTCCTCCCTCAGCCTCCTGAGTAGCTGGGATGACAGGCACCTGCCACCAGGCCTGGCTAATTTTTTGTATTTTTAGTAGAGACAGGGTTTCACCAGGTGTTGGCCAGGCTGGTCTCAAACTCCTGACCTCAGGTGATCCACCTGCCTTGGCCTCCCAAAGTGCTGGGATCACAGGTGTGAGCCACTGCACCCAGCTCAAAAGGAATTTTTATATGCTTTTGGTGGAAATGTAAATTAGTACAGCCATTATGGAAAACAGTGTGAAGGTTTCTCAAAAAATTAAAAATAGGGCTACTATATGATACAGTAATGCCTTTACTGAATATTTAGCCAAAGGAAGGAAATCTAAATATCGAAGAGATACTTTTTCCCCATGCTTATTACAGAACTATAATATTCACAATTGCTAAGAGATAAAATCAACCCAGTGTCCATCAACAGACAAATGGATAAAGAAAATGTGGCATATATGCACAATGAAATACTATGCAGTCATAAAAAGAATAAAATTCTATCATTTGTGGCAACATAGATGAGCCTGGAGGACATTATGTTGAGCAAAATAAGCACAGAAAGATAAATAACTACATGTTCTCTCTTATATGTGGGAGGTAAAAATAATTTAGAGCTCATGCAAGTAGAAAATAGAATTGTGGGTATTAGAGCCTATGGAGGGTAGTGGAGGGGAGAGATGGGGAAACATTGCTTAATAGACACAAAATTATTGCTAGATAGGAGGAAGGAGTTCTGGTGTTCTGCAGCACTGTAGGGTGAATATAATTAACTAGAAATTATTGTATATTTTTAAAAACATAGAGGAGAGGATTTTGCATGTTCACAACACAAAGAAATGATAAATGTTTCAGGTAATGGATATGCTAATTACCGTGATTTGGTCATTACACATTGTATATACATATCAAAATATCACCCTGTGTCCCATAAATATGTACAATTATTATGTGCCAACTAAAAAGAAAAAGAAAAAATTTGTTCTCGCCCTTTCCACTGAAAATACCTAGAAACAAAGATCTACCAGGAGCAGTGAGCACCCTTCACACCAAAATTGCAGTCCTGAAACACCATTTCCCTCTAAAGGGAACTAGGGCCCTTTAAAAAAGTGGTTGATTCTATGATTGGGGCAGAAAATGCACAATCCTAGCATTTTGGGAAGCCAAGGTGGGAGGATCACTTGAGCTCAGGAGTTTGAGACCAGCATGGGCAACATAGTGAGACCTCATCTCTACTAAAAATTTTAAAAAGTTAGCTGGGCATAGTGGTGCATGCCTATAGTCCCAGCTACTTGAGAGGCTGAGGCAGCAGGATCACTTGAGCCCAGGAATTCAAGGCTTCAGTGAGCCATGATCATGTCACCGCACTCCAGTCTGGGGGCAGAGTGAGGCCCTGTCAAAAAAAAAAAAAAGGAATGGGTTCATAATAATAAGATAAAGAGAACAAAAAAAGTAAAATGGCAGACGTAAATCCAACTATATCTTCTTCCAGATGAAATGTGGTCTAAAAAGAAACCCCGTATCAATAATAAAATGTGAATGGATTAATCAATCCAATGAAAAAGCAGATATTGTCAGACTGGATAAAAAAATAAGATCCAATTATATGCTGTTTACAGGAGACACAGTTTAGTTTCAAAGATACAAAGAGATTAAAAGTAAAAGGATGGAAAAAGATGTATTTTGCAAATAGCAACCATAAGAAAGCTCGAGTGGTTATATACAAGACAAATTAGACTTTAAAACCAAAACAAGATACTATTTCAGATAAAAAAGGGCATTTTATAACAATACAGGTGTCAATTCATCAGGAAGATATAACAATGACAAATGTATATTCAGCTACTGAAATACCCCCAAAATACATTAAACAAACACTGAAAGAGATGCAGCAGGGAAATAGACAATTCAAACAATAATAGTTGGAGGCTTCAATAGCCCATTTTCAATAATAGTTTAACACCAGAAAGAAGATCAATAAGGAAATAGAGGACTTGAACCCTATTAACCAACTAGGCCTAATATAGCCCTAGAACATGCCACTGAAGAATAGCAGAATATACCTTCCTCTCCAGCACACAAGGAACATTCTTCAGGACAAATCATATACAAGGTAAAAAAACAAACCTTAATACATCAGAAGGATTTAAATAATACAAAGTATGTTCTCTGACCTAATGTAACTTAACTGCATCCTCCACTCCCTAGAATAGTTATAGGAATGAAAAGTATTCTGTCTCCAACAAGGTAAAATGGAAAATGTCTGACATACAGTTATTACTAGGCATGTAAACAAATAGGAAAATACAACCTGTATTGATGAGAAAAATCAGTTATTCAAAACTGACCTAGAACTGACACAAAGAATCAACAAACAAGGATATTAATGATATTATGACTATATAAGCAAAAATCAAGGGGAAGGATTGAATTTGTTTAGCAGACACAAAAGATATTAAAAAAATTAAAATTCGATTTCTAGAGATAAAAATGTCTGACATAAAAATGGAAAATTCTACCTGAATGTCTTATAATACTCATTCATTCACAGGGTTTCACTCCAGTATAGGTTTTCTGATGGCCATTGAGGTATGCACTCTGAAAGCTTTGCCACATTCATCACATTGGTAGGATTTCTGTTCCATCCTAATGTATAGCCAGACTGGAGGACATAGGAGGATTCCCCAAATCCCTTCCTCACATTTATCTTTTGTAGGTTTGAAACAATCTTTGTGTGTTATTCAATAAACTACTTCTAGTCAGCTCCTTTCTTCATTCAAGGGTAATTCTTCTAACTTCTTGAAAGTGTCTTCACAGGTATCTCTAGTCTCTGGTTTCCCAGTGAATCAACACATAGAACCCTCTTACTAGCTGGGGGCATGATGGTATTCATCTGTAGTCCCAGCTGCTTGGGAGGCTGAGGCAGGAGGATCGCTGGAGCCCAGGAGTTCAAGGCTGCACTGAGCTATGATTGTGCCACTATGACAGAGTGAGACCTCATATCTCTTAAAAGAAAGAAAGAATCCTCTTGATGTTCCATCAGATAAATCCTTTAAAAATTTCTTGCTTCATAATCAAGTCTATTCTGTTCTCATCTGCTGTCAAAAGTAAGCAGAAAACAGTTTTACTCATTTTTTTTTGTCTTGTGGAAACAGTATCATCAAGAGACCTTAAAAAAAAAATGTCAGATTATGGGTGTAGAAGGAGATGACATATTTAGAACAAGAGTGAAGTGTTAGTAGCTCAATTTTTTCTCCATGGGCAGGAAAAAAAGAGGGAGAGAAGTTTATCGGTGGAAGGTAAAAGAAGATATCAGGGACAAACAGATACTGAGCCATCACAACGAAGTTAGAAGGCCAACTGGAGGGCAAGTGACAAGTTTACAAAGGATGATGTGGTCTTACAGAGGTAAGATCTTTAGTAAAATGATGAACTGTAGATTCATTTCCAACCATAACATTGTATGGTTCCATAGTTCTCTGAAAAGATGTTGCAGAGAGAGGGATAGCAAACATCTCAAGTCAAATACAGAAGGCAGAGTAATTATGGTCATGATTACTAAACATGAATATGTTGGTTCCTTTTAATTATCCTGCAGAGTGTGGCCTGAGGTCAAAGCTCTGCCCAAACAAAGACAATATTTAATGACTCTACCAATTGGAATCCCTTTCTAAGGAAATTCTGAATTGGAAGTAGGGCAGAAATGAGGAAATTAAGAACAGGAGCTGAAGCAGAAATTGTGGATGGAGAGAAGCCACATCATTAGGAGCCGCAGCAAGCAGTAAGCATGAAGGGACAGAAATTGTAATAAGAAGGACTAATGAAAGGGACAGAAGATTCAGAGTGAAGAAGCTGGATAGTGGTGGGAAGTAAAGAAATAGAAAATAAATGCTGGGAGCAGCTGGGTTGTATTTACAGTGGAACACCGGCACAAAGATTCATTTACTTTTGCTGCTTTGGCTCCTGGACTACCCTGCATCAAGGCATAGTCTCCGGGAGGCCCAGTTTTCCACCATCTGGTCTAGCCTGTAGAGCTTGCATCTCTTCCCACAGTGGTGAGAACTTTGAACTCACGATTCCCCTCTGGCTAAGATCCTCCATTTTCCTCATTAGTGTATAATTCAGGAAGACAAGATGTACTAAATAGCTCATTGTCTGTGTATCTGTGTAAAGGCCTATCTACTTAGAAAGAAGGTAAAGGACTGGCTTCTGGAGCCTCCTCTGGAAAAAGAAAATTAGTCTTCAACCAGACTAATAAATGGGTGTTCACAAAATTGGGCATTGTCAAATCCCCCAACCTTGTTTGAATTTAAAAGATTGATTATAAGTTTAGGTTTTTCCAACAGCAGAGCCTGAGACAAGGATATAGGTGGAGTAGATTATTTTGAAGGTGATCTTAAGGAGCAAGAGGCAGTGAGCAGGAAGGATAAGACAGGGAAGGTCGAAAGCCAACAAAGAATGAGTAATTGAGCTGGATCCACTGTGGGCAACTGAGGCTCATTTTCACTAGGGGCCCTCTAAGGGCCCATGTAGAACATAGCTCAGACTTTTCTTGTCAAAGGACAGGACGTTGGGGCATTTGTGTACCAATTCTTATTTATCATTCTTTCAGGTTTGCCTGAGGGGATGTTACTCTTATCCACTTCTTCCAGTTTGTGCCTAAGACCTGGCTGAACAGGCTTCTGAACTTCCAGAGGAAGCCTTCAACAAAACAGCCTAAGATGTTATGGTGTATGCTTGAGACAGGACTCTGTCAGGATGGCTACATCCATTCTCCCACAGCTGCATGAAAATCATAGGTGGGCAGAGGTGACTGTGGTAGAGAATACAAAGAACATCTGTTTTAGGTAATAAGCAGATGCTTCTTTTACTATGCTTTTAGCATCAAAGAATTTTAGTGTTTTAAAATATTCCCTTTACCTGTGTGGTAACTACTTCCATTGTTTTCCAGTACCCAAAAGTAAAGTATCTGCAGAATATCTTGGACTGGGAAGGGCCTCAGTTACATTTGTTCTACTCCCCAGACACCCAGACACCTCTAAGGCTAGGAGATACTAGACTGACTTTAGAATTACCACTTTTGGGCCTCTCTAGAGCAGAATGTATTCAAGAGTTATGACCTTCTATATAAAAGTCCATGTGGGTATAAGCCAAGATAGCAGGCCTCCCTGCCTCCCACCCCTAACGATTATCAAAGCCTTAGATGCATTCCCAGTGAACACAACATATTAATGCTTCTCTGCATTCAAATTAGCATGAGTTGTCCAAGGCCCGACCACAGCTAAAGTATTCAGGAGGCTGAAGACACTCTTCATGCTGGCTGTCCTGACTTTTCTCCCCCTTTTCCCTACCTGTGTCTTGCCTCAGTCTCCTGAATGATTTTCTTGCTTCTGGGTGTACAAAAGCCTAAATATAGTGGTGGAAACAGCATTTGCCTTGGATTTCAAAGCCTCACTGGTTATTAGGAAGGTATTTTAACAAATTACTTAAACTTACTCACCCTTAGTTTCAGTATCATCAAAACTGTCACAATATTATCTGTCTCAAAGGGTTCATGTAAGGAGTAAATGAAATTAACCATGTGAAAGGGGCTGACACATAGCAAGTAATTTTTATATGCTTTATTTTTTTTCTAATATTCTAGCTTTGCCTCACTCTTCTGGTTTGAACTCTATCTTAATTCAACTGAAATGTTCTGTGATTGCCAATTATATACTGTTGAAAATTGAGTCTGTGTGTGTGTGCATGTATGTGTGTGTGTGTGTGTGTGTGTGTGTGTGTGTGTGTGTGTGTGTGTGTGTGTTGGGGGTGGGATGCAGAAAGTGCAGCTGGGTAGATTTTGGCACTAGTAAAGACCTCTATCAGGGGTCAATGATCTTTTGATTCGTTGTAGCATCATCAGCCTAGTAATAGAGGGCTGGCCTAGAAACCAATTCGGAACAACCTGAGATTTTCATTTTCATCTAGCCCTTGAGAAAGGCTACAGAAAGACCAAAGCAGATCCCCCAGTATCCCACTTCCTTTCCTTTCCTGCTAGGGCCATAACAGCCCCTTTAGCCTTTCAGATTCTAAAGCTCCTGTCAAAGCCATAGGCACTCCAAGCTCAGGTCCTCTGATTTTGTGATCCCTCTACTCCTACCAATGACTATGTGCCTTTTACAGCCTCTCCAGGTAGGACTCCGATGAGGGTAAAAGGATAGGCAATGGGATTTCTACCTCCCTCCAAATTGCAAAGAATATGGCTGTTCTGTCTTCCCTCAAGCTTTCCAGTCTGGACTGGATTTACCCCTCTCTGCTCCCAGCATGATTGGCCTTTCACAGGTGGCCTGTCCCCTTCTCCAACTTTCCGTTTGCTGTTACTCCCTCATTTCTACAAGATCCCTCTCTGAGGATGTAAAGATAAGGGGGTGAAGTTGTCCAAGACAGACATTCAGATCTGAAATGGATCCTTTTAAGTGACACTAGCCTAATCTAACCACTGTGGATGCCCTTCAGTGCCTAGAAAATCTTTAAATAACTAATGCCCTGAACTGTATTTGGAAGAATCCATATGTGATAGTTCATTTTACATGTTAACTTGAATGGGCCATAGTGTGCCCAGACATTTGGCTAAACATTATTCTGAGTGTCTGTGGGGGTATCTCTGGATGAGATTAACATCTGAATCTGTAGACTGATTGCCCTCCTTAACATGAGTGAGCCTCATCCAAGCCATTGGAGATGTGAGTAGAAGGAAAAGACTGAGAGAGAATTTGCTCTTTCTGCCTGTCTTCTGGCTGGGACATTGGTCTTCTCCCACCTTTGGTGATATGGTTTAGATTTCTGTCCCCGCCCAAATCTCATGTCAAACTGTAATTCCCAATGTTGGAGGTGGGGCCTGATGGGAGGTGATTGGATCATAGGGATGGCTTTACCCCTTGGCTCTGTGTTGAGATAGTGAGTGAGACCTGGTTGTTTAAAAGTGTGTAGCACCTCCCTCCTCCCCCGACCCTTGGTCCTTCTGCTGCCACATAAGACATCTGCTCCCACTTTGCCTTCCCCCATGAGTTCCCTGAGGCCTCCCCAGAGGCAGATGGTACCATGATTCCTGTACAGCCTGCAGAACTGTGAGCCAATTAAACCTCTTTTCTTTATAAAGTTCCCAATCTCAGGCATTTCTTTATAGCAGTGCGAGAACAGACTAACACATTTGGATTCCGACTAGGACTCAGACTGGAAGTTACACCAGCAGCTTTTCTGCTTCTTAGGCCTATAGATCTTGGACTACAACTATACCTTCAGCTCTCCTGGGTCTTCAGATTGCATGTCTTGAGATTTCTTAGCCATATATATTATATACATATAATCCTTGGTCATAGGTCAATCACATTCCAATTTGCATTAAAAACAACTCTGGCAAAGTGGGGTTTTATAGAAAGATGAGAAATACAAACTTTCCATTCAGACCGGGATTTCCATTTTAGTTGATCAGTAGTCTAAGATCTTAACCCATCTTGAAATGTCAGTCCTGTGCTTCCAGCCTCTTCTCATATGCCTATCTCAAACTCATTTATTTCTTGTTTGCTTAGTTTTTTTCACCAGTACATTTGGGGATTTTAAATACCAGGAATGTGTGTGTATGTAAAACAAAGGCTATGTGTTGTATTATACCACTGTCCCAGAGCTCTGGCCCACTTTAAACAGGTTTTGTATAGTTCCACCTTGGTCAAAGATAGGGTGTTCCTTTCCTATCACCATCATTCCACAAGGTTACCAAGTCTTTCATCTTGGGACAGTGGTGAGGGTGCTTCAAGTTCTTTGTCAGATGGGCAGAATCTCAGGGCACAAACTGAGTGACAAAACTGAGGCTCTGGGCTGGCCACTGGCAACTGGTGGTTCTTACCAGCTGACAACTCTTTGGTTACATGCTTCCGGGCCATTGCTTAGTAGGAGTGTGAATGATTACAGGCTCACTGGTCAGTGGTCCATAGTCTAGTTGGTCATTTTGGCTCCTCCCATTCCTTTCTTCTTTCCCAGCAAGGCAAGAATGTTTTTCACCTTACTAAAGGCTTCTAATGGCCTAACTCACTATCGTTTTTGTCACTTTTGTTTCCAGTCCCATAGTGTGTAACTCCTGTCTACCTAGGTAGGGCAGGGGAGGAGAAGGGAGCCTTGGTTTACAAGTAAAATTATAATTTAGTGTGGGGGGAACAGCAATCACATTGATCAATATTTCAAAATCTACTCATTCATACTTTGAGACCCATAAAGTACTATTTCCTTCTTCTCTTCCTACTTGATTGGCTGCTGCTTCTCAGTCTCCTTTGTTGGGTCCTCCTTACCCTTTTTTATGTCATCCAAAGGACCACCAGGATGGCTAGATAGTAGAAAAGAAAGTTGGCCGGCACAGTGGCTCACACCTGTAATCCTAGCACTTTGGAAGGCCGAGGCGGGTGGATTGCCTGAGCTCAGGAGTTTGAGACCAGCCTGGGCAACACGGTGAAACCCCATCTCTACTAAAATACAAAAAATTAGCCAGGCATGGTGGCGTGCGCTTGTAATCCCAGCTACTCAGGAATCTGAGACAGGAGAATCATTTGAACCCGGGAGGCGGAGGTTGCAGTGAGCGAGATCGCGCCACTGCACTCCAGCCTGGGCGACAGAGTGAGACTCCATCTCAAAAAAAAAAAAAAAAAAAAGAAAGAAAGAAAGAAAAGAAAGTTTTATTCACAACATCAGTTTACAAACTCGGAGAGATAGTCTCTGGCTTGAACTGAAAGTGGTGCTCTCTCTGAAGAACAAAGAGAAGGTTAGAGGTTTTACAAAAAGGAGGAATGTTACATATTGCTCTTTGAGAAAGTTCATTGGCAGTAGTAAGGGTGTGGGGAGCTGACAAGCTCCAGTTGGTGAGCAACTGCGGTGGGCAAAATTAGTCCTAGAGTTGCAGCAACTTATCTCAGAAGCTATAGATAAAACTGGTTTTGGCTTATAATAAGCAGTTTCAGCAGTCAAGCTTACAGAGAATAACATTCCTGGAGCAATGTTGTGTACCCTGAGTGCTTCCCCCAGCTAATTTCTCGACTTTCTTTTATTAGGTATGACAAAAATGACCCAATTCTTATGATCAGCTTTCACATTTCTTAGCATTTACCACCACCTGACACATTTTTATATTTGTTTTCTGTTTATCCCACTAGAAATGTAAGCCCCATGAGAACAGAGACTTTACCTCTTTATCTATGTCCCTAGTGCCCAGAACAGTATTTGGCATATGGCAAGTACTCAGTAGTTGAATGAATGAATGAATCAAGGCTGAAGTTTAAGTATGTTGTTTAATGAATGCCAGGAGAGAACATAAAGAAATAAACAGAATAAGCCTGGCACGGTGGCTCACGCCTGTGATTCCAACACTTTAGAAGGCCAAGGTGGGGGTGGATCACCTGAGGTCAGGAGTTCAAGACCAGCCTGGCCAACATTGTGAAACCCCGTCTCTACTAAAAAAAAAAAAAAAAAAAAAAAATAGCCAGGCATGGTGGCACGTGCCTGTAATCCCAGCTGCTCAGGAGGCTGAGGCAGAAGAATCGCTTGAACCCGGGAGGTGGAGATTGCAGTGAGCCAAGATTGCGCCACTGCACTCCAGCCTGGGCAACAAGAGCAAAACTCCATCTCAAAAAAAAAAAAAAGACATAAACAGAATAACATGAACCTTGCTCATTGAATAAACATTCATCTACAACCTATATGGCTTCAGCTTTGTACTAGGTGCTAAATACATGGGATCCATGCAGACATGGCCTTTGCCCTTTTGGAGACTTGTTTCAGCCATAGTCCCATATAGGGGTGTCAGTTCCAGAAGTCCAAACTTAAGAGACTGAAGACCAAAGAGAGGATCAGAGTGCCAGTTTCCTTTATATACACCTGACTTTACCCAGGGCGATGGACAGCTAGAATAACCTCTTCTTTCAGGGGAGAGATGTCCCTACCATTTGCACATTACCTTGCACCATCAACTTGATTATTATTTAATATCATAGCTCCAATATGTCATCATGTGGGCAAGAGATACACCACAGTAAGCGAATTCACAAGAGGGTGATTTATAAGTCATGTTATTATTTATAGTGAGAATTGCATAAGTTCAAGAAGAGACCAGAAAAGTCACCTACCAGGTCATTCAGACGTGAAGGTCACTCCCTATCAACCTCAATTGAAATGCAAATCAAAATAGAAATGTCCAACTCTCTTAGGAGGCAACAGGCATCCTGAGACCCTGGGTCCTGTCTTTCATCTCTGCACCCTTCCGGTCTGAAACAGCGGCCAGTTCTTGTTCGATGTAAGGAACACTAGTACCCAAGGGCTCAGGAGTTCCGCCTCTCTTCCCCAGTTCTGGGAAAAGAAACGAACCATAGAGATGTGGCTTCCTAGAGATCCGGGATGAGGGGCGGGGTGCAACCGGAAGTCGCAGTATTCTCGGCTCGGCCATTATTCTGTGCCTCGGCTGCCGGAAGGGCTCGTTCCTGTGTCATCTCCTAGCGGCCTGGCGCCGAGGCGGCGGTACGCAAGGCTGGAGCCGCAGCGGGAGCCCCCGGTGAGCGGGGTGGGCTCGGGGGCGGGTGGGCGTGCAGGGAAGGCGGCCCGGGACGCGGGCCTGAGCTTGCTGGGACTGCACAGCCCTCGGTAGCCTCTCCCGGGCCCTGACCCCCGGCATGGTCCGTCGCCAGCTTCGTGTTGGGGTTCGACGTCGTGGCCTCGGCTGGGCAGGCAGCCGGCCCGAGGGAAGTACTGAGGACAGCAGCTCCGAGTCTGTGTGTGTTTGTGGACCGGTGCTCCTGTCTAACGGACTCTGCTGGCGCTTTGAGAAGAGCTGCCTCAGTAGCCTGCTCCCCCAGCTCAGGCCTTTCTGCTCTTCCTCAGTCTTGTCTGAGGCTAATCCACAGAAACATTCTGAGGTTTCCCTATTACCGGTGGCGCCCAGACTCTTGAGGACGGATTTTTTTGTTTGTTTGTTTTAAGGGGTGGAACGATTTTAGCTTTTTTAGTCTTTTAGTTTTGTAATATAATGGTATTTAAAAATCAAACTTGAAAAACTCAAACTTGAAACCACCCATACCAACATTACTTCAGGCAATACATTTTAACACAAAGTACTAAGACCGTAAACTCAGAATAAATGCTGGCCTTTGCGCGCGCGCGCGCACACACACACACACACACACACACACACACACACACTCATTGCCAACCTGTCAGCGACGATTGTTACTGGTTTTCTCTTTTTGCAGCTTACCAGATTAAAGCTTTGTCGTGGACTGGTGTTTGGAAACTGTTGTTTTAGAACAGTTTGGGTTGTTTGGGTTTCATAAGTTTCTTCGTAGATGGAATTGTTTTGGACTTCTGGAATTAGAATCCCTGAATTCAGAATTTGCTCCCATGTCTCAGTTAGCTAAGTGGCCTTGAGTGGATTCGCTCCTCTGATCCTTTTGTTTTTTTTAACTTCTGCTTTGAAAACCTTTTGTGAGAAGCTAATAAAATGTATGTTTAAGAATTTGTTATTTTTATGTTATTTGAAAATTATTCAAAATTCTTTTTAAAAATTCCTTTCCATCACCCCCAGATCAGTTACCAAGGACTACCAAGTTTTTCTCAATTGCCTTATCCCTACTTCGTTTAGAACTTAAGTCATGTGTTTAGACTATTAGAAAAACCTAACTGACCTTTCTTGATATCCAGCCCTCCCACCCCCACCATTTCTCACTAATAGAGTCCTGACACCACTTAAGACTCTCTTCATGCTCAGAGTGAAAAAGGTCTTTCTAATTGTGGTACAGTACCCAGAAGTCGTAAAAGATTGACTGCATGGCAAAAAACACTTTAAGCAAAGTCACATGGCATATATAGTCACAAAGACACTTGACAAACTGAGAAAAATTTGCAGCTGCCATTGTAAACAAAGGACTAATTTTCCTGTGATAAAAGTGTGTACAAATTAACAAGACCCAACACCTCAATGGAAACATGGGCAAAATATATGAATAGTTACTTTAAAAAATATACAAATGACTCTATATTAATTCGTTCAAAATGCAAGTCAAAAATTTGGCGAAGAGCACAAACTTTGAGAAACATATTGGTGAAAGTGAGGAAAGGCACTCCCATACAGCTGTTTCTGATGGGAGTATAAATTATAAATTGGTTCAATCCTAGTGAGGTCAAATTGGCAATATCAAAATTATACATGTATATACCTTTTAACTCAGCAATTCTGATTCAAGGAATTTTTCTTATATATGCCTACACACATCCAAACTGATGTATGCCCAAGATTATTCATGATTATATTGTTGGTAATAAGAAATGATTGAAAACTACCCAAACATTCCATCAGTGCTGGCATGAATAAATTATGATACATCTATGCATCCATAAAAATGCGGAGAGGGGCTGTGTATTGACAGGAAAGATCTCTAAGACATATTATTGAGAAGAGGAAAATGTACCACGTCATTCATGGTGTCCTACCATTTGTGAAAAAAAGGGAACTAGAAAACAATATATGTACACACATATGCAGAAATAACTGGAAAGATAGATAAGAAGCTAACGGAGAAGGAAACTTTACACAGTATACATTTTATAATTTTAAATTTTGAACCAAGTGAATATATTACTATTTTTAAAAATAAGGAAAAATGTAAAGTAAAGCCTCTTTAATGCTGAAATGTAAGTAAAATCACTTCACTTACAGGACAGGATCATCTCCTCAGAATACTGCCTCTCAAGAGCAGTAGTTAGAATTTAACTTCTGTTCACCTCTCTGCTCTACTCCTACACTCTTGCCTCTGAAGTTTACTTTCCTTCTCTGGTCTTCCTTCACAGAGTTATGTGTCCTTCCTTGCTTTTGAAAATAGAGTTTCTTTCTTCCTGGAATGGCTTTCCTCATAGTCCAATGATCCTTTTATTTTTCCTTAAAAGCCCAATCCAAAAGTACCTTTCATGGCTGGGTATGGTGGCTCATGCCTGTAATCTCAGCACTTTGGGAGTCCAAGGCAGGCAGATCACGAGGTCAAGAGATTGAGACCATCCTGGCCAACATTGCGAAACCCCGTCTCTACCAAAAATACAAAAATTACCTGGGCATGGTGGTGCGAGCCTGTAGTACCAGCTGCCTGGAAAGCTGAGACAGGAAAATTGCTTGAACCTGTCAAGCAGAGGTTGCGCTGAGCCGAGATCATGCCACTGCACTCCAGCCTGGGTGACAGAGCGAGACTCCATCTCAAAAAAAAAAAAAAAAAGAAATTTCCTTTCATGAATCCTTTCTGTAGTTTTATGTTCTCCTATTACTTGTACTTAAACATTATATTGAAATTATGTTTATATTTCTGGCTCCCCTGTTTGTTATAAGCAAGCTCTCTTTAAGGGTCTGTGTGTTCAAATAAAGAGGATGTTTTCATATGTCACTGATGGTGATATAACTGTTATAACCTTAAAAGCTTAAAAATGTTTTTATCCTTCAGCCCAACAATTTTCTCCTAGGAGTTTATCCTGAAGAAATAAGCAGAGATGTAACTAAAAATTTGTTATCAAGGATAGCCGTTGTGACCTTATTAATAATAGGGGAAAGTTAGAATTTATCTATGATAATTAAACTATGGTAAGGACATAGTTCAGAATAATAGCAGTGATTGTTTTCTGGTTTTGTGTGTTTTCTGGTTTTATAATTAGAAAAATGTTATTTCTAAAGAGCAGATGATTTCTAGAGAGCAAGTCTAAGTTCTGTATAATAAAACTCTATTCATATTTATCCATCTGTGGGACTAGATGTGAAAGGAAAAGAAGAAAAGGCAAATTTATCCAAATATTTTGATTAACAGAAAGAACAATTTTCAGAGAATTAAAGGCATGTAGAGCAAAACTACACAGAACTTAATTCATCCTTTCTTTGTTAATTGAGGAGGTGGTTAGGATTTTCTCTCATATGTATCATGATTAATGATTACTTGTTAACTCTGCGGAACATAGGAAAGAGTACTAGTTACAGAAGGGTAATAAGTAACATTTAAACCCGTATACCAGGCACTGTTCAAAAACTTGAAATGTATTATACATCAAATTCTCATGACAACCCCATAAGGTAGGAACTGTTACTATCCCTATTTTACAGGTTAAGAAACTAAGGCTCAGAAGTGAGGTACTTGTTCCAGGTTACACAGGAGTAGTCAGGATGCTCATTGTTAGAGTGGTAAAGAGTCTATTGTAATTAGCTGAAGGGATCCTATGAACAAAGACCAAAGGAAGTTCATGTGTTTGGTTTCAGCAGTCTCGTGCGTAACATGAGTGTTTGTATCCCAGAGCCTTAGGCAGGGGGTTTCTGTCAGAGGAAGCACTCTCTAGAGCCTGGAACCTTGCACTCACAAAGGTTCTCTTTATTACTGGGAGCTGACTGGGAGCTGACTGGGGCCTGGAAAGCTCAGTTGTTTCTCTGGGCTAACTTTAACAATGATTTCTTGAGGTCTTGTAGATGATACTCTCCAAGCTGTAAGGAAGAAGTCAAGGATTAAGGAGACCTGGACTGGAGAGGAGCCTTTTTCAAAAAACAACAATGACAAGAGAAAATGTAGCCCACAATGCTCTGAGACAAGAGGGCCTTGTGAAGGGGAAGGATGATACCTGGAAATGGGGAACCAGCTTCCAAGGAAGTAGCTCCTCTGTTTGGGAGACCTCCCACCTACACTTTAGACAATTACGTTACCATGAGACATCTGGACCCCAGGAAGCCCTGAGCCGGCTCAGGGAACTCTGTCGCCGGTGGCTGAGACCAGAAGCACGCACCAAGGCACAGATCCTGGAGCTGCTGGTGCTGGAGCAGTTTCTGAGCATCCTGCCTGGGGAGATTCGGACCTGGGTACAGCTCCATCACCCTGGAAGTGGCGAGGAGGCTGTGGCCCTGGTAGAGGAGCTGCAGAAAGACCTTGATGGACCAGCAATACAAGTGAGAAAGACAGGGAGGGGCGGTGGGTGTTGGGATGAAAGGAAGGAAAGAATTGAGGCTAGGCTAGAGGGTGATCCTGTGATTTTCATTAAAAATTAATAGCATTAATAGCACACTAGCAACCTTAATGATAATTAAAGCAGGTCCATGAGTATTCAGACCATAGAATATGTCTGTAGAGAAACGGATTTACGTTGAGGTCTTCGGGTCCAACTGAGAAGCAGCATAAAAACATTGACTGTTTTGTCCCTTGGGTAATGCTTGCTAATGCTGAGTTTGGACCAAGAACCTGAAGAAGAAATGTTAATAAGTTTTTCCCTAAACAGAAGCCTATGTATTGTTTCTATAATTCTGTTTGGAATGGTGATGTAAGCCTAGAGTATAAAAGGCAATAGCAGGCCAGGCACAGTGGCTCATGCCACAGCATTTTGGGAGGCTGAGGTGGGAGGATCATTTGAGGCCAGGAGTTCAAGACCAGCCTGGACAACATGGGAAGACCCCATCTCTACAAAAAATTTAAAAATTAGCCAGATGTAGTGGCGAGTGCCTATAGTCCCAGCTACTTAGAAGGCTGAGGTGGGAGGATCACTTGAACCCAGGAGGTTGAGGCAGCAGTGAGCTATGATTACACCATTGCACTCCAGCCTGGGTGATGGAGTGAGATCCTGTCTTTAAATAAATAAATAAATAAAATGGCAGTAGCATAACAAGAATGAAGCTTTCCACATCTTGGTAAGATCTCCTCTTGTGTGCCCTACTAGGGATCTGCAAGCCAAGGGATTGGGTTAAGATATTTGCTTCTGATAAGATTTATATCCTTGACCATTAGATTGGGATCTTAATGTAGCCTCTCATGTGTGTGAGATTTCTTTTTGTACATCTGTAGCTCACTAGAAACATTTCTGTATAAGACGTCTGAATCATAACTCAAACTTGGGTGTGGCATTAAGGATGGGCTTGTTTCTTTTAATAATAACGTGAACAATTTTAGAGCTATATATTTCGTTACAAATTACTAATACATCCTCATTTGAGAGATAAGGAAACTGAGGCAGATGTCTAGCTGGCCGCAAAACCAAGTGTCTTGGTGCCAATTTTAGTGTTAGTTGTATTTGAGCACAAAGGGCTAGGTAAAGGGGTCAATAAGTAGATGGTAAATAAGTAGAAGAGATGTGACTGAAGTCCGATCTAAAACTTAAGTCTGAAGCTAAAATCCATGCTCTTAATTACTGCTTATTACTTCCCATTCCCTCCTTAACCCACACCCAGGTCTGGCTTCTGTTCCCACCGTTGTGTACAGTCTCCTCTGGGAGAGGTCACCAGTGCCATGAGTGGGGCTCGAGGGCAGCTCCATTGTTCTCAATGCAAAGCTTTACTGCTGTTTTGATGCTCCATACTTGAGGTGGGTCTCTCTGATCTCACAGTTGTAGATTGTGGGCAGAAAGAGGTCCACAGTGCTTAGGTGAGTCCATTTTCTTAAGAAACAAGAAGAGCTAGCTTATTTTACTTGTTTCCAGGTTCCAGTCCTTGTCAAGGATCAGGACACTCTCCAGAAGGTGGTGAGTGCCCCAGGAACAACACTTCCTCCTGTACTTCCTGGCAGCCACATAGCAGCTGAAATTTGCCCGCATCCTCCTACTGACCTAGTGGCATTCAACCTCCAGGATCCTCAGCATGGTATTTACTCAGTGCTCTGGGTTTTGGGCTGTTCAAGGACCCTTCCTGTGGCTCATCCCCCTACTTCCAGGGAGTTGCTTCCTCTGCTACCCTGTCTAGGAGTCTCTTACAGTGCCAATTTCTTTCTGCTGTTCTGTTGTTCTCTCCTTCTTTCTTGGGCCCCTCTGAGCTTGTATACATCCCCCCTTTTTTTTTTTGAGACGGAGTCTCGCTCTGTCGCCCAGGCTGGAGTGCAGTGGCGCGATCTCAGCTCACTGCAACCTCCGCCTCCTGGGTTTACGCCATTCTCCTACGTCAGCCTCCTGAGTAGCTGGGACTACAGGTGCCCGCCACTGTGCCCGGCTAGTTTTTTAATTTTTTTTTTAGTAGAAACGGGGTTTCACTGTGTTAGCCAAGATGGTCTTGATCTGACCTTGTGATCTGCCCGCCTTGGCCTCCCAAAGTGCTGGGATTACAGGTGTGAGCCACTGCACCCGGCCATTTTTGTTTTTTTTTTTTGAGATGGAGTCTCGCTCTGTTGCCAGGCTGGAGTGCAATGGCACAATCTCGGCTCACTGCAACCTCCGCCTCCCAGGTTCAAGCCATTCTCCTGCCTCAGCCTCCCGAGTACCTGGGACTACAGGCACGTGCCACCACGCCCAGCTAATTTTTTTGTATTTTTAGTAGAGACAGGGTTTCACCATGTTGGCCAGGATGGTCGTAATCTCTTGACCTTGGGAGCCACCCACCTCGGCTTCCCAAAGCTCTGGGATTACAGGTGTGAGCCACCACGCCCTGCCTTGTATCATTCTTACTGCTACTCTTTGTGTTATTCCAGCTCTGCAAGTGGGGTCACTCAGAAAAGGTTTGTAGGTCCCATATGCAGCTTTTTCTCCCTCCTCAGATTCTCCTGCCCCTGAAGCTTCTGCCCTTTCCCAGGAAGAGAACCCAAGAAATCAATTAATGGCACTTATGCTCCTAACAGCCCAGCCCCAGGTAAGGTTTGCATCCTCTTTCCTTCCCATCTGCACAGCGTAACTGTGGCTGAAGTGCCCTCTCTCATCCTTGTGCTTCAATGTCCAGTCAGTTCCCATTTCTAAATCAGGGTCTATGCTATTGGAAGACAGACTTTACATGTGATCTCCTTATGTCTCCCTGATGTCTGTTATGCACTCATGGCCTCACAGTGTATCCCTTCCCCAGAAGTGAAGGGAACCTTTCGACAGGCAAGTTCCTGGGCATTGGTAATCTCACACACACTTGTTATTTCAGGAGTTGGTGATGTTCGAGGAGGTGTCAGTATGCTTCACTTCAGAGGAATGGGCATGTCTGGGCCCAATCCAGAGGGCCTTGTACTGGGATGTGATGCTGGAGAATTATGGAAATGTGACCTCCCTAGGTAAGGATTCTTCTTTCTATGATGCTTACCTTTATTTCACCAGCCTTTATTTGTTTTCTGATTATAAAAGTAGCATATATGTATTTTGGAAAACACCGAATATTACAAAGAAGAAAAAAACCTTCCTTAACATCGCTATTTCCAGATAACTATTATCATTTTGATATATTACCTTTCTGTTTTTTCTATATGTTTGAGGGATTTTTTACATTGTTCCAAAGTGTGTGTGTGTGTGTGTCTGTGCACAGTTTTATAGCTTGCTTTCCTTGTGTGTGTTCTCACATGTTACAAACTCTTTGCAGTTATTATCTATATTGGCTATATGATTTGTACCATAATTCAGTCAGCCATTCCTTATTTTAGATAACTGCTATAATAATCATCTGTCTCTGTGCCTAAGGCCTTCTAAAATGTTTTATTATTTTTAGAGGTACAATTACTGGGCATAAGTGTTTGAATGGCTTTGAGGCTCTTGCTTCATATTGCCAAATTACTTTCTGTAGCGATCCCTGTCCTCTCTGTTCTTAGAAGTGGTGTATAAGAACACTCCTTTTGCTCTGCCTTCATTTGTACTGAGTAATCCCACAATTCTAAATTGTTGCTAATATATTTTTAAAGTTATATATATTCTAAAATAGATTTCTTTGATAAATAATAAAAGAATATTTCAAAACAATTTTTAGCCATTTTTGCTACCAGCAGACATTAAATACCTATCATGGTACAGCTGTGAAAATGATGTGATTCGGCCCTTAAATAGCTTACAATGGTTTAGGAGATGATTACAGAGATATTAAATATACAAGGCAGAGTAAAATAATTGGTACAAGAGTGGCATAAACCTGGTGTGACAGAAATGCAGAAAACGGGGCAATCAGTTTCATTCCTAGGGATTAGCAAAGGCCATAAAGGAGGTAGCATTTATACTGGAACTTGAAGAAAAGAGTAGAATTCTCTTTGGAGAAATCAACGTTCAGAACTGGGTAATCAGCCACAGGAACTAACTTTGACTGAAATACAGATTTACAGTATCAGTTTAAATGGCTGCAGAGTATTGCATGGTCTGTGTATCATGCTTTACATTGACAGCTTTATGATTCTGAATGTTTCTATTCAAGAACATTACATAACATTCCATTTTTTCTGTACTGCTTTTGTATGCATCGGGCATGTTTTAAAATTGCCTAGATCTTCCATATTTCTGGTAATATTTATTCTTTGGAATTGGAGTCTTTTCTGTATTTTCTAATTGACTGTCATTTGCATATATGAAAGTACTTTTTGTTTGTGTTAATTTTGTACCTAGCAACTTTATTTTATTATCTTTAATAATTTAAACTGTACATTTTCACACTTTTGAGACTGTATCCTTTAGTATCTCAGTAGTGGCAGTGGTGGGTGAAACAGTCTGTAGATTTTATACTTTGATACATATTACCAAATTATTTTCTACCAATGATACTTGAATTAAACTCCCACAGAAAGAACACACAGGAGAGCCAATTTTCCCTGGATATGCTCATGATTTGGTCAGTCTTTTAATTAAATCTTTGCTAGGTAGATGAAGAATACCATCTTTTGTTTGTTTTTCATGTTTTCATTATTAGTGTGATTGAAATCTCTTCATATGTTTATTGGTCATTTTACTCCTATTCATATACTTCCTATATATAGAACTACTGCTAATGCTTTGTCAGTTGTTGCATATGTTTTTCCCATTTGTTTGCCTTTCAATATTATTAATTTTTTTTAAGCCTTAGAAAATCCTTTATGTTGTCAAACTTGGCAGTATTTTCCTTTATGGTCTTAGTGGTCTTTTTCCTCATAAAATTATTTTGTAAACCCACCTGTATTCTATTTTTTTTTTTGAGATGGAGTTTCCACTTGTCGGCCAGGCTGGAGTGCAGTGGCGTGATCTCAGCTCACTGTAACCTCTGCCTCCTGGGTTCAAGCAATTCTCCTGCCTCAGCCTCCCAAGTAGCTGGGACTACAGGCATGCACCACCAGGCCCAGCTAATTTTTGTATTTTTAGTAGAGACGGGGTTTCGCCATGTTGGCCAGGCTGGTCTTAAACTCCTGACCTCAGGTGATCCACCCGCCTCAGCCTCCCAAAGTGCTGGGATTATAGGCGTGAGCCACCATACCCAGCTGTATTTTCTTATTTATCATTTTATTTTGACATTTAAGCTTTAATCCATCTTGATATTTATCAATATATCTTGATACATAGAATGACATAGACATCTTGTGGAGGGGTGTTATTGCTTTTTGAGATGGCAGCCTCACTATGCTGCCCAGGCTGGCCTCAAACTCCTGGCCTCAAGCAAACCTCCCACCCCAGCCTCCCAAGTAGCTGAGACTCTAGGCATGCACCACCCTCCAAGCTTGTTTTTTAATCCAAGTAGCTTTCAGTAGTTCCAAAGCTATTTACTCAATAATCAATCTTTCCTAAAAATTTTAAAATAGACTATATGGATTAATTGGCTAATTTTATGAAGAACACTCACCATGGACCCATACCTCATGCTGTATACTAAAATAAATTCCAGATAGGTCTAAGAGTTAAACTAAAAAAAAAAAAAAACCAATAAAATAATGTAATTGCTTGATTATTCTGGCTCTTTGAAGAAAAAGAAACTTGAACCTACTTTAATAAATTAAAAAAAAAATGTGCACTCCGATGTTGTTGGGGCTTCGGGCAAGCAGATGCCCAATGTTTATTCCCATTGACTTAGTAACTCTGATTTGAGATACATTAAAGAAATGGTTCAGAAAGAGGAAATAAAAGTTATATGTCTAAAAATAGTCCCAGGTAACTATGATGGTTAAAAGTTGGGCAAAACAAATTCCCTAAGGGTAAAGTACTAAGCAGAACATGGTGTTTTGACCTAATAGTATATTATGACACTATCAAATATTATGACAACTCTGTGTACTCAATTTTCATGCATCGATAAACTGTGGTAGAAAAGTAGACTCCCAGATAACTTGTACATACTACTTCAGTATGTAAAATATTTGTATATGTTTATTTAGGAGATTGGACTAAAACTTGAAGGAAAGTATTAAGAAATATTGAGTACCTCCCCTGTCAGGCTTAGCCCCTGCCTTAAAGTACATTCAGATTGGAGAGATAGACATTTCCACTTATAATTACAATACAATTTGGCACATTCTGTATAATAAAAGGGTGCATAAGTTTGTGTGAGCCCATAGGATCCTGGGAATGATGGAAGGATTGGGACAGTGGGAGGAGGAGATGGATGGTTCCCAGTTCCTCCACCAGGAAGGAAAGATTTATAACAGTTTTACTGAGGTATATTTAACATACCGTAAAATTCACCATTTAAAGTGTACAGTTCAGTGGTTATTGTGTATTCACAGAGTTGTGCAACCATCACCACAATAATTTTAAAACATTTTCGGCCGGCATGGTGGCTCATGCCTGTAATCCCAGCCGTTTGGGAGGCCAAGGCAGGCGGATCACGAGGTCAGGAGATCAAGACCATCCTGGCTAACACGGGGAAACCCCGTCTCTACTAAAAATACAAAAAAATTAGCCGGGTGTGGTGGCAGGTGCCTGTAGTCCCAGCTACTTGGGAGGCTGAGGCAGGAGAATGGCTTGAACCCGGGAGGCAGAGCTTGCAGTGAGCCGAGATTGTGCCATTGCACTCCAGCCTGGGCGACAGAGCAAGACTCCGTCTCAAAAAAAAAAAAAAAAAAAAATTTCATCAACCCCAAAAGGAACCTTGAACCCTTCAGCAGTCCACCTTCATTTCACCTAACTCATTCCTCCAATCCAGCCCTAGCAGGCACCAATCTACTTTCTACCTCTGTAGATTTGTGTATTTGAAACATTTCATATAAATGGAATCATGCAATATGTGGTCATTTGTGATTGGCTTCTTTTACTTAGCATAGTATTTCTAAGGCTCATCCATGTTGTATCAGGTATCAGTTCTTTATTCCTTTTTATTGCCAAATATTCCATTGAATGGATGTATCTCCCATTTATCAGTTGATAAATACTTAGGTACTTCCGCTTTTGGTCCATTATGAATAATGCTGCTATGAACGTTTGTGTATAATTTTTTGTGTGGATATATGTTTTCATTTCTACCTAGAAGTAGAATTGCTAGGTCTTATGATAACTCTGTATTTAATCATTTGAGGAACTTCCAGACTGTTTTCCAAAGCAACTGCACCATTTTACACTCCTTCCAGCAGCGTATAAGGGTTCCTGTTTCTCTGCATCATCCCTAACACTTGTTATTATCTGTCTTTTTTATTTTAACTATCCTAGTGGGTCTGAAATGATATCTCACTGTGGTTTTGATGTGCATTTACCTGATGGTTAATGATGTCAAGCAACTTTTTATGTTCTTATTGACTATATGTACGTCTTCGGAGAAAACTGTCTATTCAGATTCTTTGTCTATATTTTAACTAAGTTATTTGTCTTTTTATTACTAAGTTGTAAGAGTTCTTTATATATTCTATATATAAGTCCCGTAACAGATATATGACTTACAAATATTTTCTCCCATTCTGTGGGGTCTTGCCCTGTTGCCCAGGCTGGAGTGTAGTGGTGTGATCATAGCTTACTGCAGCCTTGAATTCCTGGGCTCAAGCGATCCTCTCACCTCAGCCTCCCAAGTGGCTGGGATTACAAATGCACCCCACCAGCCTGGCTAATTTTAAAATTTTTTGTAGAGACAGAGTCTTACCGTGTTGCCCAAGCTAGTCTTGAACTCCTGGCCTCAAGCGATCTTCCTGCCTCAGCCTCCCCAAGTGTTGGCATTACAGGCATGAGCCACTGGGCCTGGTGACTTTTCCCTTACTTGATGGTATCCTTTGAAGGACAAAAGTCATTAATTGTGATGAATTCCAGTTTTTTTTTTCTTTTGTTGCTTCTGCTTTTGGTGTCATATCTAAGAAACCATCACTAATCTAGGGCCGGGAAGATTTATGTCTATGTTTTCTTTTAAGTTTTAGCTCTTACATTTCGGTCTTTTATCCATTTTGAGTTAATTTTTTTATATAGTATGAGATAAGGATCCATCTTCATTCTTTTGCATGTGGCACCATTTATCCCAGGCACCATTTGTTGAAAAGACTGTGCTTTCCCCATTGCATTGTTTTGGCACCCTTTTAAAAAAGCAGTTGATCATAAATATCAGGGTTTATTTCTAAAGTCTCAAATCTAGTCCTTTGATCTATATGTCTACCCTTATGTCAGTATCACCCTCTTTTACTATTTTGGCTTCATGGTACATTTTGAAATAAAAAGGTGTGAGTCTTCCAACTATGTTCTTTTTCAAGATTGTTTTAGCTACTCTAGGTCTCTTGACTTTCCATCTAATTTTGGTATCAGCTGGTCAATATCTTTGAAGAAGCAAGCTGAGATTTTAGTAGGGATTGCAATGAATCTGTAGATCAATTTGAGGAGTACTGCCATTTATCAATGTTAAATCTTTTAATCTTTGAACATGAGGTTTCTTTCCATTTATTTAGGCCTTCAGCTTCTTTCAGTAATGTTTTGTAGTTTTCAGAATATAAGAATATAAGTTTTTCACTTCTTTTGTTAAATTTATCCTAATCTTATTGTTTGAGACTATTATAAATGTTTTATTAATTTTCTTTGTGGATTATTTAATACTAATGCATAGAAATACCACTTTTTTTTTTTAATGCGATGGGGTTTTATACGTTTCTCAGGCTGACCTTGAGCTCCTGGGCTCAAGCAGTCCTCAGCCTAAATCTACTGAATAGCTTTGACTACAGGTGTGTGCCACTATGTCAGGCTGATTTTTATATGTTGAGCTTGTATCCTGCAATCTTGCTGTATTTATATATTAGTTTTAATAGCTTTTTAGTGATTTCCAAGGATTGTCTATATGCAAGATTTTGTCATCTGCAAATAGAGATAATTTTACTTCTTCCTTTACAATCTGGATGCCTTTTATTTCTTTCTCTTGCCTAATTGCTCTGGCTAGAACCTCCAGTACATGTTGACTAGAAGTGGCAAGAGCAGACAGCCTTTTCTTGTTCTTGTCCTTAGAGAGAACACATTCAGTCTTTCACCATGAAATATAATTTATTTTAATTTTTTTGAACAGTGTCTTACTCTGTTGCCCAGACTAGAGTGCAGTGGCGTGATCACGGCTCACTACATCCTCAACTTCCTGGGCTGAAGTAATCCTCCTAATCCTGTTATCTCAGCCTCCCACATATCTAGGACCACAGGCACACACCAAGCTAATTATTTGTTTTTATTTTAATTTTATTTTTTTCTGTAAAGACAGTGTCTCACCATGTTCCCCAAGCTGGTCTCAAACTCTTGGCCTCAAGCAATCCACCTACCTTGGCTTGCCAAAGCACTGGGATTACAGGCATGAGCCACTGTGCCTGGCCAGAAATTCTATTCCTACTTTGTTGAGTGTTTTTATCACCATGGAGTGTTTTATCTATTGTCATGATGATGTGGTTTTTGTTTTTCATTTCGTTGATATGGTGTATTACATCAATTGGTTTCCTAGTGTTATACCAACATTATTTTCCTGTGATAAATCTCACCTGGTCATGGTGTATAATTCTTTTTATGTCCTGCTAGATTTGGTTAGTTAGCATTTTGTTGAGGATTTTTATGTTTGTATTCATAAGCTATATTTATCTATAGTTTTCTTTTTTGTGATGGTTATGTCTGGTTTTGCTATCAGGGCAACACTGGCTTCATAGAATTAGTTGGGAAATGTTTCTGTTTATTGGAAGAATTTGTGAAGAAATGGTATTCTTTTAAGGTTTGGTAGAATTTGCCAGTGAAGCAGCCTGGGCCTGGGCTTTTTGTGTGCAGGCAGGGGGTGGGGGTAATTTTTTTTTTTTTTAATTATTGATTCAATTTCTTTCCCTGTTGTAGATCTACTCAGATTTTCCATTTTTTTTCTTGAGTCAGTTTTAGTAATTTGTGCCTTTCTAGGAATTTGCCTATTTCATCTAAGTTGTCTTAATTTATTGGCACAGTATCATTGATAGTATCATTTATACTCCTTTTTATTTTTTTAAGATCAATGTTAATGTCCAGAGAGTGACTTTAGAACTTAGTTTTAAAGGGTGTAGGTACGGGCTTAGGTAGTGAGTTGGAAAGAAGAAGAGCAATTCAGGAAGAGGAAAGGACACGGACAGTGATAGGCAAGAAATGACATGTTTGGGCAGCTGCATGTAGTTCAGTGTGGCTAGAGTCTAGGGGCATAAGAGATACTGATGATAGTTGATACCAGAAAAACAGGCAGTGGGTGAAGATACCCCTTTGACTCCACTGGTTATTTCTGCTTTGTCCTGTAGGCAATGAAGAGTTAGGTGTTTTGTGCAGGTAAGTGACAGGATCAAATTTACCTATCGGAAAGATCATTGACAGAAGATAGGCATGGATTAGGGCAGATGAAAGGCGGGGGGTGTCAGTGGTAGGAAAGCCTGTGTCTCTTTCTTGCAGGCTTCATTCACCAAAGGTTATGGAAAGTAACCAGCTCCCTCTGTCATTCTGACATTTTTCTACAAAGTCTTAAAAAGCTCAAGAGGCCCATATATAGTCTGATTCCTAAGCTAAAAATATTAAATAGTTTAACCAGCTAATTAGCTACTGATACAAGAGTTGCTAATTTCTTAACCATTTTCCATCTCAGTTTAACTACTTGTAACACTTCATTTCCTTATATAGAAATGTTTCATTATATAGAAGCAGCCCTCCTCTCCATCAGCATTCTCTTTGTTTTTTGTTTGTTTTGTTCTTGTTTTGTTTTGAGATGGAGTCTTGCTCTGTCACCCAGGCTGGAATGCAGTGGTGTGATCTCGGCTCACTGCAACCTCTACCTCCCTGGTTCAAGTGATTCTCCTGCCTCAGCCTCCTGAGTAGCTGGAATTACAGGTGTGCACCACCATGCCCAGCTAATTTTTGTATTTTTGGTAGAGACAGGGTTTCACCATGTTGGCCAGGCTGGTCTCAAAGTCCTGACCTCAAGTGATCCGCCCTCCTCAGCCTCCCAGAGTGCTGGAATTACAGGCATGAGCCACCATGCCCGGCCTCTCCTTATGTTTGAAACCTCACTGTGAATAAGGAAACTGAAGTACCAGCATTAGATAGGCTTAAGACACATACCCATCCCTGCAGCCAGGTGGTTGGGTAGTGTGACTGGCAGTCCTGCCTGAGTCCTAGAGAGAAGGGCAGTTGAGATGAGATATGAGGGCCTGACCTAAGAATGTCTGTAGTTCAAGTTAATATTTGTTGGATATTTGCCATCCTCATCCTTTCATAAACTTAAAGAAATGTATAATGAAATAAAATGGCTGCACTCTTGTCTTCTCTCTCTGTTTAGATAGAAGAAAAGTATTGTTATATTCAAAGAGAAGATGATGTTACTGCTATTCACATAACTTTACTTATTAGACAGTTTGGGGGAACTGGCTCATAATTTCTCTCACACTTGGGTAGTTTGAAAGTAAACTTCCAAAACATTTTCATACTGTTCATACTTTAAAATATTTGAGAATATTGGAGTAGATAGGAACCTTGGATATTAGTTTAGCCTCATCATTTTACAGATGTTTTCATACTTTTATTCTATTTTCCCTTTTCTTTTCTGTATTTCTTCTCTTACCTTTTATGTGTAATTAAGGGAGTTCATAACAGACCTGACTATTTAAAATGAATTTTAAAATTTCCATTTCTTAATTTTAAACGGAGTAGGAGTTATATGAATTCTAAGAATTAAGTTGCTTTTCAATGGATTTCTTTTCTGTTGGTTAATTGCTTTCAACCAGTTAAAAAGTATTCATGCCTTTGACTTTTCAAAAATTAAAAATTGCCTTTCAGAGTCCTTACATATATTTTCCTTCCCTTAAAGTTTCCATCCTTCTAACATGAAGAAAATAATAAAGAAAGTTACTTCTAATCCAATGGTTCTTGCTCTTCTATCCAAGTTCCTTAGATGTGAACCACCTCCATAAGATCCTGTGTTTTCTCTCTGGTTTTCCTTGCTTCTGTTTTCTCAGCATTATTTGTATTTTTCTATCTGCTTCCTGAAGACAAAGCACTTAAAAATGTCTCAACCTGAGTTGTATGTTAATCCATTTACAACATCTTGTCAGTGTAGCATTATTCTTTGTACCTTCCTTTAATGAAAAGTTTCTCCTTTTTGTATGCATATTAAAGTGTGCCTTCCTAGAATGTTTTAAAGTCATTTGAAGATCCTGTTCTTCCAAACACAGGGACGTGGTAACATTTGCATTTTTAATTCCTTTTACCAGAATGGGAGACCATGACCGAGAATGAGGAGGTGACATCAAAGCCAAGTAGTTCTCAAAGAGCAGACTCTCATAAAGGAACATCAAAAAGACTTCAAGGAAGTGTTCCCCAGGTCCTTGATTTTGAAGAAGAGTGTGAATGGCAAGTTTTGGCAAGTCAGTGGGGAAATGAAACAGATGAAAGGGCAGATACAGTGAAGAAAGTTTCCCTTTGTGAACGAGACAAGAAGAAAAGGACTCCACCAGAGAAACAAGGCCAAAAGTGGAAGGAATTAGGAGACAGCTTGACTTTCGGTTCAGCTATTTCTGAAAGTTTAATAGGTACTGAAGGAAAGAAGTTTTATAAATGTGATATGTGTTGTAAACATTTTAATAAAATCTCCCATCTTATAAACCATCGGAGAATCCACACTGGTGAGAAACCTCATAAATGTAAGGAATGTGGAAAAGGCTTTATTCAGCGTTCGAGCCTTCTAATGCATTTACGGAACCATTCAGGGGAGAAACCTTATAAATGTAATGAATGTGGGAAAGCATTTTCTCAAAGTGCTTACCTTCTAAACCATCAGAGGATCCACACTGGGGAGAAACCTTATAAGTGTAAGGAGTGTGGAAAGGGCTTCTATAGGCACTCAGGCCTAATTATACATCTAAGGCGCCATTCAGGGGAGAGACCTTATAAGTGTAATGAATGTGGGAAAGTCTTCTCTCAGAATGCTTACCTCATTGACCATCAGAGGCTCCACAAAGGGGAAGAACCTTATAAATGTAATAAGTGTCAGAAAGCTTTCATTCTGAAGAAGAGCCTCATTCTGCACCAGAGAATCCACTCTGGGGAAAAACCCTATAAATGTGATGAATGTGGAAAGACCTTTGCTCAGACCACTTATCTTATTGACCATCAGCGACTCCACAGTGCAGAGAACCCTTACAAGTGTAAAGAATGTGGAAAAGTTTTCATTCGAAGCAAAAGCCTCCTCTTACATCAGAGAGTCCACACAGAAAAGAAAACCTTTGGTTGTAAAAAGTGTGGGAAGATTTTCAGTTCTAAGTCAAACTTCATTGACCATAAGAGGATGCACAGCAGAGAGAAACCTTACAAATGCACTGAATGTGGGAAAGCCTTTACTCAAAGTGCTTACCTTTTTGACCACCAGAGACTCCACAATGGGGAGAAGCCCTATGAATGTAATGAATGTGGGAAAGTTTTTATTCTGAAGAAGAGCCTCATTTTACATCAAAGGTTCCACACTGGAGAGAATCTCTATGAATGTAAAGATTGTGGTAAGGTCTTCGGTTCAAACAGAAACCTCATTGACCATGAGAGACTCCACAATGGGGAGAAGCCATATGAATGTCGAGAGTGTGGGAAAACCTTTATTATGAGCAAAAGTTTTATGGTCCATCAGAAACTCCATACACAAGAGAAAGCCTACAAATGTGAGGATTGTGGGAAGGCTTTCAGTTACAATTCAAGCCTGCTTGTACATCGGAGAATCCACACCGGAGAAAAACCCTTTGAATGCAGTGAGTGTGGAAGAGCTTTCAGTTCAAACAGAAACCTCATTGAGCATAAGAGAATCCACAGTGGTGAGAAACCCTATGAGTGTGATGAGTGTGGCAAATGCTTCATTCTGAAGAAAAGCCTCATTGGACATCAGAGAATTCACACGAGGGAAAAATCTTATAAATGCAATGACTGTGGGAAGGTCTTCAGTTACCGCTCAAACCTTATAGCCCATCAGAGGATCCATACTGGTGAGAAGCCCTATGCGTGTAGTGAGTGTGGAAAAGGTTTTACGTACAACAGAAACCTGATTGAACATCAAAGAATTCACAGTGGAGAAAAAACCTACGAATGTCATGTATGTAGGAAAGTCCTTACCTCTAGTAGAAATCTTATGGTACATCAAAGAATCCATACTGGAGAGAAACCTTATAAATGTAATGAGTGTGGAAAAGACTTTAGTCAGAATAAAAACCTTGTTGTACATCAGAGAATGCACACTGGGGAAAAACCTTATGAGTGTGACAAGTGTAGGAAATCCTTTACTTCTAAGAGGAATTTAGTTGGCCACCAGAGAATTCACACAGGGGAGAAACCCTATGGGTGTAATGATTGTAGTAAAGTTTTTAGGCAAAGAAAAAACCTTACTGTACATCAGAAAATCCACACAGATGAAAAACCTTGTGAATGTGATGTGTCTGAAAAAGAATTCTCTCAGACTTCCAACCTTCATCTTCAACAGAAAATCCATACCATTGAGGAATTCTCTTGGCTACAAAACACCAATGAGTCCAAGATTGAGATTCAGAAAATCTAGTGTCATATGTAAAATGGAATAGAATCCCTGCCTACTTAAGTAACTGTTGGACAAATGATATATATTTCTTCTAAGGAAAAAGTTTATTATTTACTCTTTACTAGACAAATGAGTAGCATATAGAAGAAAGTTAATAGGCCGGGCTTGGTGGCTCATGCCTGTAATCCCAGCACTTTGAGAGGCCGAAGCGAGTGGATCACCTGAGGTCAGGATTTTGAGACCAGCCTGACCAACATGGTGAAACCCCATCTCTACTAAAATACAAAAATTATCCGGGCATGGGGGCACACACCGGTAATCCCAGCTACTCAGGAGGCTGAGACAGGAGAGTCGCTTGAACCTGGGAGGGCGGAGGTTGCAGTGAGCCAGGATCGCGCCATTGCACTCCAGCCTGGGCAACAAGAGCGAAACTCTTGTCTGAAAAAATAAAGTTCATCCCAACTTTCAAGTCTACAAAAACATAATCCAAATCTAATAACATAGTTGTAAATGAGAGCAACAATAAAAAGTAGACATGGGCTGGGTGCAGTGGCTCACTCCTGTAGTCCCAGGACTTTGGGAGGCCGAGGTGGGAAGATCCCTTGAGCCCAGGAGTTCGAGACAAGCCTGGGTAACACGGGGAGACCCGTCTTTAGTAAATAAAAATAAATTTATTAATAAAACTAAAAATTTAATAATAAAAAGTGGACATTGTTTTTTAAAATGTGTATAGTATGCATTTTAAAGATAGTGTCACTGCTGTGGAAAACCTGAACAGACAGTATGATCCAGAATGTCAGGTGTGGAGTTGGGCGGACAAGAGTCTGCTGATGAGGACAACCTAAAAGAGCACTGGATTTGGAATCAGAAGACCTACCTTTGATTCCTGGCTTTCCCTTAATGGCCATGTGATGTTATTAAGTCAGCCTCTAAAGCTTTAGTTTCCTGTCAGTCAAATGTTGACATGATACCTACCTCACAGGGTTGTTGTGAGGGTTAAGTGAAAGGATCTTTGTGAAAGTACTTTTTGAAATCATTCAGTTGTCAATAAAGTTGGATAAAAGAGGTTATGGTAAAAGTTTAGAACATGGGATCATGTAAGTTTGTGTATTAAGTCAATATTAGAATGAGGGGGATTCCAGGAACCTAAAAGATACTCATTTTCATAAGAGGAAGTATGGTGAATAGCTAACTGGAATTTAGTGTTCTAAGAATAATTTTGTTAAATTTACCTTTAAAAATATCTGAGGGAGTTACTAGATTATATATCTAGTTTATGTATATGGAAAAAAATGTTATGGCCAGCCATTAACAGTGATGCCAAGGAAAACAATTTATTTCCCAGCTTTTGAATTTGAAACTTAACAGATGGAGAGTGTCAAAATGGAAGGGCAGTGGTACCCTGCTTTCCCTATTCAGAGGGAAAAAAATCCTTGACCCGCAGTTGAGCTGATGATCCCTGCCACAGTCATTGTGAATTCTAATCAATATTTCATCATTGCTGTCAAATGATAGCCTGTTACTAATGAAACAACATTCTGTCCCAGCACTAAATTTACTGGGACATAAATTTTTCACATGGAGCCAAGCTCTTCACTGATTAAGCCAGTGCAGAATCCACTTGTGGGCAGTCAGTGCCCATTACCCCCTGTGAACCATTCTGTGCCCTTGAGTACATTTGTGGGTTTAACTCAGTCTATATTCTTAAGTTGGTAATTTTTATGTTGTAATTCTCAAAGTTCTGTTTCTGTAGCTGGACTATGAATAATACCTGAATATGAAGATTGTGTTTTTTAATAATGTCAAAGTGGTGTGTTGATTATCATAAATGTTATTAATTCAACCCCACAGTTTCTTGGGGGCTGGTTCCTCATTAGAGTGAAAGGTAGCCAAGAGTGAAAACTGGAAGGGGCCTAAGGCTTAAAGTCTTAAGACCTGGATGTGGTTCAGGTTTTGCCATCTGCCTCAGAAAAAATCTCTTCAGTTCTTGGAGCCTTGAATTCCTCATCTGTTAAACAGGAGGAAGAATATCTACCTCACAAAGTTCTTATGAGATAATGAATATAAAAATGTTTCATCCAGGTTGTTGAATCATCCCAGCTTATATAATAATTACAAAGGACATATGTACTTTAACAATGGAGAATGCTGTGATTTACCTCTTCACCGAGTAACAAAATGTCACATTGCTTAGATTGAGACAGCCCACATAATGTGCCACCTTCTGTGATGTAATAAGCTGAAAAATGTTCAACCTGAATTTAATCAAGCTTCTTGGACCTCATTGCCAGGTTACAGGAAATACAGGAGGCAGAGGAACAAATAAAAGACACCACGAGAAACAGACACATCCAGAACGTGGAATATTGCATAAGAAAGCTGCCCTGGATTCTTCAAAATATTATTATGATGAAAAAGAGAGGGGAGTGAAAATTGTTCAAGCTGTCTTGAGTCTGCTGTGAGTTTATTATACCATTCTCTGCTTTTGTGTATGTATGAAAATTTCGATATGAAAGGTATAAAACATGGATGAGGAGGCTTGTTTTTAAAAGATAATACTAGAGAGCCGTTAGGTACTAAGAACCAGAAATAGACTCACATAAATGGCCAATTGATTTTTGACAGGGGCAAAAGCAATTCAATGGAGGAGGGATCGCCTTTTCAGCAAATACTGTTGGAGTAATTGGATATCCATAGGCAGTAAACCAACAACTTCAGGACCTAGGACTGAGCTAAGAAGGCTCAGATGACTCAAAAGCATGCTCCTTAGAAGGAAAAAAAATGTTAAATTGGACTTCATCAAAATTAAGATAATTTACCCTGTAAGAGACCTTTTTACAAAGATGATATTACAGGTTGGGAAAAAATATTTGCAAATCATATCCAACAAGGGATTTGTATGTAAACTACATAAAGAACTTTCCAAATTTAACAGTAATAAGTAAATACAATTAGAAAATAAGCAAAAGACAGACATTTCACTGAAGTATAGATAGCAAATAAGCAAATGAAAAGATGTTCAACATCATTAGGCATGAGGGAAATGCAGAGTAAAATCGTGAGATATCACCTATCAGAATAGCTTAACTTTTTTTTTTTAATGGTGGTAACTGCTGGCAAGGATGAAGAGAAACAGGATCTCATACATTGCTGGGAATGTAAAATGGTACAGCCACTCTGGAATATAATTTGGCAGTTTCTTGTAAAACCACACATGTATATGTCATGCTTCAGGAATTGCACTTCTGAGCATTTATCCCAGAGAAATGAAAACTTGCGTTCACACAAAAACCTGTATACGAATGTTCATAGCAGCTTTATTTGTAATGGTCGAAACCTGTAGGCAACCCATATATCCTTCCTTAGGTGGTTAAAACAAATTGTGGTTTATGTATTACCATGGAATACTTGTTACTCTGCAATAAAATTGACTTATTGATATCCATAACAACTCAAATAAATTTCAAGGGAATTAATGCTGAGTGAAAATAATCACAAAAGGCCATATTCTGTATGAAAATATTCATATAACATTCTCAAAATGATAAAACTATAGAGATGAAAAATGGATTAATGGTTGCCAAAGGTTAGGGATGGTGGGAGGAAAAATGGGGAGAGGGTTGGATGGAACTATTAAAAGGTAGCACCAGAAAGGTCTTTGTGGTGATGGAACACTTGTGTATCTTGATTGCAGTGGTGGTTACACAAATCTATAGGTGCTATACCTATACACACATACTGTACCAATGTTGATTTCCTTTTTCATTTTATGTAAGATGTAACCATGAGGGGAAAGTGGGTGAAGGGTGCTATCTTTGCAACTTCCTGTGATTCTATCATTTCAAAATAAAAAGTAAAAACCAACAATGGCAACGAAAACCCAAAACTAAAGAGCTGTAACCAACTAAAGTGTGTGAAACTGATTTGAAAAAAAGTTATAAAATACATGTTTTAGGACAGTTGGGAAATTTGAATATGACTGGTTATTAGATGGTATTAGGGAATTTTTGTTGATTTTCTTACCTGTGACGGTGGTGGTAGTTTGAAGAATATTCTTAATCTTAAGGGATGCATGTTGAAGTATTTGGAATGAAGTGTTCTGATGTTTACAACTTTCAAAAAAATGATTTTAAATATGTATTGAGAGATCAGGCAAACATAGCAAAATGTTCATTGTTGAGTCCACATGGAAAATACGGGTATTCAATGTGCCATACTTTCAACTCTTCTGTACTCTGATATTTTCAAAATAAAACATTTGAGGGGAAATTATCAGGGCTTTCTACAGATTAATGCTGTGTAGCTTCAGGCTCTTGGGTGCGCGCCTCGCCTGAGTGTCTCATCCCTGCTTGGGATGCGCCCCTCCCTGAGGCTCACTTAGAGCTTCCAACAGCACAATCCTCCTAAGCGCTTCTGCCCCATCCCTGGTCTGGGGCGACATTGGACACCCATCGAGAGGAAAGCACCTCCGAGGTTCCTAGAGAGGCCGGCTTGGCGACTTGGGGAGCCGGAAGCCCATCCCGAGGCACTTCCTGTCCGGTCATTGTTCTCGTGCCGGTAGAAGCTGAAGTACCGGTCAGCCAGCCTCCTGCTGCAGAGCCAGTGAACTCAGGTCGGGCTTCTCAGCTGCGCACAGTGAGTGGGGTCGGAGGGGGTGGGCACGAACGTCGAGGGAGAAAAAGGGGCTCTCCCAGGGGCCATGGCCCTAGGAGCGGCCCCTGCGTCCTTTCCCCGGGGACACCAGCCTTGTCTGTCGGGGTGCGGGGGGCAGTGAGTTCCCCACCGCCTCGGAATCCCGGCTGCTGCCCACCTGGGGCCTGGTCCGGGAGAGGATGCACACGGACCGGCCAAGGGGCCAGATAGGTCCCAGGGACAGGGCCGCGAGGAGCCTATACGTGGAAAGAATGGATTGCCACGTTTGGAAATAGAGAAAGGACGTTGAAAGGGAGCCTTTGATAGAGGGCCCTGTGCCGTCTGGGACCGGAGGTCCGTCAGAATCTGATCAGAAGTCTGATGAGAGTACTCACTGTAGGCAGTCTTATACACAAGGTGGAACTAGTCTTAAGGACCTTCATACCAGATTGAATTCGGATAGTGATGGAAAGAATAGTCCTCCAGAATTAAGGTTTGTCACAGGAATGAAAGTATTGCATTACTTAATAAATTCAGTGTATACAGTAAGTGGCCAGTAAGTTGACATGGGGAAAAGAGTATGATCACTTCAATAGCAGCAACAGGGGATTGAATAAGATTTCGCACCCTTTTCCAATAAAACATTCAAAGGGGGTTAGAAAGAAAAATTTCAATCTCTTCATAAGCAATCAAACTAGTAAGGTTATTTTGCTCACAGGTTAAAAACAAAAACCCTGCTGGCTTAGCTGTGATAAAGGGTTACTGTCAATTAGTGGGGGTGTGAATTGGCATGGTGCTTTTGGAAAGCAATTTGACAGTACATATCAACCAGCAAATCCTTGAACCAGTAATTCTCTGATTATTCTAAAGGAATAATTCAGCAAAAAAAAAATATTTACAAAGAAAAACTTTTAAATATTAATAAAATGGAAATATAAACTTTTACTAAATAAATGGTTCATAAATAGAATATGATTAAGTAAATGATAATATAGCCACAATTTAGAATACTATGCCAGAATGAGGTAGTTCTATATGTGTTGTATTGAAAGATTGTTAAGACTATTGTGAAATACGGAAATTGAGTTAAAAAACAATGCAGGTTGCTGAACAGTATATAACTGTGATGATCTAAAGTATGTTTTTGAAAAATAAGCAATATGTGTGAAGGTGAACATATAAGTATGTAAATGCAGAGAAAATGGGTTAGGACTCCCATCTAAACTGATAAGTACTTTGTGTGTGTGTGTGTGTGTGTGTGTAGTGTGTGTAGGTTATATATTTAATTCTATATATTTCTGTATTACTTGATCCTTTTTCAATGAGAGTGAAGATTTATCAACACCATAGGTTATTGTGTAGCATTTAAAATAAGCATGAAGAATGGCAACATGAAAGTAATCTTTTTTTAAATCTTAAGTGTAATATTTTATCTCACAGGACATTTGGAAGCTATGGAAAATGTAAAAATCAAACAAAAAAAATGAAAAGAACCTTAAAACTACCTGTAATTACACCATCCAGAGTTAACTACCCACTGCTAACACGTTGGTATAAAGACTCCCAGTCTTTTTCTTGGGATCCTTTTGTTCACATTATTTTGTATCCTTGGCAATAAAAAATCTTTTTGTTGTAAAATCCTTTTTTAAAAAATGCTATGATGATAATTGTGAAAATATGTATCCCCAAAGTCAAAAACAAGAATTTGTAAAATCATAATTATTAGTAGTATGGTTGGAGATTTTCCTTTGAAAGAAATATCTTAAATCTTAAAATGTATAGTGGTTATCTCTTTGGAGGTAGACCGAGATGATTTTTCTTAATCATTTGCTGCTTTTAAGTTTTTACAATAAAAGTAAGTTAACTTTTAATCAGGAAAAAATCAATAAACATTATATAAAGCTGTTTGCAATGTGGTTATTATGGGAAGATATTACATATTTATAGTCCAACCCCTTCATCCTATGAGGGAGGAATAGAGGATTCCATGTCCTACATTGGCCCCTGGCCAGGCGCTGGTGAAATTTGCCGGTGTGGCATCCGGCAAATTTGCTAAGTGGCATCCAGCAAATCTCTCCTTGGTGCTAACAGTGTTTTCTGATTTCTCAGTAGGCAGTACTCATCTTGGCCCTGGGAAGAAACTCAAGAAGAAGCTTTTGAAACATAAAGCTTGGATGGGGTTTGACCTCTGCAGGGCAGCGCCCAGCTATAGGAGTTCCCCTGCTGAGCAGAGAAGATGACTGCAGAATTGAGAGAAGCCATGGCCCTAGCCCCATGGGGCCCAGTGAAGGTGAAAAAGGAGGAGGAAGAAGAAGAAAACTTCCCAGGTCAGGCATCCAGCCAACAAGTGCACTCCGAGAACATCAAAGTCTGGGCCCCAGTGCAGGGTCTTCAGACAGGCCTTGATGGATCAGAAGAGGAAGAAAAGGTAAACGGGGGCCTGAGAGGAAGAGGGGAGGAGATACTTGAAGACCTCAAGTAGTTTAAGAGGGGACTCTGCCCCTCTGCTTCCACACCTGGAGTCTTATTTCTTGGGTACAATTCTAGCTTCCAGTCTTTTGTAATAGGATAGAAACATTCCCTTCTGATTGATGTGACATTCAGTACTTTCTGTAAACCAGTGGTTCTCAAATTTTGCTACACAGAACCTGGAGAGCTTTTTATAAAATCTTGATGTCCATACTGTATTCTATTCCTATTAAATCAGAATCCGTGGTCCAGGCACAGTGGCTCACACCTGTAATCCCAGCACTTTGGAGGCCAAGGCGGGAGGATCACTTGAGGTCAGGAGTTCAAGACCAGCCTGAGCAACATTGCACACCTCGTGTTTTGCAATGCCGAAATACAAAAAATTAGCTTGGCATGGTGGCACGTGCCTGTAGTCTCAGCTACTTGGGAGGCTGAGGTGGGAGGATTGATTGAGCCTTGGAGGCATAGGTTGCAGTGAGCCGAATTCATGCCACTGCACTCTAGCCTGGGCAATAGAGTGAGACCCTGCCTCAAAAAAAAAAAAAAAAGAATCTAAGGGTGGGACCTGGGTATCCATGTTTTTTTAAAACTCTTCAGGTAATTTCAGTCAGGTTTTGACAATGCTAACCAGAGCTTCTAAAACTTTAATGTGCATAGGAATCACCTAGGGGTTCTTGTTAAAACAGTTAAAGTTCAGATTCTGATTGAGGATGTCTGGGGGTGGTCTGAGATTCTGTGTTCTTTGTTTGTTTGTTTTGCAAGCTTCCAGGTGATGCAGATACTGCTGCTGATCTTTGCACCACACTTTGATTCATGAGGCTGTACACTGTGCTGTCCTTAATGTTTCAAACACACCCCTTACCATTACTAGTCAAATGAGGGCAGAGGTTCCCCCAGAGCCTTTCTGTAATAATATCATCAAAACCTTGCTGCTTTGATCTTTAGATCCCACAAAAGTTCACTCTGAAAATTCTTCCCATATGCTCTCTCCTCTTATCATGTACTCACTGGTAAGCTAGGTTTAGATTCTGGAGTGAGCAGTGAGGTGCAATCAAAGTAATAAGGAAGAAAGTAGCTAGCTTGTTTCTCTGCCCAACTCACCCTGGGGGTTGGAGGAGACTCTGGCTTCCTTTTCTGTTTTTAAAAATTGTTCTATGGCCTCCAGGAATAGATAATTATGTTCTCATTCTCAAAATTGTAACCACACTACCCCCTACCACCAGTTCCCTCTTAAACATGTGCCTGCTTGTCTCTAGGGTCAGAACATATCCTGGGATATGGCGGTAGTCCTGAAAGCAACTCAGGAGGCACCTGCTGCTTCAACCCTTGGCAGCTACTCATTACCAGGGACTCTGGCCAAGAGTGAGATACTGGAGACTCATGGGACCATGAACTTTCTAGGTATGGTTCAGTTCCCTGATTCTGAATCTGACCATTGGGGTTTCTCAAAATCTTTTCAGAGACTGGTGGGCATCCAGTCTCCTAGGTTGACCAACAGAGTACTGAGGTATTGAAAGTGTCCAGGAAAGCTGGAAAGAGGAATGCTGAAATGCCTGTGCATTTGTCATGGGAAGTGGCTTATTTTGCACACAGGCTCAAGACACTAGACAAACATAGGTGTTGTGCTGAAACCTGATCAACACCAATATGGTACCAGGTTCAAGAGGCTGAAGAAGAGACCCAGAGCCAGCAAACAACATAGAATTTTACTAGGTGTTTATGTACAGGGTAGACAGTCTAGAGGCAGTGGACTGGGCACGGGAGAACCACATGGCCCAGTGGCACAGGCTGGACAGGAGAGCTGCAACTGCTTGCAAAAGGCATGCGGTTTATGTCGCATTTTCACTTAACACCCTCTCCCTAATGACCTCCACCTGGCAGCCTTAATTTAACCCAAAACAAGGGGCCTCAATCCCCTTTAAGGCCCGCATTCCACTGAAAGGGGTGGGGAATGGATAAGGAATGGATCTCCAGGTTGGCCACTTCTGGATTCCTTTGCTTGGAACTCCAAACTATATTCAGGTGTGTCTGCCATACAGGATCATTCTCAGGGTATGCTTAAGTTGTTGCCATCAGGTGTATTTACCATACAATAGGTGAATTCCAAACTCACTTTTTAGTGATATTTATTGTTCAATGAGTTTCATCTCTGTGCACACATGTAGGCACATGTCCTTTTTATACGCTTTGTAGTTAGCATAGGTTGGTGAGCCTGCAAGAGATGCTAGCCGAGGTAGGAACAGTCAACTTTTGTGGTGATTTTGAGCAAATGCCCTGGAGATGTTCTGTTTTCATAGATCTTTGTGCAAATTATAGAGGATTTTGAGCAGCTGTGTTAACCATAATGATGTTCAAAACTAGGTCTTCGTGAAGGGTACTGATGGCTTATCAACTTGTTCTCTCTAAGCTAGGACTAGAGAAAGGGTAGTATGTTCTAAAGATCTCACTGGCAGTGGCAGAAGCTTGCCTGTGGAGGAGTGACATATAAGTGAGGGTCAAGAATGCAGTAGCCATGAGTCCTGTGTTTCAAAGCACTTACTGGCTGATTGCCAAGCCCTATTCTTTTTATGAGTCTGCCAGATATTGAATATTTTGAACCCACTCTCCTCCCTAACCAGTTCCTCAGGCATCTGGGGACCAAGTCACTTTCTTAAACCAGTGCTATGGGGAAGACAAGGATCTCCACCTAGATTTTCTTGTCTCATATTTAATTATTCCCAAACTCTTAGCAGCTTCTGTTCCCCACTTTCTGCTTTGTGTTCCATTCTCTCTGGTGCATTCGCGTGCATGTCACTTATTTTCTGTCTCTGAGCTTTATCAGCCATTCATAGTCTTAACCCCAACAGCTGCACCTCATCAGGAATGGGCTCCCTTTTCCTACTTTGCCTCTTACCTCAAGACCATGTTCATACCCAAGACTTAGTATTTTGTGCTGCCAGCTATTTCCATGGCGATGGCAGGAACACTGCCAACACTATTTCCATGGCGATGTCAGCAGGCGATGGTGGGAACACTGAGCTCTATGTGTGAGAGATATCTGAGTGGGGTTGCTGCCCTGCCTGTAATAACTCTGTGACCTTGAGTAAGTCCCTTCTCTCTCTGGACCTCCATTTCCTGTTCTACAAATTGGGTGTGTTCATTAAGTACAGGATTTGTTGGCGGCCTCCTTCCTATGTGTCAGGCAGCGTGATAGGTGCTGGAGATACAGAAATGAATAAGACACAACCTTGCTCTTTTTTTAGCTGAAGGAGAACAGTTTCATCTTCATGATGAAATTGTATAATATACATGAAAGTGCTTTGGAAATTGTGATGTGTTACTGGGTTTTTAATGTCTGAGCAAGTTTTAACTGTAGTTTTCATATTTTAATTAATGTTGAATTTATTAAAGTTTATTCATTTAAAAACCAATTTTTAAGCCATTAAGCATAACTTTTTACTTCATCCATACATCTAGAAATATTTGTATAAAAGTGAGAACATTTGTATTTTTTCTTTAACTTATGTTCAGTTAAGCTTCAAATTTTACAGATTAAATTTTTTAAACATTTTGGCCGGGCGCAGTGGCTCAAGCCTGTAATCCTAGCACTTTGGGAGGCGGAGGCGGGTGAATCACCTGATATCAGGAGTTCGAGACCAGCCTGGCCAACATGGTGAAACCCTGTCTCTACTAAAAATTCAAAAATTAGCCAGGCATGGTGGTGCGTGCCTATAGTCCCAGCTACTTGGGAAGCTGAAGCAGGAGAATCGCTTGAACCCGGGAGACAGAGGTTGCAGTGAGCCAAGATTGCACCACTGCACTCCAGCCTGGGCAATAGAGCAAGACTCTGTCTAAAAAAATAAATTAATTAAAAATTTTAAACATTTAATTCTACCTGCTTATCAAATTTCTTTATATAAAACATAATTACAAATTTGATATCTTTAGTTCTTTAAAACATTCCAAACACCTAACTGGGCAGACTTACAAATCTTGTAAATAAAATCTTGATAAACACAGCTGTTATAAATCTAATGAATTGGACTTATAAATTTAGTAAATCAAATTACCCTTCTTATCTCAGAATACAGTCACCAGCTAAGGTGGCAGGCTTATGTAGCATTTCAGCTATCTTTAAAAAAAAAAAAAGAGTGAAAGAAGAGTATTGATTTAAAAACTATGGCTATGCCTGTGTTCTAGTTGGTCACAAATTAGTTTTTGTTTTAGTTTTTCATTATTTCTGTACTTAATTTAATTTCTCTAGAGCTACAGTAATCCTACATGTTTTTTAAAAAAAGGAAAAATACCATTTCAAATAAGCCAAGGTTATACGCCCGGATTATTTGCTGATTAATCTTTTTACCCAAAGAAATTTGAACTTGACTATACCAGATGGACCCTAATTCTCTTTTCTTAGGCACTTGCCAAGACCCCAGGTCTTACTTTACTCAGTGATGAATCACTTGCATGAAAACCTTCTAGGCTACAGTTGCACCTGGTTTTGTAATGGTTTTGACATGAGACATTATTCAGATAGAAGGAATTGTTTCCGTTATTGGCTCTAATCAGTTTAGTAGTTCCCATTGATCTTCATGCCCAACATTCTAAATCTCCCAGTAAGGAGGGTAGGAGTGAAAGTCAGGGAGACAGTGCAGCTATGAACTAAAGTTTTCATGGGCTCTGTTTCTGTTGGAGAGATGCCCAGCTGGGGTATGGGAGGCCCACGTGTCAGTGATGGGGAGTTAAAGCAAAAGAGGAGGTGAAAAGAATCAAGGGAGGAGACGTTGGATGGGAGGAGAATAAAGTGGGATGTAGGTGATAAAGTAACAGTAGAGAACACAAAGAGAAGCAAGCAGTCAGCAAAAGAAAAACAGAAGAGGCATGAAACTGTATATGGAAAAATTCAAAATATTTCACACAAAAAATTAAAAAACAGGAGAGGAGAGAGATGAAGAGTCAGTAGGGGGTCGAGATAGCAGGAAAAAATAAGCAGCAGCAGAAGAAAAGATATAAAAGCAAGTGAACTACAGAGAGAAAAACAGAACATTTTTAAAAAGAGGGAGCTAGCAGAACAGTAGGAATAGAAATAACCAGAAAAAGTTTAGCATTTCAGATTTTTTTTTTTTTTTTGAGATGAGTTTCGCTCTGCTGCCCAGGCTGGAGTGCAGTGGCACGATTTCGGCTAACTGCAACCTCTGCCTCCTGGGTTCAATTGATTCTTACGCCTCAGCCTCCAGAGCAGTTGGGATTACAGGTGCCTGCCACAACACCCACCTATTTTTTTTGTATTTTTCCTAGAGACGGGGTTTCACCATGTTGGCCAGGCTGGTCTCGAACTCCTGACCTCAGGTGATCCACCCGTTTCAGCCTCCCAAAGTGGTGGGATTACATGAGCCACTGCACCCGGCTTTTTTTTTTTTTTTTCTTTGAGATAGAGTCTTGCTTTGTCTGGCCCAGGCTGGAGTGCAAGTGCAGTGGTGCAGTCTCAGCTCAGTACAGCCTCCACCTCCCAAGTTCAAGTGATTATCCTGTCTCAGCCTCCCAAGTAGCTGGGACTACAGGCATGCACCACCACACCTGGCTAATTTTGTATTTTTAGTAGAGACGGGGTTTCACCATGTTGGCCAGGCCGTTCTCAAACTCCTGACCTCAGGTGATCTGCCTGCCTCAGCCTCCCGAAGTGCTGGGGTTACAGGCATCAGCCACTGTGCCTGGCCAGCATTTCAGATATTTATTGTTTGTCATATCTGGGGCTCTACTGTATCCAGCACTTGGGCATTTCTTTCCTCTGACACTGCTCATCTTGTCTGAATGATTGTGATAGAATTTCAGATTACCATAGTCTTAACCAGGCAATCAAACCAGGCTGTTTTCCTGCCCCCAATATTGCTTTGTACCACCCCAACATCCTTGTCCCACCCACTCATATCATTGGTTGGATGGTCATCCTATAGAATATTTCCCTCTCATGGGTGCTAGTCTCTCCCCTGCGCAGTAGCAGCAGTTATAACCTGAAGCTCACAGCACCACTGCTTATTTCTGAGCTGACATCACCAGTGGGAATACCTCCCTCCTCTACAGGCTTGCCACCCATTCCTGTTACCCTTTATTTCACTTGCCTTATTTCTTGAGCTTGGTTTAATTGACAAACACTTCTTAAGGGTTCACTGTGCCAAAACTGGATTACATGGGTGCACATTTCAAGGTTAAGGAAAGTGAGTGTGCAGAGGAGACAAACATAAAGAACTATGATGTTACTGATAGCAGGACCCCTTTTTGACACCATTAGGTTCTGAAGCAATGTAAAGCATCCAGAGACTAATCAGTGTCATAAAGCTTCAGGGTGTTTTGAAGTTCTCATGATATTTTCTGGCATTGTGGAGCAGGCTATGCCATAACTCAACAAGGTCAGCTTTCCTTGACACAATGCTAAGCTGTTCCCCTGACACAAGGGTAAGAGTTTGCCATGTACAGTTTCTTTTTTTATTCTCCTAGTGTAGCTGTCTATCACCATAGCAGCTCCCCTCCCCTAAGGGTTCATCTTTCCTTCTGGCCCCTCACAACATCATCAGTCAGCCTGAAAGTTGCTGCACACATTCAGAGCACTGACTGTATTCCAGGCAATATCTGAGTAGTTGACATAGAGTAACTCCATTAATCTACTCATGGCCTTATGAGGTAGATACTATTAGTATCCCTGTTTTAGAGATTGGGAAACTGAGGCACACAGGAGTTAAGTAGCCCAAAGTCATGGAGCTAGTTAGTGTCAGAGCAGAGATTTGAAACCAGGCAGTCTAGCTCTAGAATCCATGTTCTTAACCTGTATGCTGCAGGACCTCGCAGTGTTTCATATGGTTTTGGCTGCTGTGGCTGTCTTGGCAGCCAGTGTTACCCTTTCTGTCCGTGCTTATCCTTTCTTTGATATCCAGCATCCTCAGACACAGAAACCTCAGTTGCTAGATCTTTGTTTACAGGTAGCAAATCACCCTAATTAACTGGTGGGTTGCAAGCAAATCCACACTAAGTAGCTAAGGTAAGAAGGCAAGCCTAGGGAGAGGCTTGTGTCCTTCATAACTGGTCTTTGTTGCAAGGGCAGTCATCATACAGCCAGCAGGAGCACTGTCTGGAGATTGGCCCTCCCTGGCATGAGGCAGCGGGCAGCGGGGTTAAGTGTCTAATGGAGGCAAGTGGAAGTGCTGGAAAGACCACGAGTCAGTGGGTTCTGCCATAGGTAGAGGGGAGGGCAAAGCCCCAGCTGAAGAACCTAGAGAGGAGAGGTAACATGTGATGGGATTCTCTTCTTTGATGAAGCCATTTTGTGGAGGTGCTGAAATCACATACTTCGTTTTATGACTTGATGATCCTATTCTTTTTCTAGGCCAGAGAAAGCTAACATTTGTATTTTCTGTTTCTTGGTTCAGGTGCTGAAACCAAGAACCTACAGTTACTGGTTCCAAAAACTGAGATATGTGAGGAAGCTGAAAAACCCCTCATCATATCAGAAAGAATCCAGAAAGCTGATCCTCAAGGACCTGAGTTAGGAGAAGCTTGTGAAAAGGGAAACATGTTAAAGAGGCAGAGAATAAAGAGAGAAAAGAAAGATTTCAGACAAGTGATAGTGAATGACTGTCACTTACCTGAAAGCTTCAAAGAAGAGGAAAACCAGAAATGTAAGAAATCTGGAGGAAAATATAGCCTTAATTCTGGCGCTGTTAAAAATCCAAAAACCCAGCTTGGACAAAAGCCTTTTACGTGTAGCGTGTGTGGGAAAGGATTTAGTCAGAGTGCAAACCTCGTTGTGCATCAGCGAATCCACACTGGAGAGAAACCCTTTGAATGTCATGAGTGTGGGAAGGCCTTCATTCAGAGTGCAAACCTCGTTGTGCATCAGAGAATCCACACTGGACAGAAACCTTATGTTTGCTCAAAATGTGGGAAAGCCTTCACTCAGAGTTCAAATCTGACTGTACATCAAAAAATCCACTCCTTAGAAAAAACTTTTAAGTGCAATGAATGTGAGAAAGCCTTTAGTTACAGCTCACAACTTGCTCGGCACCAGAAAGTCCACATTACGGAAAAATGCTATGAATGTAATGAATGTGGGAAAACATTTACTAGGAGCTCAAACCTCATTGTCCACCAGAGGATCCACACTGGGGAGAAGCCCTTTGCCTGTAACGACTGTGGCAAAGCCTTTACCCAGAGTGCAAATCTTATTGTACATCAGCGAAGCCATACTGGTGAGAAGCCATATGAGTGTAAAGAGTGTGGGAAAGCCTTTAGTTGTTTTTCACACCTTATTGTGCACCAGAGAATTCACACTGCAGAGAAACCTTACGACTGCAGCGAATGTGGGAAAGCCTTCAGTCAGCTCTCTTGCCTTATTGTCCACCAGAGAATTCACAGTGGAGATCTTCCTTACGTGTGTAATGAATGTGGGAAGGCCTTCACATGTAGCTCATACCTACTTATTCATCAGAGAATTCATAATGGAGAAAAACCTTACACATGTAATGAGTGTGGGAAGGCCTTCAGACAGAGGTCGAGCCTCACCGTGCACCAGAGAACCCACACTGGGGAGAAGCCCTATGAATGTGAGAAGTGTGGTGCAGCTTTCATTTCCAACTCACACCTCATGCGACACCATAGAACCCATCTTGTTGAATAACAAGTAAGGAAGAGGAAGACCTCCAGCATTGGTCATAACCTTCTGCCTCCCTAATGAGACACCTCTTTGCTGTTTTCTTCCTCCTCTATAAAAGTGAGGGCTGTGTCCTTAAAAGTTATAGTTTTCAGGAATGCAGCAGAAGACACAAGAAAAGCATTTCAGAGGCTAATTTAAAACAAAAAGTAAGCACCTAAAGGCAAGGACTTTGTTTTAACTGTACCTTAAGCGGTCATGTTCTCTGAAGTGGAATGTGGCTTTCCTAGGAATGGGTCGTACAAAGCTAAGTGGTAATGATGCTATTTGGGGAAAGGTCTTTTTTGCTTAATTTTGTTTTTTAAAACTCTGATGATTGCTTGAGCAACAGGCAGGTTATCTGCCTGGTTGAATTCTGGTTGAACCGTGTATTCTAATATTTCTGGTTAAGTGGTGACTGGGTAAGGAAACCACTTGGGGTAGCAGTTCAACAATTCACTTACGAATGTTTATAAGCTTTCCATTTCCTAGGTAATTTTTTAAAAGCCAGTCAAAACAAAAACTTTACTGAAAATGGACAGAAATAGGAAATGGACTTTTTCCTTACTGTCTATACCTCCTGAACCTTGGTATTGTAAAGATCTGGGGACCTCTGGGTCTGTTCTGACCATTCCCTAGTCTCCATGGCCAAGCACTCAAGGATTGATGGACACCACACACCAGCTATATTCATTTGCCAAGATCAACAGCTCCTTCTCCAAACAACTCAAGCCCCCAATTCCCATCGCATTCCATTTGGGTGAGATGCAACTAACAGCCCCTTCCTGGATGAAGGAGTCAAAGAATAAAGCTTGCCTAGAGGCATGCCCCAGTTGTCTCTGCTGTCATTCTGCTCAAGTCCAGCCAGGGGTCTCAGTTTGGGTTTCATTCTCACATTCTGGATGGTGTTTAGAAGAAATAGTGGAGCTCTTCTCATTCTGAGAAGACCAAAGAGGGAAAGTGATGGGAGAGGGGAGGTGGAAATAAGATTCCTAAGGTCTTAATTTGATTTTTTGAGAAATTCAGAGGTATTGGAATATGAAAAACTTTTAGAAGGATGAAGAAACTGGCCAAGGTAAGATATCTTTGTTACCATTCAGCCTTTACTCCTGGAAAAATGATTTATAAAACTATGCAATAGGTAGAGTTATGTAATAATATTGCCTTGTATTTATATAGAACTTTTATTCTTTGTTGTGTACCCTTATGTATTGATCATGATACCTGGCACGTATCTCACGCTTTCACATAGATCACCTACCTCAGTCCTTACAACACTGAAACAGGTGGTTGCCCATTTACCTGAGAATGGTCATTTAGTGCAAGGCCAAGTAACAAGTGACAGCTTATATCCAAGTCCAGGTCCTGAATCTAGATTCTCTGTTCTGCCATGCCACTTGCCAAACACCTGTAATCCCCATGCAGACCTGTAGGGGAGACAAAGAAAGGGGTGTGTAGTCCCATTTTTCAGGTGAGGAAGCTGATGTGACAGATGTTTGGAGTGTGCCTTAGGCACTGTGACCAGAAATCAGCAAACCTAAGACTAGAATTTGGGTCTCCTGATTTCTGGCTCTGTCCCTCCATGCTGTTCCAATGCCTCAGGGCATGCAAGAGCATTTATCATAAATGCTGAGCCTGATGCAGCTCTCATGCAGAAGTCCCATGCATTTATTATCACATTTCTGCAAGACTAAATATTAATCACATAGTGTTTTCTAGTTTACAGAGCACTTCTTTTGTGTGTTAGTTTTGTTTTGTTTTTGAGATGGAGTCTTAGGCTGGAGTGCAGTGGCACAATCTTGGCTCACTGCAACCTCTGCCTCCCAGGTTCAAGTAATTCTCTTACCTCAGTCTCCCGAGTAGCTGGGACTACAGGTGCATGCCACCACGCCTGGCCAATTTTTTTTTTTTTTTTTTTTTGAGACAGAGCCTTGCTGTGTTGCCCAGGCTGGAGTGCAGTGGCACGATCTTGGCTCACTGCAACCTCCGCCTCCCGGGTTCAAGTGATTCTCCTGCCTCGACCTCCTGAGTAGCTGAAATTACAGGTGCACGCCACCACCCCCAGCTGATTTTTGTATTTTTAGTAGCAGTGGGGTTGGTCAGGCTGCTCTTGAACTCCTGACCTCGTGATCCACCTGCCTTGGCCTCCCAAAGTGCTGGGATTACAGGAGTAAGCCACTGCGCCCAGCCTTTTTTGTATTTTTAGTAGAGACGAGGTTGCACTATGTTGGCCAGGCTGGTCTCAAACTCCTGACCTCAGGTGATCCACCTGCCTCGGCTTCCCAGAGTGTCAGGAATACAGGCACGAGCCACCATGCCTGGCCTACAGTGCACTTTCACATACAGAAGGCATACACAAGAAAGCTTATTAATTTCCTTTTTCCTCCCTCCTCTAGTTTTTTTTCCAAAACATATGCAACTTACTTTCCCAGTTTCACTCTAAATCATAGAGACACAAATACAAGAAATCAAAAGGATTCAAAAGTAGGATCAAATACTCATGCCCTCACCAATCCTAACAGTGACTGTTCCAGTCTCCCTGATGGAATGGAGAGACCCAAATAAACCACCCCCTGTCTCTGCTGAGAGTAGGAACAAGTTAGTTTTTTCCCCCTGCCTTATCAGGAAGCTGAGAATATCAGGAGAGCAGGTCTGAAGATTTGAGAAAACTCTGTGACCTTGACCCACCAAGAGACAGAAACTACTTTGCTTAAAGAATACCTGCTGGGATTTATGACCATTAAGACAGTTAAACCATTCTACCATCACATATGTTTATCCTCATAATATTCAGTTATGGATGATTGTGATTTTCACTCATAGGTAGTTCAGAAAAGCTACGCAGGGGATTATGATGCAAAACTAGGTTTGAGATTCACTGACCCAACCTTGCAGTAAAGCAGTGGTTTTAAACCTTGGCTTCATGTTAGAATCACATTGGGCACTTTTTTAAAATTTCCATTTCTAGACCTCTGTATTTTTTAAAACTCTGGAGGGGATTACAATGACAAGCAAAGGTTATGAGCCACTGTAGCAAAAAGTAAAGGCTGCAGGCCAAGAATGTGTGTGATCAAAGGTGGAGGGGGTGGGGGTGCTCCAGTATAAGGATCTGTACGTGCAAAGCATTCTATGTATTTTTAGCAGAACAGGAGACTTACTTTACACTAGCTGAACTAGGTGTCCATCAGTGCCTCTGCCAACCATTGGATGTTAGAGGATTCTGCCACCTAGCTTATTTTATTTGTATTTAAGTGAATATACCAAACATTTATATGAGCAAACCAAGTTTTACATAACATGCTTTTGGTATGTATTATGACTTTTTACATTTCTACTTGGATTTCCTCTTCAGATCTCAGTTTCCACAAATCTGCATCCAGGTTCAGGGCCTCTGATTCTGCACAAATCATATGAGCCAAGTGGATTGATTACTAGACAGATCAGATCCTTCCCCAGCTAATAACTCTGCCTTCTGATTCCAGTCCTCAAAATAAATTGCAGCCTGCCATTTTCTTTATGTTTTATAAGGGAGGAGTGACCACCTTTTGTCAGTTTGCTTAGTTTCCTATTCTTTGGGCTCATCTCCCATCTTTTTTGGGTAGTCTTGCTAGGAGTGGTTGGGAACTCTGAAGCCCCATTTTCCCAAGTTGCTGAGAGCTATCAGACTTTTAGCTGTCAGGCTAAGAGCTCTGTTGCAGGCCTAGTGATTGGCATTAAGAGTAGGGCCAGGAAATCTGTCCTCATCCTCAAATGAGACCAACAGATATGTATTAAGTGGAGCACAGTGATGCAAAACTGATGGCGAAATCACGTACAGTACTCTGGGAGCACAGGAGAAAGACTTCAATCCCTAACACGAAGTTACACACTCAAACACAGCCATAAATTCCACCAGGCTTAGGAAGAGGTGTCTTTGGACAAAGCTAATTGTTCACCTGCTCTGTATCCCCTCCCTGTCTCAGGTAGTTGTCCCTCTCCCACGTCTGTCACCTCTCCACTTGCTCATCCATTGTAGGCACTGCAACCTTTCTGGGGTTGCAGCCCCTTTGGGAATCCTGGGAAGATTATGGATCCTCTTCCCCTAAGAAGTGTACGTTGCAGATTAAATCTTGTGCTTACTTGGAGGTTATGCAGGCTTCCTGAAGACAATACATACATTTAGAGCCTAAAGTTGAATCTGGGGTGTATTACATAATCACCAGTGACTTTTTTTTTTTTAAATGAGGTTAGGTTACAGAATCACTAAGAATGTTGCCCAGACATTCTTTAAACCTTTAAAATTTGTTTTTCTCTTAGATTCCTTCCCTTATCAAATGACATTATCCCCACCACCTGGGGCACGCAGATTGAATGTCCAGAAGCTATTTCTGCCTTCCTAAGCATCATTCATTACAAAAACATTTTGTGTTCCCTTGTGGTGAACGTCATGCTAGATTCTGGACTGCCAAAGCAAACCTGGTCCACTATCCCTGTTGTCATGTCTGTTATGGGAAAAATATCAGGATCCCTAACATGATTTACTGAGCTCTTCATAATCTCTTTCCAGCCTCATCTCTTCACTCTCAGGCACCTTTTACTGCAGCCTAGAGGCACGTGCTTGCTCTTCTCTGTGCCTTTGCTCACACTTTTCTCAGTGCCTATAATACCTCATCACTACTTCCCACTCAGTCCCCTTCTACTTTTGCAAGCTTAGTTTCTTTTTATATTTGGTTCAAGTTCCATCTCTGGGAAACCCCTGACTGCGTTATGGTTAAAGGCATATTCAGAAGTATATTTATTAATACGCATATACAAGTGCATGATATGCTATGTGTCCAGAGATTTACCTTTTTGCTTTAAAGTGAAAAAGTCTGGATTAAAAATTGTGTATATAATACAGTTCTCATATACTGTTGCTTTTATATATACTATATACTATTTAAAAGTATATAGATAAATTACCTGAAGGAAAAAAGAAAATATTATAAGTGGTTAAATGACTTACAGCCATACTGACGGTTAATTCCAGGCTTACATTCAAACCCATATACTCTGGATAATAGGATTATGGTTTACTAAGAGGGGTTTTGTTTGTTTGTTTTAGCAATTTCTATATTTCTATAAGGAGCAAGAATTTTATAAAAATAATTATTATATTTACATATCTAGTTTATTATATTAACTATAAACCATATCTCAATTCTCCATTTTGTGGTATGTTGGAGGGACCCTTCCCTTCCTTTCCCTTTCCCTTTTCCACGTCGTTGGCTCTTACATTGTCAAGTCTGATAATTCTTAAATTCTATTCTGTAACCAGTTAGGATTTTATGTTTGGTTATTGATTGATTTCAAAAGCTGAAAATAAACAGCATGAACATTATTACAACCATCTGAATATTGTTGATTGCAGATCTTAGCTTACTGTGTTTATATTTCCTTTTGGGATCAGCTTTTTGTTTTTACGGAAGTTTCTAGTTGCCTTTCTTTTTACCTTGTACTGGTTGCTTTCCACACACTCACAGTCATTTTCAAATTCTCCATTCAATTAAATACTCTGTTGAATTCACTTCTTTTCTCTCTGTATATTCTGCTTTCAGCCTCCTGCTCTAGTCTGTTTTTGATGACCTTTCTGCCTATATTCTGTTGTTACACTGGACTCAACTGTTTCTGAATTCTGTGTCTTCCTTTTTCTTTATTTACTTCATCATTTTATTATAGTACATGTCAAGTCTCCTGTCAGGAAAGAGTACATGGAAGGCAGAGTTGTTGAGTGTCTGTGTCTTTCTCTGACCTCTCACTTGATGGTAGTTTGGCTGGCTCTGGAATTCTAGGTTGAAAAATTTCCCTAGAAGTTTGTAGCCACTGCTTCACTGACTTACAGCATCCACTGCTGCTAATGAGATGCCTGATTCCAATCTGATACTTATTTATTTGACAATCAGTAAATAGTATTTACATTACAGTGATCTGTTTTCCCACCCCTATGCCTGGAAGCTTTTAAAGTCTCTTCTTTATCTTTGATGTATTCAGTTCCCTAATGCTCAGTGGAATTTTTCAATCTACAGACTCAGGTACTCCTACTCTTGGAAATTTTCTCATTATTTATATGACTATTCCCCCTTTCCATGTTTTTTCTCTTTATAGAGTTCCTGTTCCTGCTAATCAAATGTTGGACCTTGTGGATTGATCCTTAGCTGCATTCATTATTTCCATTTCTTTGTATTGTGCCACTATGAGAAGAGTACCTTGATTATTTTCTAATGAATAATATTTTTAACAGTAATAATTTTAACAATAACTAGTTTAATTTCTGAGAGCCTTTTCTTAAAAGTATCTTCTGTCACATGAATTATCTCATTCCCTTCATGCCCCTGCCACTGGGTCCTTTTTTCCCTCTGTTTACCTTGTTTACTCTCATTAGACTTTCCTCAAATGTGATTCTTACACCCATATACGTGTGCGTGTGCACGTGAGTGTGTCTGTGAATTAAAAGCCTAATTGAGACCTCTGTGTGTAGGAGTGAGATTTGCCCACTGTTTCCCTGGAGAACCCTAAATGCCAGAATACAGAATATTTTGCCTTGGGCTCTTACATTTAATTAGCAAAAATCCTCTGATATTTTTGTCTGGGGTTTAGATGCTGTTAAGTGCTTTTCTAGAAGTGGAGGGAAGGAAGCCAAGTGTTATTACAGACTTCCATTTAATGCCCTTATTTTTAGATCCACTTCTGCCTCCCAGCCTTCATTGTACCTGGGGTTTCAAAATTCCAAGTCTCCGGGGTTGGGCAGGGTAGATCAGCTACCTCCTTCCATTGGATAGCCCTCAGCAAGAGTTCCAAGCTGTTACTCCCTCCACCCAGCTGTCTTAGTTACCACATCATTCATTTTCCATCTTCTAGAAATTTGTTCCTTTTATCTCATTGTTATAGTTTTTTTTTTTTTGAGATGGAGTTTTGCTCTTGTTGCCCAGGCTGGAGTGCAATGGGGCAATCTTGGCTCACTGCACCCTCCACCTCCCGGTTTCAAGCAGTTCTCCTGCCTCAGCCTCCTGAGTAGCTGGGATTACAGGCGCATGCCACCACTCCCAGCTAATTGTTTTTTGTATTTTTTAGTAGAGATGGGATTTCACCATGTTGGCCAGGCTGGTCTCCAACTCCTGACCTCAGGTGATCCGCCCACCTTGGCCTCCCAAAGCGCTGGGATTACAAGCGTGAGTCACCACGCCCAGCCTCATCGTTACACATTTTAACCATTTTTACTCATTGTTATTTTAGGGGAAGTTAAACCATTTTTAAAAGAATGTTGATATCCTTTGATACAGCAGTACCACTTTTAGAAAGCTGTCTTAAGAATGAATATTTGTACAATGATTTATATACTTGTCGATGTTACTCATTTCACAAAAAAGTGACTAACCTAAGTAACAATAGGGGAATGATTAAATAAGTTATAATACTATGGAATATTGTGCAACCACTAAAGGTCATAATTAAAAGAATAGTGATATGATAATAGCACACAGTAATATTAAATAAATGATGCAAAGTACAAAATAAAACACTGTACAGAGAGCTGAGTTTTCTGAGATGCACATGCATAGGAAAGAAAGAAATTGGGGGTTAACTGTGGTTAAATTTCCAGCAGTCTACATTTTCTACAATGAGCCTGTATTACTTTTATGATCAGGAGGGGAAGGTTAATAAAAGAGAAAGATCATGGCTTGTTCAGAGTGGTGAGACTTTCTTGTGAAGTGTGAAATGGGTAGTGGGGAATAATAGAATAAGGGTCTGGAGAAGTAAGGTCCCTATTTTTATCCATTGTTAGCATTTTATGGTTACCAAGAACCTAATACCAGGTGAAGGAGTTCAGCAGAAGAATATATATTTGTGACATTGTTCTGGCTGGACAGTGGAGGCTGAGCTGGTGAGGGGAGAAAGGAATCCTGAAGACCATATTGGCAGTTTTTTTCAGAGCCCAAGAGAGACAGTGGGATTCTGACCCAGCCACTAGAAGGGGGCCAGAGGAGAAGGAATAGATGTGATGTTTTGAAGATAAAATGAGCAGACCTTAAGGGACACGGAAGATCAAGCAGCAAATTCCCAAGCCAGAAGTCTGGGCCTCTACATCCTGGTGAGACCTACGACATGACAAATGAGGCCAGGCCCAGGTCCGAGAGGCACTGCTTTCCTTGCAGCTCTCTGGAGCTACCCTGTCTTCACAGTGGCTAATGCCTCTCTGATGTTGGGAAGGGCTGGAGACAAGGGAGGAGACAACCCAACTCATAGCAGGCTACCTGGCTATCGTAGGCTACCTTGACACTGACTAGGTTCCCTACTTGTACCATGTGTGGTTTTCCAGGATTCCTGTGATCTCTGGTATTTTCCCTCCAAGGACTGGGGTTCCCTCAAGGCAAGTCACCCTACTGAACCAATAGCAAGGTTGTAATCATCACTACTGTTAGTTGAGGGGTTCCTGTGTGCCAGGCACCATACTAAATGCCAAATGTGTTACATCTCATTTAATCTTCACCTGAGGAGGGAAGTTCTCTTATGCCATTTGCAAAGCCAGTAGTCCCAGTCAGGATTAGAACAACTCTGATGTACAAGTCTGTGCCCCTTTCTCCCAGGTGAACTTCTCAGTGCACCCCCAAGGACTCCTCTCCCCATGTAAGAGTTCTTTGTTAAATTGAAAGAGCAGTTCTTGCCTGTAGTAAAAAGGTCAGTGGTGCAAAAGCATACAAAGAGATGTGAGACTCCCTCCCAGTCCACATAACCAGTCTCCTACCCCAGTGGTAGCTATTTTTAAATGTCTTGATTTTTCCTCAAGATAGTCCCAGCATTTACAACCTTATGTATCCCCCTTAAAGAAACACGCACAAAAAATGAAAAGCTTAGGATACAGTCTACACCTTGCTTTTTTCAGTGTCTTGGAGATGGCTTTCTATTAGCCTGTAAGATCTACCTCATTTTTTTCACTGCTTTGTGATATCCATTGTATGAATGTACCATAATTCATACAGTCCCCCTGTTGATGGGCCTCTAGGTTCTTTTCTGCCTTTTGCTATTACAAACAGTACTGTGCCAAATATCCCCGCACACTGTCCCTGGATAAATTGATGAAATTAAATCGTAGGTGCATTTGTTATTTTGATAGAAATTGGAAATGTAGTTCCCAGTGTGTGTATGAAAATGTTCATTCCCCTGAATCCTCTGAAACTATTGTGTTGTTTCTGATCTCATAAATGAAAAATGCTCTCATATTTTAATTTGCATTCAACTATGAGTGAAACTGGGTACCACAGCCCATGTTTAAAAGTCATTTGTATTTATTTTCTGTGACTGGCTTATTTGCGTTCTTTAGCAGTTTTTCTGTTCATCCTTTTAATAATCAATTTGTACAAACTATAAAGAAATTATCCTTATCTGCTATATGTGTTGCAAATATTTTCCCAGGTTTGTTTGTCGTACTTAATTTTGCTGTTTGGATATTTAAAATTTAATATCAAATCAAGGACTTCCCCTCTTCAAGATGATATGTTCTCCCATGATTTCTAGTCCTTTGAGATCGGTCCCTTTGAAATTCTTTGTGGATAAGGACTGAGTCAGGTCTTGGCCCTGTCTCCCGCCCCTTTTCCTCTGGCATCCAGGTGGAGGAACCAAGCAGGAAAAACACATAGACGAAGACAGCTCCCAACTTCCTAGAGCAGCCGGGCAAGAAGCTTGCACCAGGGCCTTCTGCCCTCGCCGGACTCACTGAGCCAGTCAAAAGCAGGGTGTCCGGGGAGCCCAGCGAAGAGTGGAGCAAGCTGAGGGAGGAATGGGCAGTCCGAGAAAGGGAGAACAGAAGGGGCTGTACCCTCGCATGGGGTGGGGTTGGGGCTGGTGGGGGCCTGGAGGCTAGGGACAGGCCCAAATCTGGGGTGGGTGGTGTGTTGGGGGAAGGAAAGAGAAGGAAGGGCTGGAGCTTGAGATGTGGGAGGCGAAGGAGGAGGCTGCAGCTATGGGGATGGGGGAAGAATCGGGAATGTGCAAGGAGAAGAGCAGCGATGTGCAGGTGGGCAGCAAGGGTAGGAGTCAGGATCAGATGTGGTGGCCTGGAGGAGGAGCCCAGTTCAGGGAAGAGCCAGGGAGGAAAAGGGTGGCTTCCTCCAGGACCCTGGGACCCTCGTGCTGCCCACTGCTTTCTCTGGCCTTAGGTGGGCAGGGCAGAAACCAGACCATACTCCTGAGGGCAGGTGGGGAAGAGGGCATTCTAGGCTGGCCCTGTTCCTCACCTCCCAACCCAGGACAGATCCCTAAGCTCTCTAACGTAAGTCCTCTCTTGCCATTGTGAGGCTGGGGTGAAATGAGGGGTAGGAAATGGCTTTGTAATGATTGAAAGGCTGCCTGGTTGCACAGGCCTGCTGTGGCCTTCTGGAGGACAGGATAGACATGGATAAAAGAAAACCAAGCCTTACCTGATTGGAAAACATTTTACTTTCATAGTGCAGCGTGGGGTGCCTGCCCCTGACTGCCTTACACATGGGCCTCGGCCGTGCTTCCAGAGCCTTGTTCTGTGGTGGATGCTTAGCGGATGATAAGCAGAGGCCTTGTCTGAGGAAGGCGAGACATGAAGTCACCACTCAGGTCCCAAGGGGGAGAATCTGTTTAGAATAGAGCCTAAGGGGCCACCGTGCTGAAGAAGGAGCCAAATAGTTCTGTGACCCCTTGGGCCAGAAGAAGCTATGGGGAGTTTTCTCTGGAAATAAGAGTCTCTGGCAGGGTCTGGACCACACCTGTTCCCCCAACACAAGCCCTGTGAGGAAGGAGCAGGATGGATGGTCTCTGGTCCCAGACAGCTGTGGAGGCCAGAGTGGCTTCCAGAGGCTGGGGTGGGCTGGAGCACCTTTCCTTCTTCCACCCTGGTGGGCAAAGCTAGGCCTTTGAAAGAATAGGTGCCCACGGTCATGAACTGCATTCACAGGGGCCTGGTCCCAAGATGCCCCTGCCTCCCTAAGGAGCTGATAATCCTCCTGGGATGGGCCAGGTCTCTGGCGAACAGTATTTACTGTCCCTTTAGGTGACACCTGATGATCCCAAAGAACCAAAGGGTTTTCTCTCTTCCATCACAGGTTCGAATGAGAGTGAGGTGCACACAGATGAGGATGAGCCCTGTAAGCCTGAAGGAGGAGCAGCCCCGGGCCAGTGGCTCTTGCCTTGGGAACACCCCCACCAGGGCTAAGGGCTGGCATTTCCCATCTTAGCTTGGTGGGCCACAACCAAAGGTGAGAGGTGGGAATATGGCTGGCCCTAGAAGAGTGTGGTGAAAGGACCAGGGGTTGCCAGGGTAGGGCTGCGACTCATAAGCCACCTTTCTCATAAGCCATTCCTTATTCCCAGGTAAGGCATGGCCCTTAGGTGTGAGAGATGCACCAGGCTAATTTCATTCTCTCCTATTCACTCAGTGTCCAATTGCCCAGCTGCTACCAAATGCCAAGCACCAGGCAGCCATGAGGGGCCTTTCAGGACCTGTTCTGCTTCTGACTGGTTAGGTCACCTCAGAGAAGTCAATGTCCTTGCCTGTCAAATGAAGCAACATTTCCTGCCCTGCCAGCTTCACTGGGTGGTATGCATCAAAGGAGACTCGGACAGGACAGGGCTGTAAACAGTTCAGTCATTTGACATCGCTGTGGTTATTAACCAGGGTGGGGTCATTGTCCAAGAAGAGAAGGGATGCTCTTTGGGAGGGATGCTTCTGTGGGCTGCATGGGGCCAGGGTCCATCCTGGAGATGACCACTCAGTCTTTTTTGCCTTTAAACACCAGACCCTCCCTGAAAGTTTACCTTTACTTACTATGGGTTCTTGCCACTGCCCACCAGCAAAAGGGGTGGAGAAGGTAGGGTCAGCACTGTGACCTTCTTTAGCTTCCCCTCCCAAGGCCATCAGTGGACTTGTCTCCAGAATTTTTTTTTCCAGGTCTCAGTACTAGCCTGGTGACAACAGCATGAGCTCTGGGAGAAAGGCACCCTGAGAGTAGGGCCGGAGCTTCCTCTGACTTCAGCCCTCTAAGGCTACCTGCTGCCTGGGACCCATGTGTTCCCTGCCCCAAGGGCCACTGTTGGAGAAATGCTGCTAGGGCTGAATTGAGAGGCTTCAGCCAGCCTGGGTAAGGCCACTTTCCACCTGGCCTTAACCACCACACCTCAGAAATGTGGGCCTCTGATACTCTCAGCAGAGTGCACCTCTCAGAATCCAGGCTTCAGGGCCTAGCCATCCCCAAGGCTGCCAGACAGGTTTTGTATGTCTTGGGAAAAGCCATTTCCCTCCTGGTCAGTTAGCAGACATCTCTTTGTGAATTACTCCAAGGTGCTGAGCTGTCCGTGGAGGAAAGCACCAGAGAGAATGTGTCCCCCAGCTCTGTGAGCAGACCTGGCTGCAGATGCCAGGCCAGGCTGGAGGCCACAAGGGTTCTGTCTACCAAACACCCATTGCCAGCCCATCATGGCACCACAATTTCACATTGATTAGACAAAGAACTTGCCTAGGTTGTTTTCCTGGGTCATGATCCCAAATTCTTTGTAATAACTCCCCCAAAGAGCCAAACCCCCCAAAATTCTTTCCCCTTGGTTAGCTGTGGCTGTCTGGCAAGCATAGTGGTCCTCAGGGTGACCTTCACGCCAAAACCAGTCATTCAGAGCCATCCTGAGCATTTTGCCAGATGTGCACTAGTGCTAATTCTGGGGCCCAAGGGAGGCAGGATAAACATATTTTATTTGTTGGCAGATGTGAGGACAGGGACTGTGCCAACCAGAATGGTGCCTTCACAGATACTAGCACAAGTGCACCAGGTTAAGAATGCTACAGGGCTGATAGGATTCAGATGTTGCCCTGGAGAAACACACAGCCTAGTTGTGAAGATAAGATGGATACATGGGAAAGAGAAATCTAATTCACCAAAACATGTAAGGTCATTGCCAAAGAAATGGGGATGGATGGCAGAGGTAGTCAAGGATAGAGGAGGGAGCAGTCACTGGGAGCTGTGGGAAGGATGGGAGAAGGCTTCCTAAAGGAGAGGTGACTTGAGCCAGGCCTGATGGGTGGGTGGGTGGATGGATGGATGAATGAATGGGTGGGTGGATGGATGAGCAGTTTTAGAGGACAAGGATTGGGTATTCCAAGCCATGCAGAAGGTGAGAGGAAAGATACAGAGATAGGAAATCTTTGTTGAAGAGCATGAGTACAACCAGAAAGTTCAAGGAAGCCAAGAAGAGGGTTGGGGAATAGGAGAAAAGATCTGTATTAGTTCACTTTCATGCTGCTGATAAAGACATACCCAAGACTGGGAAGAAAAGGAGGCTTAGGCCGGGCGCGGTGGCTCACACCTGTAATCCCAGCACTTTGGGAGGCCAAGGCAGGCGGATCACGAGGTCAGGAGATTGAGACCATCCTGGCTAACATGGTGAAACCCCGTCTCTACTAAAAATACAAAAAATTAGCCAGGCGTGGTGGCGGGCGCCTGTAGTCCCAGCTACTCGGGAGGCTGAGGCAGGAGAATGGTGTGAACCTGGGAGGTGGAGCTTGCAGTGAGCAGAGATTGCACCACTGCACTCCAGCCTGGGCGATGAGCGAGACTCCGTCTCAAAAAAAAAAAAAAAGGAGGTTTAATGGACTTAGAGTTCCACATGGCTGGGGAAGCCTCACAATCATGGCGGAAGGCAAGGAGGAGCAAGTCACGTCTTACATGGGTGGTGGCAGGCAAAGAGAGAGCTTGTGCAGGGAAACTCCCGTTTTTAAAACTGCCAGATCTCGTGAGACTTATTCACTATTACAAGAACAGCACAGGAAAGACCTGCCCCCATGATTCAACTACCTCCCACCGGGTTCCTCCCATGTCACATGGAAATTGTGGGAGTTACAATTCAAGATGAGATTTGGGTGGAGACATAGCCAAATCATATCAAGATCTTAACTGGAGGGCTAGGGCCTAGAGTGGACCATGGCCATCTCTGCCCTTGGGACAGTGCTCTGCTATTTAGCATTTCCACACTCCTCTGTTTCTTCAGGCCTCCTGGAAGCAAAAGCCTGAGCTGCTCCTCCTGGACCTCCTAGAACAGCGTCCTTCTTTCCTGCTGTATTTCCTGTAGCTTAGGGGGAGGAAAGGGCCCTGCATGTGTCCCTCCCCACACTTCAGAGGGTTGGCTTGCCCTGCTTCTTTGTGCTTTCTCTTCCTGCCTGGACTGAGCTCGCGGATTGTGAGGCTAGGGAGCCACATCTCTCTGCCTCCCCTACTGCCAAACCTGGCAGCCCTCAACACCCTTCCCTCTGTGCAGTACCCTTGTTCTCCCTTTCCCCACTTTATCTGATAGATCTCTGAATTCTCTCTTGAGTCACAAGTTCTCATCCTGCCTCTCTCCAGCCAGGAAGTTGACTTGGTCAAGCTCTGTGACTCCCAGGACGCCATGTCCACAGCCCAGCCCATCTCTGACCACCACTTGCTGCCTTGGCCAGTTTCCAAGTCGCCTCTGTCTCCTCCTCTCAGCTTGGCAGTCTTTATGCATGCAGGCATTGCCCTCATCAGACAAATGTTTGGTGACAGTGCCATCCCTGGCTCTTTCCCAGAATGCATTTTTTTGTTGTTGTTTTGTTTTGTTTTGACTACTCTTTCTTTTCTTTTTCTCTACCCATGCTCTGAAACCATAGTATACATACAGGACAATTATGATTGTAAGTACTGTGCTTCCTATCCCAGATATTTCAGGAAGCTCACTGGTGTAACACTTGGGGCCTTACTCTGATCCTCACACACTCTTGCCACACTACAAAAAGGGATTTTATTTGACTGGTGAGTTTTGGAAAGCCAGTCCTCCTCCCACTTCTCCCTTGGGGTCTGGCATCTTCACAGAAACCATGCATTCCATCCTGGCCGTTTGTGCTGCAGGTGTTTCAGGAGCAAACCCATGGCAGCCAGCACTATGTCCTTGGGTGGCTAATGCTGCCTAATCCTGGGATTCATAACCCCACTTGCCTGCAGATACAGCCACATTCACCAATATCAGGCTTTCACTAATAAAAGTGATATGTTGGTCTCCCCATATTATTTCTCAGTTGGTTCGAATATTGAGTATAAAATTATAATAATAGCTAATACCTAGCTAAACACTTCATGTACATTGTATTTGACTCATGTACATTGTACATGTGCATTGACTTATTTAATTCTTACAACATCACTATGACATAGGTACTAGTATTAATCCATTTTACAGGTAGGAAACTGAGGTACAGAAAGGTCACATAACTGTTCATGGCAAAGACAGGATTTGGTCTCAGACAGTCTGGCCCCAGAGACCACACCCCTGGTCTCAATGCTATATTGCCTCTGAAGAGAAGGGTGTTACTTATTGAATTCCCTCAAATCCCACTATAGTTTCATGTTTCCCATCTAGAATATAAAGCTGATTCTATTTTTATTTGCTTTTGTTATATCTGTTATCTTCTATGTCTTGTTTAGATATCAAGACCAAAGTTGAAAAGGCAGATTTGATTCCGGAAAAAACAAATGTGAAAGGAGAATTCTCTGGAAGACTGGAAGCATGAAAAGTGGGAAGTAGGGGAACAGGGCATTCGGAACAGCCTGCAGACAAGCAAGTGAGGAGAGACAAGCCAGACACCAGGCAGGCCCCAACAAAAGAAAAGAGGTCTCCCAGGAGAGAGGGGCCGGAACTATAAGGAACTCAGGAAAGAGGTCTGCCACAACTCCAGCCTGGCTGCCCCTAGCAGGAATCTCTTAAGCATATACTGTGTATGGCAAGGCCTTCAGCCAGAGCTCCACTTTCATCGTGCATCAGATAATCCACACCTGGGAGAAGCCGTGTGGGTGTGGGTAGTGTGGCAAGGCCTTCATGCAGAGCTCCCACCTGACCTAGCCCCAGAGGGTACACATGGGGAAGAAGCCCTTTGTCTGTGGCACATGTGGCAAGGCCTTCAGTCAGGGACCAAGCCTAGTCGTGCACACAGGGTGGAAGCCACACATGTGCCCATAGGGTGGCAAGACCTTCAGCTGCAGCTCGTGCTTCCTGGTTCACTGGTAGAGCAACACGGGGGAGAAGCCCTATTGCTGCACCCAGTATGGAAAGGCCTTCGGCCAGGGCTCCCACCTTTCCAGGGTGAGGAAATCAACTCAGAGTTTTGCAAATCATCTGAGATGACCCAACCAGTCAGAGGCAGAGCATGTCCTGAAGGGCCCCTCATGGTTGCCTAGTGCCTGGTACCTGGGAGCATGCCTGGAAGAAATACCAGCCAACTTCCCCGGTCAGAGCCCAGTGCTGATGGGTCAGGGCTTCAGGTCCAGCACTGAATCCACATGAGAGCAAGCTGAGCCCTTGTCACCAACCTAGCTCTCAGGCTAAGGTAGGCTCCTGTAAGGGCCTCCTGGTGTCTTTGGAGAGACAAGATACATACACAGTAAACACACAAATGAGTAAAGGACAGTAGGTGACAAGCTGAGATTAAAGTGCTGAATTGTGTGCAGAGATAGCAAGATCAGCAGGGAGGGGAAATGGGTGAAGCTTTAGTGGGCCAGCTCTGGGAGAATGGGTTGGCAGTAGGTGGATGAGGGACAGCCCAGGGAGGGGACTAAGCAAACAAGGAATGCCTCCAGGTGGGCCCCAGTGAGGGGAGAGACTGGCTGTACAGTCACTAGGAGTGGCAGGCTTGACAGGCACATGGGGAGGTGAGAAGTTTCAGGACAAAAGCCCCGGTGTGTGGGTGGTACCAACCAAGGCCAAGCCCTGCCCACGGTACTGGGCTTCGTGTACCAGGTTAACCCTGGGCAAGCCACTGAGCATCATTTTCCACACCTGTGCAGGACAGGAGTTGGACATGAGGGGCTTTGAGCTCTCTTCTCTCTGCCACTTGTGATTTCAGAGCTTTGAAGCCATTGTCAGAATGAGGACTAATAGACGGAGGAGGGAAGTGTTGGGAGAATGAAGCTGATGGGAACTCAGGGTAGACGGACAAAGAGGAGGAAAAGGAGACAAGGGAGACCACGTGGGAGGCAGGTGGGGAAATCCAGTTGGTTCTTCTCAGACTTTGGTACCTACCACAGGTGACCTTGCTCAGCTGAAGTAGGTCAAAGACGCTCTTTAGTCATTGTCCATTCATTCAGCAATTTACTGAGCACCTTTTATGTAAAAGGCACCTTGCTAGGTGAACTAAGGGGCCCACAGGGAATGAGACCTGGTCCTTCTCTTAACACAATCCAGCAGGGGAAGTAAGACCACCACAAGGCAGAACATGCTGAGCGGGAGGACAGCTGAGGATAATTGCAGGGAAGTTCAGACGAGGGTGGATGCTGCTTTGATTTGGGGTGGATCATGAAAAAAGTGGCATTCAAGCCAACCTCGAAGGGTGAGTAGGAGTCCCAAAACCTGATGGGAGAGGAGTTGTGTCTAGGAGAAGGACTTGTCTGGAAAGCATGAAGCATGTTGGGAACAGTGTACTGTCTTGGCTTGATAGATGGAAGGCATGCCAGTGACACTCTGGGTGCTTGCTAATGTTCATGCTGTGTGAGATGTAAGGTACAGCTAGTCTGAAAACCTTCCTAGCACTGGCTCCTTTTGCAGTGTGGATGTTTTGTTAATAAAGAACAGGTTTGTGCTTCCCCCATCACTAAGCAGTGCTTAGCTTAAAATGTCATGCAGCCTGGTCTAGTAAATAAAATATACAGTGCAGCTCTCCAGATCCCCTAGTTGCCAGCAATTATTAGTCTGCTGGGACCTGGCAGGAAGGAGAGAGTTTAATGAAAGGGTGATTTACAGAGGTTTGGGGAGGGGATGGGGAGACACCAGATACCAGCAAGAACTAGAGCCTCTGCCACTCCTAGCTTGAAAGGGCACGGAAGGAAATGGTGTAGCTGGAGCCATGCAGCTGTGGTTACAGAGGGACACAGCCACTGCCAGAACCATGGTAGCAGACAGAAGTACCCCGTCCCATTCTCATGCCTCCCTCTGACATACCAGTGCATCCCACTAGGAAGCCAGAAGTAAGGGACCCAGGGTGATGCCACCCACAGGGATCTCTGCCCCAGGGCAATGAGGTAGATGATGGATCTGGGGTGCAGACAAGAATAACCAGTATGCAGGCCAAGGAGTGGAGAATCAAAGAATAACTCTGTGGGGCAGAGACCAGTCTCTACCCAGAGCTGCTTGGCCTCTGGTAGTACATGGATCTCTCTACTCTCTAATTTCTACCTCTGCCACTTCCCTGAATGGCGCAGCTCTTCTAAAATGAGTGGCAGAGTAAACCCTTGGCCCTTCCCACCTTCCAGCAGACATTAACTTCATCCAGTCCCTGGACTCCCCCAACACCCACCCCCAGAGAAACCTGGTAGTTTCAGTTTCTCTGGCTGTACAGGTTATCCCCTGCTGACCTGCCCTAGAGATAAGTTACTGTTAGGCCATGTCTCAGAGCAGGAAAGCAAGTTAATAATAATTGTTTTATTTTATACAGTAGTTACTAAGCACTTACTCTGTGCAGTGCTCTTCTTAATGTGTTTTACTCAATCCTCACTGCATCCCTTAGATAGTTAATATCACCATTTTATAGACAGGGACAGTGAGGCACAGAGAGTTTAAGAAGTTTGCCCATAGGTATGCAGTAAGTGGAGAAGGGACTGGGCTGTGGGCATTGAGTGGCTGCTGAGTCTGGACACCACAGCCCACACCAGGGGTGGACATCGCTCCATTCAATTTACTGTCTCCCTGATACTCCGCCTGTAGCCCACACCGAGCCATGCACAGCTGCAGTGGTCACTTCCCTGGCCACCGTCTCCATTCAGGCAGAGGTGTTTTGGTCCTTTCACCACTTAGTTCTGCTTTGCCCTTATGTCCAAAGCAAAACCCTTTTTACTAGAACTTTTGTTCTAGTAAAAAATTAACTTCCCTTCATTTTCAGGCCTGCAATCCTTCGCCAGGTGTCTGCCCAAGACAACTAGCAGTTTCACACAGATGCTAAGTCTCATGCAAACCAAAACCAAGGAGTCACACAGCTCATTTCAGATGCTTATTGTGTAAACACACAAGATTAGCAGTTGCTTTCATGAATGTCTGGGCTTCTGTGCACACCCTACACCTTGCCTTTGTTAAAATAGGCTGTTTTAACAAGGAAAAGGGCCCTGGTGTTTGCCAAAAGAAGGGGGATTTGGTAAGAAGGATTTTCTTATACTTTGGATGGACATTTTTTATTCTTATACTTAAAAAAATTATTACACTTTGAAATTTCAACTCCTTGTGACGGACGCCATGCAGTTTGAGCTGACAGATGTTGCAACTGTAATTCACCTCAGGCTTTCCTTGTTGCCAGAAGTCAAGCCAGTGACTGATTCCTAGCACCCCTTTTTTGCCTACTAGTGATTGAAAGATAAAGTATATCTCATGCTGGAATTGACCTAGAAGGAACTGGAGACATTTTGAAAGTCAACCTTCCAGTTTGTTAAAAATCTCTAAAATTGACCCTCTAGTGTTGGGGACTATAAATCCACACCCAAGAGAGGGCCAGTTCCTGACTTAATTGGAGGGCTAAACTCATAGCAGTGGGCAGCAACCAGCATTACAATACAGTCCTGTGCTGCTTAACAATGGAGAGTTCTGAAAAGGGCATTGTTAGGTGATTTCATTGTTGCGTGAATATCATAGAGTGTACTCAAACAAACCTAGATGGCAAGTCTAAGTACATCCTAGGCTCTGTGGTATAGTCCTAGGCTATATGATATACACCCTACTACACCCTAACTATGTGGTACAGCCCACTGCTCTTAGACTACAAACTTGTACAGTGTATTATTGTACTGAATACTGTAGGCAACTGTAGCAAAATGGTATCTGTATATCTAAAAATAACTTAGAAAAGGTACAGTAAAAATATGGTATGAAAGATAAAAAATAGTATGCTTATATAGGGCATTTACCATGAATGGAGTTTGCAGGACTGGAAGTTGTTCTGGATGAGTCAGTGAGTGAGTGGCGAGTGAATGTGAAGGCCTAGGATACTACTGTACACTTCTGTAGACTTTACAAATACTGTACACTTAGAGTAAACTAAATTTACTTAAAAATTTCTTTCTTCAATAAGTTAACCTAATGTTAACTTTTTACTAAACTTTTAAAATTTTCTGACTTTTGTAATAACACTTAGATTAAAACACACACTGTAATGCTATACAAAAATATTTTATTTTTATAAGCATTTTTCTTTTAAATTATTTACTTCAACTTTTTGTTAAAAACTAAGACACAAGTACATTAGCCTAGGCATACACAGGTCAGAATCATCAATATCATCATCTTCCACCTTCACATCTTGTCCCACTGGAAGGTCTTCCCGGGCAGTAACATGCACAGAGCTGTCATCTCCTATGATAGCAATGCCCTCTTCTGAAATACCCATGAAGGACCTGCCTGGGACTCTTCTTAAGGAGGTGTCCCTCTTTTCAGAAATATGTCCATGGTGGTTTGCTTGGTATTTCCTTTTTTCATCATAGATTTGCCAGTAAACAAATAATGCACCATGAACATTCCTCTCTATTAATGAAAACCTTTTGGTGTTGGGGTCCATGTTTTCAATTTTTTTTTTTTTTTTTTTTTTGAGATGAGTCTTGCTCTGTCACCCAGGCTGGAGTGCAGTGGCACGATCTCGGCTCACTGCAACCTCTGCCTCCCAGGTTCAAGTGATTCTCCTGCCTCAGCCTCCCTAGTAGCTGGGATTACAGGTGCGTGCCACCACACCCAGGCTTTTTTTTTTTTTTTTTTGTATTTTTAGTAGAGATGGAGTTTCACCATGTCGGTCTGGCTGGTCTTGAACTCCTGATCTCGTGATCTTCCCACCATGGCCTCCCAAAGTGCTGGGATTACAGGAGTGAGCCACCGCGCCCGGCCCAAACTTTTTAAGGAGTTTCTTGAGGTCTGCAAAAGCTTCTGCTAAACTCCCTACTGCAAATTTTCTTGATGGTGGTTTTCTGCAGTTTTGTTTTCTCTTGCCTCTTCTTCAGCTGTGTCCCTGTTCTATTTCCAACAACTCATTAGTCAATTCCTCAGGAACCACCGCTAGGAGCTCCTCAATGTCATCCTCATTCACACCCAGGTTAAAGCTGTTTGCCATCTCAACCACAGCCTTGTGGATTTTTGCAACCTGGTCATCCATGGCAAATCCTCTGAAGTCATGAACAAACCTCGAGTGTCTCCTTCCAGATGCCATTCATACACTCATTGGTGACATCACCCTAAGCCTAAGCAAGGTTCTTGATGCAGTCTTAGATGCTGTAATCCTCCCAGAATTGCATTAGTGTCTTCTCAGTGTCTCCCTCAGATAATAGCAGCAATAGCCTGGGGCAACGTCCGCTTTAGGTAGTGAGCCTTAAAAACTGCTCTAACTCCTTGATCCACTGGTTGGATCAAAGAGTTGATGTTTAGAGGGAGAAACACCAGTTTGATATTAAAACAAAGATCACCAATAAAAGGATGTACAGGAGCATTATCAACAACAAGCAAAATCTTGAAAGGTATGTTATTCTCCAAACAGTACTTCTCCATTTCACTGGCATAGCAATTCAGGAGGGCATATTGGAAGAGAAGCTGGGTCATCCATGACTTGTTATTGCTCATGTAGTACACCGGCAGTGTGTGCTTACTGATATGCTTGAAGGCCCTGGGGTTCTCACTGTGTCAAATCACAAAGGGTTTTAATTTGTGGCCAGCAACATCGCCCCCAAACATTGTTAGCCAGTCCTTCAAAGCCGTGAAACCTGCCACTGACTTGGCCTCTTTATGGATGACAGTCCCTTCCGGCATCTTTTTCCAGAATAGGGAGCCTTGATCCATATTAAAGATTTGCTCTGGCAAGTAATTTTCCCCCACAATCAGCTTATCTAGAGTTTCCAAAAATTATTCAGCTGCCTTCACATCAGCACTTGTAGACTTAGCACTCACTTTCACAATTGTGTAATGAGTAACAATTCTCGAATCATTTAAACCACCCAGAGCTAGCAATAAATTCAACAATATAGTCAGGTCCAGCCTTTTCTATCTACGTAACAAACAAGCTTTTTGCTTTAGCTGTGATTGTCATGGTGCTGAGGGACATGCTTGTGTGTCTGGTCTTCAATCTAGGTCAATATCAGATATTATCCATATCTGATATTGGCCCTTCTCAAATTTTTGTTAGTCTCATTGCCTTCAATGAAGCAGATCCTTTAACAGCTTCTATCACTTTGCTCTTGTTCTTTAGGATGGCAGCTATGGTAAAACGGGACATGCCTGACTGGTGAGCAATAACCATCCCTGATTTTCCACCTTCACAGTCCTTAATCACTTTTAATTTTGTTTCCAGGTCAATTACTCAGCATGGCCTCTTACTGGCAAAATTAGCCATGGATTTTGAATGCTTAGGAGACATGATGAACAAAACATGAGATTAAATCAAGCACAAGAGGAAATGATGCAGTCAAGAGATGTGGTAAACATGAGATAGATGAGGCTGCTGCTGGTCAAACACAGCATACTGTTTTACAGTAAACTTTGAAAAAATAAGTGGAAGGAGCACACTTTGAAATAACAATGAAAAGCACAGTAAAATACATAAACCAGTAACACAGTCATTTATTTATCAAGTATTATGCACTGTACATAACTGCATGTGCTATCCTTTTATATAACTGGCAACATGGTCAGCTTTACACCAGCATCACCACAAACATGTGAGTAATGCATTGTGCTACCACATTATGACAGCTGCAGAGTCACTAGGCCATAGGAATTTCTCAGCTCCATTACCTTATGAGACTACCATCAAATATGTGGTCTGTTGTTGACCAAAACATAATTATGTGGCACATGACTGCACATACCGAGACATATTGCATTCCTATTATATTTTTCCTTTAGTCTAAAGGTAATAAATTTCTTTTTGTGTAAGTGGCAGATGATTAGGATATTACTTTTTAATTTTATACACACACATGATCTGTTTTATTTCCTTGTAAGGAAAAGTCAAGCTCTATGGTCTAGAGAGAAGAGAACAGGCCTTAAGACTAGGATCTCATCCCTGAGCAGCTAGCAACTGAAGATGAGAGAGAAGGATATTTTTAAAGACACCCCTCTAGCATGTCTAATGGTCAAGGATTGCAGTGTTTCTGACAGAACACTTCTGTTCTGAGAGGCTCAGACTCCTTAGCCCTATGGACAGGGTTTAATACTTCATCTTGTTAACTTTGGTCTGCAGTTCTGGTCTGGTAGGGTTCCTTTGATTCATGATTCTATCATCCTATGTATCCTTCGCTGTTTTGGTCACTCCTAAAGGCAGCCTACATTTGAATGAGGATGTGACATTCTAAATTTTAGTACTGCTCACAGTGGGCCTTCTAAGCTTCCCAACTCTAGCACATTAAAGCTTTGAAATAACAATGAAAAGTAAGTAAGCTTTAATGTGCTGGAGTTACATTGGAAAAATTACAAATCTTCAAAGCAGGTGAGATCTTGCAAGATTATCAGATTAAGAGTTTCTTGATAAGAGGAAGTTCTCAATGAATTAAAATTTAATCAACTTTGTAGAAATGAAGAGCTCCTCAGTTTCCTGTCAATCAAAGTGGAAGACAGGACCTGGCATCTACCTCTTGGAACTCCAAATCTGACTGGAGGCACATGTACAAAAACAAGGCAAGTGAATAAAACACCATACAAGCAGAGTGAGTTTGTGGACCCAGATTTCCAGCAATGAACAGTCCATGACCTCTCACATACTTCCTAGTATTTATGAGATGCTGGCCTGGCTGAAGGCAAGCATATAACATGACCATTCAACTCTGCCCCATTAACAGTGGGCCCTAACCCAAGTAGCCAGCTGAGGTTTCTTCTGGGCATGAGTTGTCTGATGGAGAATAAGATGGGAGCTCTGGCCAAAGGCTCTTTCACACTCATTACACTGATAGGGTTTCTCCCCTGTGTGAATTCTCTGATGCACAATAAGGTATGAACTACAACTGAAAGCTTTGCCGCATTCATTACACTCAAATGGCTTCTCCCCCGTGTGGATCCTCTGAGGGACAGTGAGGCCTGAACTCCGGCTGAAGGCTTTCCCACACTTACCACATTCAAAAGATTTCTCTCCAGTGTGGATGCCCTGATGAACTATGAGATTTGAGCTCTGGCTGAAGGTATTCCCACATTCCTGGCATTCATAGGGTTTCTCACCAGTATGGATCCTCTGATGTCGTATGAGGTGTGATCTCTGTCTGAAACCTTTTCCGCATTCATTACATAGGAAAGGTTTCTCCCCTGTGTGAATTCTTTGGTGCACGATAAGGCTTGCACTCTGACCAAAGGCTTTTCCACACTCCTTACAGATAAAGGGTTTCTCTCCTGGGTAGTTTTGTTGCCCTCTTTCCTTGTCAAGGGCACTCCTGTCTCTGAAGGCAACACCTGTGGAAACTCTCTTCCTTCTCCTTGCTCTGGGTCCTGCCTGGCTTCCCTGATGCCTCTTTGCACTTCCCTTCCCCGCTAGGGCTTCTCTAAACCTGGCTGCCAGAGGGGCTACACTCTGAAGCCTTTCGTAAGTTGTGACTTGTATTTTGACTTCTGAAACTGGCCCCTTGTTCTTCTCCCTGTGAATTCTCGAATGTGAAATACTTTTTGAGCTTAGATTAAAGAAGTTATCAAATTCTTTACCTTTCTGGCTTTTCTTCTCTAGGGAGATTTTTACATCCTTGATTTCTGCTGGCCTTATATTTCTAGTCCTCGTCCTCAGTATCTCCCTGGAAGGATCTCTCTGATGAATATTCAAACTGTCTTCCCAATTTTTGAATGCTCCTTGCCTTCTCTCTCTCCCTTACTCTTCAAAGTCGTCTTTGAGAGGAAGAGCTGGTAACACAGCCTGAAAAAAGCCTCAGGGCCTGAATTTCCATGCTGGCTCTGCCACTTAGGGGCTGTTTGCGCTTAGGCAGATTAACCCCTCTCATTTTTTCTTAATAGGAATAATAGTACCTACCTCATAAGGTTGCTGTCAGGATTAAATGAAACAAGCATTTAGAACAGTGCCTGGCCCACGCTAAGCATTACACAAGCACTTGCTATTATTTTGCCTCTTTAATGCTCCTTAAATCTACACAGTTCAGACATTCAGACATTCAGACTTATGGGACACTTATGACTGCCACCTGCACCTACACTACTTTCCTCCCGCCCGCATCCCATTTCTAGTCCCCAGTTCACCCTAACAACAAGCCCTTCAGACACACCCACCAGTGTGCCCACGTCAATTTACCATTGCCATGGCAACACCCCGGAGTTACTGCACCTTTCCATGGCAGTGACCCAATGACCCAAAAGTACTACTCCTTCCCTAGAAAGTTCTGCATAAGCCGCCCCTTAATCTGCATGCGATTAAAAATGGGTATAAATATGACCGCAAAACTGCCCTTCAAGCAGTTGACGAGCGACTTTCCCCTTACATCAAGTGCACAGTAAGCCCAAGCGCCGGGGCCGCGGGGATTCCCGCCAGTCACTCCCGCCACTACCGCCACCCGGCCCCGCCGCCAGCGCAGCCCGCAGCCCCGGCAAGCCTGCGCCCGCTCGGCCCCGGTCTCTTTCGCTCACCAGAGGCTACGGGGCGCCCGGCCCCGCACACCCAAGAAACACTGCCACCGCGACGCGCCTGCCCCCAGGATCCTCTCGCGAGCTTCAGTACCCAAGGAAGATGGGCCGTCCCGGAAGTGCGGCCGGGGCGACTTGCAGGCCCCTCGCCGACCGCTCTAGGAATCTCGGAGGTCTTTTGACCTCGACGCCTCCTTACCTGGGTCTCCTACATCTGACCTATCCATTCCAATTAAAAATCTGCAATGTGTTTAGGGGTGGGAGGACAATCTACTATCTACACAAAGGCCTCAGAGAATGTTGGGGAAAAAATTAAAGTCTTAGATATTGACATGTTTAACTTTTACTTCTTTTACAATGTAAAAGTGTCTCTCTACAGCTCCTTTATTTTTGAGAGGTGCTTATAGAAGATACGATTCAGGTTAGAAGATTCAAGTTAGAAAATTCTCTCTAGTCAATGCTCTCCAACCCGTTGCAGTAGGATTGGGATGGAACTGCTGAGGTAGCAAGCAGGACTTGACTCCAGAGGCCGGGTCAGACACTCGACCAAATTGAGGACTAACTAAAACAGAGCCAGGTGGAAGCAGCTTTCAGTCAGACACACCCACCAGTGTGCCATGTCAATTTACCATTGCCATGGCAACACCCCGGAGTTACTGCACCTTTCCATGGCAGTGACCCAAAAGTACTACTCCTTCCCTAGAAAGTTCTGCATAAGTCGCCCCTTAATCTGCATGCGATTAAAAATGGATATAAATATGACTGCAAAACTGCCCTGAGCTGCTACTGTCTGCCTACAGGGTAGCCCTCCTTTGCAGGAGCAGTTACAGAGCTGTAACACCGCCTCTTTGAAGGGGTTTTTTCTTCTACCTCTGGCTTGTCCTTGAAGTCTTTCCTGGGCAAAGCCAGGAACCCTTGTGGGCTAAGCTCCACTTTGGGGCTTGCCTGACTTGCATAACCGTGAAGCTACTTGAGTTGTCAAATAAAAAACAAACTCAGACATAGATAAGACAGGCTTTATTCAAAAGGACAATTGCAAATGGGAGAAAGGTACTACTACAATAGGGAGAGGAGGACTATTGCAATAGAGAGAATGCTTAGACCATAAGATCCACAAACATCTTGTCAACCCAAATAACAGACAGACTCTCTAAAGATAAGGTGTTTATTCAGGAGTGCACAGGGGATTCACAAATCCAGTATATGGGGGCTATGCAGACCATTGGCATATCCAAAGAGGTTGTGTAGCGGGATTGATAAAAAATTAGAGAGACCGATGGGGTTGAGAAGGATATTTATTATTTAGGTGCACTGGCCCAGTTGGATTAACATCCAAAGGCTGAGCCCTGAACAAAATGTTAAGTTACCTTTTAAGCATTTCGTGGGGCAGGAGAAAATCTGTGCAGGGAAAAACGTATTACAGAAGCAAAAAACAAAGACAGTTATTCAATTAATTGAGACCTGCATTACATCAGTTGAAGCAAGGAAAAGTTTTTAAAGGCAAAAAGGAAGCATACGTAATTTGTTTTGAAACAAAGAGAATATTGGTTACAAGACTTATCAGAGGGGTTGATGCCAGTTTATTAACAGAGAGAGTGTGTCAAGCAAGTGTTCTTGTGCATCCAGGTAGCTTCCTTTTACTCACGTAGCAAGCTGCAGCTTAGAAAGCCCTTGTCAGAAGTTCTTGTTATGGGCACCTATGCATAGAAAGTTCTTGTAATATTTCATAACATAGGCATATGTGCATGAGGACCCTCCCTTCTTAACCTTCTGGTTTTATTTATTTCTTTTTTTTTTTTTGTTAGGGCTTGACACAAGTGACTCCATTTTGATTTTGACGACTTTCACAATCTCGAAGGTCAGGCAGAAAAGAATTTTATGCAGAACTTTCTAGGGAAGGAGTAGTACTTTTGGGTCATTGGGTCATTGCCGTGGAAAGGTGCGGTAACTCCTGGGTGTTGCCATAGCAATGGTAAATTGACATGACACACTCGTGTGTATGTCTGATAGGTAGGAATAAATTAGGTTAGAGCAGACTGGTGTAAGGGAATGAATGAGCCAGTGTCATAATTGGATAGTTAATCAGGAAATGTCTTTCCTTGAAGTCAGCTGATTACCAGTGAGCACATAAGCCAGAGTTCTTCAGAGAACCAGAGCCAATAGGATGTGTAGATATATAAGAGGAATTTATTAAGGAAATTGACTCACATGATTATAGAGGCTGAGAAATCCCACGATATGCCATTTGTGAGCTGGAGAACCAGGGAAACAAGTAGCATAGCTCAGTCCAAGTCTGAAGGCCTGAGAACTGAGAGGGCCACTGGTGCAAGTCCCAGAGTCTGAAGGTTGAAAAACCTGGAGTTCTAATGTCCTAGTGTTGCTGGAGGGCTTAGTAGGGTCTCCAGATGCCAGTGAGACCCTAGCTCCAGCTGGTTTCCAGCTTCATGACACCATTGCAAGTAAGAATTCAAGGAAAAGTCAGAATGAAGTGAAAGGCAAGAAGCTTTTATTGCAAAACAAAAGTACACACTTAAGAGAGAAGTGTGAGTGTGCTCATGAGAATGAGTCACACACAACGAGTTTCTAATTTTATGGGTGTTTCTTTAATTATGGGGTGGAATAATCATTCAGTATTTTGGAAAAGAAAGGGATTTCAGAGACTCCTCCCAGCCCCCTATTCCCCCCATTACCACCCCCTTTCTCCCTTATTTGGGTTTGCCAAGAAGAGTCATGGACATGTCAGCCTGACCAGGGTTTTGGCCATTTTCTCTCCCTTATTTTGAGTTTTCTGTTATCCTGTGGTTTCTTTGCCTAGTTCTTATTTTAACTGTTGTTCAGGTTTTTCCATACTCCTGTGACTACCCAGTGCTACTCCTGTCTCACAGGTCCAGGAGAAGATGGGTGTCCCAGCTCCAGGAGAGAGAGAGTGAATTCACCTCTCTCTTTTTGTTCTACCTGGGCTCTCAGCCCTTTGGATGGTGCCCACCCATGTTGTGTGAGGGCACATTTTCCTTACTCAGAACACAGATTCAAATGCCAATCTCTTCCAGGAACACTCTCACAGACATACATCCAAAATAGTGCTTTACCAGTTATCTGGGTATTCCTTAACCCAGTCAAGTTGACACCTAAAATTAACCATCACATGTTCTTATAATAAGGAGGGGTTGTTCTACATCTCATTACTGGCTCAGGCCGAAGATAGGTCAAAACTTAAGGACCTAGGGGAGGGAGAGGAGCTTAACTAAAGCTTGGTCAAGTTAAATTAGCAGGTATGCTGTCCAAATTGGTCATGGGTACAAACAGTTCAGTTAATCACTTGTAAAGCAAATCATCTGGAGGGTCTGTGTCTAGACAAACAAGGGGGTGGGGCTATCTGTGAGTCTCATCTAAGTCATATGGGGAAGGATGGCTCTTTGCAGGAAGTCATTTCCTAGAACACTAAAGGGTGTGGGGATTTTTAATTGTCACTGTTTTCCAGGAGAGCAGACTCAGGTAAAGTTTAACATTTTCAGACTCTTGGGGAAAATTAGGTTATCTATTCTTCGTTGGCTGAGATAGGATTCATGAAACACTATCATAAAATATGGCACCTTGCCATTTGAGAAAACAGCAGAAGCAAGATGGTCTCTCTGACCTTCTCCCATGATTCTCCCCTGAAGCAGGCCATAAAACATTCCCTTGGCGGGTGCAGTGGCTCACACCTGTAATCCCAGCACTTCGGAAGGCCGAGGCAGGTGAATCACGAGGTCAGGAGTTCGAGACCAGCCTGGCCAATATGGTGAAACCCTGTCTCTACTAAAAATACAAAAAAAAAATGAGCTGGGTATGGTGGTGCGCGCCTGTAGTCCTGCTACTTGGGAGGCTGAGGCAGAAGAATCTTGAACCTGGGAGGCAGAGGTTGCAGTGAGCCAAGATCACACCACTGCACTCCAGCCTGGGCAACAGAGTGAGACTCTGTCTCAAAAAGAAACAAACAAACAAACAAAAAACCAAAAAAAAAACCTTCCCTTAAAAGGCTGGGCATGGTGGCTTTCTCACACCTGTAATCCCAGCATGATGGGAGGCCAAGGTGGATGGATCACCTGAGGTCAGGAGTTTGAGACCAGACTGGCCAACATGGCAAAACCCTGTCTCTACTAAGAATACAAAAATTAGCCAGATGTGGTGGCGTGCACCTGTAATCCCAGCTACTCAGGAGGCTGAGGCCGAGAATCTCCTGAACCCAGGAGGCGGAGGTTACAGTGAGCCAAGATCATACCATTGCACTCTAGCCTGGGCAATAAGAGTGAAACTCTATCTTGAAAATAGTAATAATAATAATAATATCCTTTCTTGCAAAATATAGTAATTAAAAAATTAATCCTACATCACAAACCCTTGTAGCAGACAGAGCACATCTCCCCATATATATGATCATTGCACCTAGGGTGGACACTTTCTTCCTCTTACTTTCAGGGACACCCTACTTTGTCTATGGTGTAGCTGTACTTTCACTACTTTCACACCAGCTCACCAGCAATGGATCCAAACCAAGACAAAATCTGTGAATTGCCAGAAAAAGAATTCAGACAGTCAACTATTAAGCCAACCAAGCAGGCATCAGAGAAAGATGAGGTCCAACTTAAAAAAAATTTTTTAAATGATACAGTATATGAAGGGGAAACTCTCCAGTGAAATAGGTAGCATAAATAAAAATTACAACTTCTGGAAATCAAGGACACATTTAGAGAATTGGAAATGCACTGGAAAGTCTCAGCAATAGACTCAAACAAGAAGGAAAAGAATATCAGAGCTCAAAGACAAGCCTTTCAAATTAACCCAGTTCATCAAAGACCAAGAAAAGAGAATTTTAAAAAATGAACAAAACTTCTAAGAAATTTGGGATTATGTAAAATGACCAAACCTATGAATAATTGTTGTTCCCAAGGAAGACAAGAAATCTAAAATCTTGGAAAACATATTAGAGGTAATAATTGAGAAAAACTTCCCTGGTCTTGCTAGAGATCTAGACATCCAAATACAAGAAGCTCAAAGAACACCTGGGAAATTCATTGCAAAAAGATCATTGCCTAGGCACACACTCATCAGGTTATCTAAAGTCAAGACTAAGGAAAGAATCTTAAGAGCTGTGAGACAAAAACATCAGGAACCTATAAAGGAAACCCTATCAGATTAACAGCAGATTTCTGAGCAGAAACCCTACAAGCTATAAGGGATTGGGGTTCTATGTTTAGCCTCCTAAACAAAACAATTATCAGGCAAGAATTTTGTATACAGTGAAACTTAGCTTCCTAAATGAAGGAAAGATACAATCTTTTTCAGACAAACAAACGCTGAGAGAATTCATCACTACCAAGCCAGCACTATAAAAACTGCTAAAAGGAGCTCCAAATCTTGAAACAAATCCTTGAAATACACCAAAATAGGGTCCCCTGAAAGCATAAATCTCACAGTACTTATAAAACAACAACATGATGAAAAAAAACCAAGTTATTCAGGCAACAAATAGCACAATGAATAGAATAATACCTTGGATCTTAATACTAACACTGAATGTAAATGGCCTAAATGCTCCATTTAAAAGATACAGAATGGCAGAATGGAGAAGAATTCACCAACCAAGTATCTGCTGTCTTCAAGAGACTCACCTAACACATAAGGACTCACATAAACTTAAGGTAAAGGGATGGAAAAAGATATTCCATGCAAATTTACATCAAAAGCAAGCAGAAGTAGCTAGTCTTATATCAGACAAAACAAACTTCAAAGCAACAGCAATTTAAAAAGACAAATAGGGATATTATACAATGATAAAAGGACTAGTCCAGCAGGAAAATATAACAATCCTAACATATATATAAAATATAACAATCCCCATATATACGCTGGAGCTCCAAAATTTATAAAACAATGACTACTAGATCTAAAACATGAGATAGACAGCAACACAATAATAGTGGGATTACTTCAATTCTCCACTGACAGCACTAGACAGCTTATCAAGACAGAAAGTCAACAAAGAAACAATGGACTTAAGCTATATCCTAGAACAAATGGACTTAACAGATATTGACAGATACCCAACAACTGTAGAATATATATTCTATTCACCAGCACATGGAACGTTAAGATAGACCATATAATAGGCCCCAAAACAAGTCTCAACAAATATAGGTAAATGGAAATTATAGCCAGTACTCTCTCAGACCACAGTGGAATAAAACTGGAAATCAACTCCAAAAGGAACCCACAAAACCATGCAAAGACATGGAAATTAAATAACCTGCTCCTGAATGATTGTTGGGTCAACAGTGAAATCAAGATGGAAATTAAAATATTCTTTGAACTGAACAATAATAGTGAAACAACCTATCAAAACTTCTGGGATACAGCAAGGTGGTGTTAAGAGCAAAGTTCATCAAAAAGTCTGAAGGAGCACAAACAGACAATCTGAGGTCACACCTCAAGGAGCTAGAGAAACAAGAACAAACCTAACCCAAATGCAGCAGAAAACAAGAAATAACCAAGATCAGAACAGAACAAAATGAAATTGAAACAAAAAAAAATACAAAAGATAAATGAAACAAAAAGTTGGTCATTTGAAAAGATAAATAAAATTGATAGACCATTAGTGACATTAACAAAGAAAATAAAGGATAAGATCCAAATAAGCTCAATTAGAAACAAAACAGGAGATATTCTGACTAATACCAAGGAGATGGATGAATTCCTGGAAATATGCAACCCTCCTAGATTAAACCAGGAAGAAATGGAAATATGCACCCCTCCTAGATTAAACAGGAAGAAATGGAAACTCTGAACAGACTAATAACAAGCAGCAAGATTGAAATGGTAATTAAGTTACCAACAAAAAAAAAGTCCAGGACCAGAAAGATGGACAGTTGAATTCTATCCAACATTCAAAGAATTGATACCAATTCTACTGACACTACTCCAAAAGATAGAGAAAGAAGGAATCCTCCCTAAGTCATTCTATGAAGCCAGTATCACCCTAATACAAAAACTAGGAAAGGATATAACAAAAAAAGAAAACTGCAGACCAATATCCCTGATGAACGTAGATGCAAAAATCCTCAACAAAATACTAGCTAACCAAATCCAACAGCATAACAAAAAGATAACCCACCATGATCGAGTGGGTTTCATACCAGGGATGCAGGGATGGTTTAACATCGGCAAGTCAATAAATGTGATACACCACATAAACAGAATTAAAAACAAAAATCACACGATCATCTCAATAGATGCAGAAAAAGTATTTGACAAAATCCAGCATCCTTTTATGATTAAAAACCCTCAGCAAGGCCAGGCATGATGACTCACACCTGTGATCCCAGCACTTTTGGAGGCCAAGATGGATGGATCACCTGAGGTCAGGAGTTTGAGACCAGCCTGGCCAACATGGTGAAACCCCATCTCTACTAAAAATATAGAAAAATTAGTCAGGCATGGTGGCACACGCCTGTAATCCCAGCTACTCGGGAGGCTGAGGTAAGAGAACTGCTTGAACCTGGGAGGCGGAGGTTGCAGTGAGCCGGGACCAGGTCATTGCACTCCAGCCTGGGCAACAAGAACAAAACTCCATATCAAAAGAACAAAACAAAACAAAAAAACCCTCAGCAAAATTGGCTTAGAAGGGACATACTTTTCTAGTAAATTTGTTTGAGTTCATTGTAGATTCTGGATATTAGCCCTTTGTCAGATGAGTAGGTTGCGAAAATTTTCTCCCATTTTGTAGGTTGGCTGTTCACTCTGATGGTAGTTTCTTTTGCTGTGCAGAAGCTCTTTAGTTTAATTAGATCCCATTTGCCAATTTTGGCTTTTGTTGCCATTGCTTTTGGTGTTTTAGACATGAAGTCCTTGCCCATGCCTATGTCCTGAATGGTAATGCCTAGGTTTTCTTCTAGGGTTTTTATGGTTTTAGGTCTAACATTTAAGTCTTTAAACCATCTTGAATTAATTTTTGTATAAAGTGTAAGGAAGGGATCCAGTTTCAGCTTTCTACATATGGCTAGCCAGTTTTCCCAGCACCATTTATTAAATAGGGAATCCTTTCCCCATTGCTTGTTTTTCTCAGGTTTGTCAAAGACCAGATAGTTGTAGATATGCAGCATTATTCCTGAGGGCTCTGTTCTGTTCCATTGATCTATATCTCTGTTTTGGTACCAGTACCACGCTGTTTTGGTTACTGTATAGCCTTGTAGTATAGTTTGAAGTCAGGTAGCGTGATGCCTCCAGCTTTGTTCTTTTGGCTTAGGATTGACTTGGCAATGTGGGCTCTTTTTTGGTTCCATGTGAACTTTAAAGTAGTTTTTTCCAATTCTGTGAAGAAAGTCATTGGTAGCTTGATGGGCATGGCATTGAATCTATAAATTACCTTGAGCAGCATGGCCATTTTCACAATATTGATTCTTCCTACCCATGAGCATGGAATGTTCTTCCATTTGTTTGTATCCTCTTTTATTTCATTGAGCAGTGGTTTGTAGTTCTTCACGTCCCTTGTAAGTTGGATTCCTAAGTATTTTATTCTCTTTGAAGCAACTGTGAATGGGAGTTCACTCATGATTTGGCTCTCTGTCTGTTATTGGTGTATAAGAATGCTTGTGATTTTTGTACATTGATTTTGTATCCTGAGACTTTGCTGAAGTTGCTTATCAGCTTAAGGAGATTTTGGGCTGAGACAATGGGGTTTTCTAGATATAGAATCATGTCGTCTGCAAACAGGGACAATTTGACTTCCTCTTTTCCTAATTGAATGCCCATTATTTCCTTCTCCTGCCTAATTGCCCTGGCCAGAACTTCCAACACTATGTTGAATAGGAGTGGTGAGAGAGGGCATCCCTGTCTTGTGCCAGTTTTCAAAGGGAATGCTTCCAGTTTTTGCCCATTCAGTATGATATTGGCTGTGGGTTTGTCATAGATAACCCCATCAAAAAGTGGGCAAAGGATATGAACAGACACTTCTCAAAGGAAGACATTTATGCAGCGAAAAGACACACGAAAAAATGCTCATCATCACTGGCCATCAGAGAAATGCAAATCAAAACCACAATGAGATACCATCTCTCACCAGTTAGAATGGCAATCATTAAAAAGTCAGGAAACAACAGGTGCTGGAGAGGATGTGGAGAAATAGGAACCCTTTTACCCTGTTGGTGGGAATGTAAACTAGTTCAACCATTGTGGAAGTCAGTGTGGCGATTCCTCAGGGATCTAGAACTAGAAATACCATTTGACCCAGCCATCCCATTACTGGGTATATACCCAAAGGACTATAAATCATGCTGCTATAAAGACACATGCACACTTACGTTTATTGCGACACTATTCACAATAGCAAAGACTTGGAACCAACCCAAATGTCCAACAAGGGTAGACTGGATTAAGAAAATGTGGCACATATACACCATGGAATTCTATGTAGCCATAAAAAATGATGAGTTCATGTCCTTTATAGGGACATGGATGAAATTGGAAATCATCATTCTCAGTAAACTATCTCAAGGACAAAAAACCAAACACCGCATGTTCTCACTCATAGATGGGAATTGAACAATGAGAACACATGGACACAGGAAGGGGAACATCACACTCTGGGGACTGTTGTGGGGTGAGGGGAAGGGGGACGGATAGCATTAGGAGATAAACCTAATGCTAAATGATGAGTTAATGGGTGCAGCACACCAGCATGGCACATGTATACATATGAAACTAACCTGCACATTGTGCACATGTACCCTAAAACTTAAAGTATAATAATAATAATAATAAAAAGAAGGGACATACTTTAAAATAATTAAAGCCATCTATGACAAATCCACAGCCAACATTATACTGAATGAGGAAAAGTTGACAGTATTCCCCCGGAGAAATGGAACAAGACAAAGATGCCTACTTTCATCACTTCTATTCAACATAGTATTGGAAGTTCTAGCCACAGCAACCAGACAAGAGAAAAAAACATAAATAAATAAGGGCATCCAGATTGATAAAGGAGAAGTCAAACTGTTGCTGTTTGCTGATGACATGGTTTTATACCTAGAAAACCCTAAAGGCTCATCCAAAAAGCTCCTAAAACTGGTAAATGAATTCAGCCAACTTTCAGGACTCAAAATTAAGGTACAGAAATCAGTAGCCCTGCTATACACCAACAGCAACAAAGCTGAGAATCAAATCAAGAAGTCAACCCCTTTTAGAATAGCTGCAATAACATAATATAAAAATACTTAGGAATATGCTTAACCAAGGAGCTGAAAGATCTCTATAAGGAAAACTACAAAACACTGCTGAAAGAAATAATAGATGACACAAACAAATGGAATCGCATCCCATGTTCATGGATGGATAGAATCAATATTGTGAAAAATGACCATACTGCCAAAAGCAATCTACAAATTCAATGCAGTTTTTATCAAAATACCACCATTAGTCTTCACAGAACTAGAAAAACAATTCTAAAGTTCATATGGAACAAAAAAACAGCCCGCATAGCCAAAGCAAGACTAAACAAAAAACAAAAGCAAAAACAAATCTGGAGGCATTACATTACCTGACTTAAAACTATACTATCAGGCCATAGTCACCAAAACAGAATGGTACTGGTATAAAAACAAGCATATAGACTAATGGAACAGAATAGAGAACTCAGAAATAAAGTCTAATACTTACAGTCAACTTATCTTCAACAAAGCAAACAAAAACATAAAGTGGAAAAGGGACACCTTATTCAACAAATGGTGCTGGCATAATTGGCAAGCCATGTGTAGAAGAATGAAACTGGATCCTCATCTCTCACCTTATACAAAAATCAACTCAAGATGGATCAAAGGCTTAAATCTAACACCTGAAACCATAAAAATTCCAGAAGATACCAGCCTGGGTGAAATAGTGAAATCCTGTCCCTACTAAAAATACAAAAAATTAGCCAGGTATGGTGGTGTGCACCTGTAACCCCAGCTACTCAGGAGGTTGAGACAGGAGAACCTGGGAGGTGGAGGTTGCATTGAGCCGAGATGGTGCCACTGCACTCTAGCCTGGGCAATAAGAGTGAAACTCTGTCTTAAAAAAAAAAAAAAAAGGGGGCCGTGCACGGTGGCTCACGCCTGTAATCCCAGCACTTTGGGAGGCTGAGGCGGGCTGATCACGAGGTCAGGAGATCAAGACCATCCTGGCTAACAAGGTGAAACCCCGTCTCTATTAAAAATACAAAAAATTAGCCAGATGTGGTGGTGAGCACCTGTAGTCCCAGCTACTTGGGAGGCTGAGGCAGGAGAATGGCGTGAACCCGGGAGGCAGAGCTTGCAGTGAGCTGAGATTGCGCCACAGCACTCCAGCCTGGGTGACAGAGCGAGACTCCGTCTCAAAAAAAAAAAAAAAAAAAAAAAAAAAGAAGATAACATTGGAAAAACCCTTCTAGACATTGGCTTAGGCAAAGACTTCATAACCAAGAACCCAGAAGCAAACACAACAAACAAAAACAAAGATAAATAGATGGAACTTAATTAAACTATAAGCTTCTGCACAGCAAAAGAACTCATCACAGAGTAAACAGACAACCTACAGAGTGGGAGAAAATCATTGCAATCTATACATCTGACAAAGGACTAATATCCAGAATCTACAAGGAACTCAAACAAATTAGCAAGAACAAAACAAACAATCCCATCCAAAAGTGGGCTAAGGACTTGAATACATAATTATCAAAAGAAGATACACAAATACCCAACAAACATGGATAAATGCTCAACATCATTAATTATCAGGGAAATGCAAATCAAAACCACAATGTGATACCACCTTACTCCTGCAAGAATGGCCATAATAAATAATACATGTTGGCGTGGATGTGGTGAAAGAGAACACTTTTACATTGTTGGTGGGAATGTAAACTAGTACAACCACTATAGATAACAGCGTGGAGATTTCTTAAAGAACTAAAAGTAAATCTACCATTTCATCCAGGAATCCCACTCCTGGGTATCTATCCAAAGGAAAAGAAGTCATTATATGAAAAAGATACTTGCACACACATGTTTATAGTAGCATAATTCCAATTACAAAGATATGGAACCAGCCCAAATGCTATCAATGAGTGGATAAAGAAAATGTGATATATATACCATGGAATACTACTCAGACATGAAAAGGAATGAAATAATGGCATTTGCAGCAACCCTGGATGGAACTGGAGACCATTATTCTAAGTGAAGTAACTCAGAAATGGAAAATGAAACATCGTATGTTCTCACTCATAAGTGGGAGCTAAGCAATGAGGATGCAAAGGCATGAGAATGATCCAATGGACTTTGGGGACTTAGAGGAAAGGGTGGGAGGGGGTGAGGGATAAAAGACTACACACTGGGGCCGGGCGTGGTGGCTCACGCCTGTAATCCCAGCACTTTGGGAGGCCAAGGTGGGCGGATCACGAGGTCAGGAGATCGAGACCATCCTGGCTAACACAGTGAAACCCCGTCTCTATTAAAATACAAAAATACAAAAAATTAGCCGGGCGTGGTGGCAGGCGCCTGTAGTCCCAGCTACTCAGGAGGCTGAGGCAGGAGAATGGCATGAACCCGGGAGGTGGAGCTTGCAGTGAGCTGAGATCGCGCCACTGCACTCCAGCCTGGGCGACAGAGTGAGACTCCGTCTCAAAAAAAAAAAAAAAAAAAAAAAAAAAAGACTACACATAGGGCACCGTTACATTCCTTGGATGATGGGTGCACCAAAATCTCACAAATCATCACTAAAGAACTTACTCATGTAACCAAATGCCACCTGTTCCTCAAAAACCTATTGAAAAAAAATGAAATCACAATTCTATTTCCACTTTTTCTTTTTTTTTTTGAGATGGAGTCTCACTCTGTCGCCCAGGCTGGAGTGCAGTGGCGCGATCTCGGCTCACTGTAAGCTCCACCTCCCGGGTTCATGCCATTCTTCTGCCTCAGCCTCCTGAGTAGCTGGGACTACAGGTGCCCGCCACCACGCCCGGCTAATTTTTTGTATTTTTAATAGAGACAGGGTTTCACCGTGTTAGCCAGTATGATCTCGATCTCCTGACCTCGTGATCCGCCCGCCTCGGCCTCCCAAAGTGCTGGGATTACAGGCATGAGCCACCGCGACCAGCCCTATTTTCACATCTTTAATAATCATTCCTATTGTCGTCAGATATCCAGTGTGTTCAGATTTTCCAGATTGTTCTGCAGGAGTGTGTGTGTGTGTGTGTGTGTGTGTGTGTTTGTGTGTGTGACTTATGATTCAAATAAAGTCGATGGTCTTCTTTAGAAGAAAAGAATGCTTAGCTCAAATGAAGAATAAAAGGAAATGTTAAGGCTGAGATGGAAACAGTAGGAGCAGAATAAACAAAACAAACAAACAAAAAAACCAAACCACTGAACTGTAAGTGAGGAGTAACAGATTAATAACCCAGCTCTGCCACTATAACTGCCTACATAATTTTAAGAAAGTTTTATTTAACTTTTCTGGAGTCACTTTCTTCCTCATCTATAAATGAAGATAGATTATATTACTTCTTATTTGCCTTCATGGTCTGACAGTAATTTTCAAATTGATATTTTATTTTTCACAAACAGAAAAAAGTTTTAAAATTATTTTTATAAAGATCAATATTGCTTTTTACTAAGTTATTGAGAGACTCAAACTGTTGACTCTACTCGTTGTTTAATGAATTTCCCATACAGAATTGTGTTATGTATGTGTATATGTGCGTATATATATATCAGTATATATATATATATATATATATATATATGCACAAACATTCATTGTTTAGATTACTTTGCACAAATGAACCTATTTTTAATGTCTATTCACAATAAATTTCCCAAAATAAATTATTTGGTCTTAAATTACAAAAACAAACAAACCAGAAAATGTGTTTTGGCTGGGCACGGTGGCTCAAACCTGTAATCCCAGCACTTTGGGAAGCCAAGGGGGGCAGATCACGAGGTCAGGAGATCGAGACCATCCTGGCTAACATGGTGAAACCCCGTCTCTACTAAAAAAATACAAAAAAATTAGCCAGGTGTGGTGGTGGATGCCTGCAGTCCCAGCTACTCTGGAGGCTGAGGCAGGAGAATGGCGTGAACCCGGGAGGCAGAGCTTGCAATGAGCTGAGACTGAGCCACTGCACTACAGCCTGGGCAACAGAGCGAGACTGCATCTCAACAACAACAACAAAAAAACGCAGTGGAAAAGTTTCCACAAACCTTTGTTGGGGAAATATAATTAAAAACAAATCCTTCTTCCAACCCAGAAATTCTCTCTACAAAGGTAGCAGGGAAAGAATACACTATTAAAGAAGCATTAAACTAGAATGTAACACATATCACAGGCAACCTACAAAGAGATTGAAAAGGCAGAAAGAAATCTCGCCTCCTTATATAGCCGAACAGATACAACCCATTACATACATGCTTTCAAGATAAACAATAACTAGTCTTCAAATAAGAGGTCTTGGCAGCACCTTTTGTCACATGGTTTTTCCCAACTTTATTGTGGTAATTGGAGTGACCATCTATGTTAGCTAATTGGCTTTATCCAGAGGAAAATCTTCTCAACTTTTTATGGCAGAGGTAGTTTTGCAACTTCAAGCAGGGCACCCACCGAAGCTAAGCTCTAATTTTTGCTATTCAAAGAGATGGCTTTCAGGTCCTCGAGAAAAACATTCCTTGGTCATGGAGCTGAGAAAAGGCCAGTTGGCAAAAGTCCTGCCTAGTCTTCAAAAGCCTATATATACATATGTATTTCAAAGAAAAGAGAAAATACTTACAAGTTTTCTAAGGTAAATGTCCTGAGAAAAAGGAGGGGAGGGAAATCTCTTCTCCTGTTTTCACCAGAGTAAATTGAACCTCTTATTTTTAATTTGCATTTGCCCTTATATTTTCTATGTGAAAACACATTTTCTTTTTTCTTCTCTTTTCTTTTCTTTTTTTTTTTTGACGGAGTCTCCCTCAGCCACCCAGGCTGGAGTGCAGTGGCATGATCTTGGCTCACCACAACCACCATCTCCTGGGTTCAAGTGATTCTCCCATCTCAGCCTCCCGAGTAGCTGGGATTACAGGCACCCGCCATCATGCCCGGCTAATTTTTGTATTTTAGTAGAGACAGGGTTTCACCTTGTTGGCCAGGCTGGTCTTGAACTCCTGACCTCAGGTGATCCATCCACCTTGGCCTCCCAAAGTGCTGGGATTACAGGCGTGAGCCACCGCACCCGGCCACTCCACTGCCTCTTTTTTAAAATTAAAATTTAAATGTTTTTTCAATTGCCTCTTAAATGGATTTGTAAATATGAAAATTTCTCTTTGGGAGGCTGAGGAGGGAGAATCACTTAAGCCTAGGAGTTCAAGACCAGCCTAGGCAAAATGGCAAGACCTGGTCTCCACAAAGCAAGAAAGAAAAAGAGATAGAGAGGAAAGAAGGAAAGAAGGAAGGAAGGGAGGGAGGGAGGAAGGAAGGAAGGAAGGAAGGAAGGAAGGAAGGAAGGAAGGAAGGAAGGAAGGAAGGGAAGGAGGAAGGGAGGGAGGGAGGAAGGAAATTTTCTTATTTCCTTTGCACTTGCATCAAGTTGTGATCTGAAAACTACTTCTGGAACTGTGATTTGAGTTCAAAAAACATGCCTGCAGCCAGTTTGGATAGGAGTGAAGATCTCACTTCTTTTTTTAACTTTCAATAGCCAAAAAAAGCATATAGAGCAGCTTGATTTTGCTTGTGATTCAGACTATGTCAGTTGTCAGAATAACTTTACTACAGTATAAGTTTCACATATAAGAACTGTTTTGCCTTGTAATTCATTGGGAAACATTATCAAGTCTACAACAAAAATCCAGTTTCCAAAGCCATTTTCTTTTTTTTTTTTTTTTTGAGACGGAGTCTCGCTCTGTTGCCCAGGCCAGACTGCGGACTGCAGTGGCGCAATCTCGGCTCACTGCAAGCTCCGCTTCCCGGGTTCATGCCATTCTCCTGCCTCAGCCTCCCGAGTAGCTGGGACTACAGGCGCCCGCCACCGCGCCCGGCTAATTTTTTGTATTTTTAGTAGAGACGGGGTTTCACCTTGTTAGCCAGGATGGTCTCGATCTCCTGACCTCATGATCCACCCGCCTCGGCCTCCCAAAGTGCTGGGATTACAGGCGTGAGCCACCACGCCCGGCCTCCAAAGCCATTTTCTTTTGTTTTGTTTTGTTTGTTTTGAGACAGAGTCTCACTCTGTCACCCAGGCTGGAGTGCAGTGGCGCAATATCGGCTCACTGAAAGCTCCGCCTCCCAGGTTCACGCCATTCTCCTGCCTCAGCCTCCCAAGTAGCTGGGACTACAGGCGCCCGCCACCACGCCCAGCTAATTTTTTTATATTTTTAGTAGAGACAGGGTTTCACCGTGTTAGCCAGGATGGTCTCGATTTCCTGACCTCGTGATCCACCTGCCTCAGCCTCCCAAAGTGCTGGGATTACAGACGTGAGTCACCACGCCCAGCTGCCATTCAGTTTTGATAATGGTTGAAGATGGTTCTTATTTAGAAAAAATTCAATCTTAGTTCTGATTTCAAAAAATCATAATAAAACTTTATCACTCCTAAGTCATTCAACTAGCATATAGTAGGGCAAGTTGGGATATCTAGCTTTTATTTCTGACAAAAATATACAGAACTGACAGTGATTTGGTCTACAAGAGCAAATGAAGCTCACTGTTGACATTACTGGTTCAACAACATATCTAAGGCATTTCCACACACTATCTTCTATGAATAACCATGTGTTTTTAACAACCTACATGCTCACAAGCCTTGTGCATTTATCGACTAAGACTTTCCTGCTTCACACATTTTTTTTTTGTTTTGTTTTACTGTCATTTGTATCACTCTTAGCAGATTCTACTTTAGGTTGTACTGAATTGGTGTTTTCTCAGCTTCGTTGAAAATATTCTTACCTGCAGTTGTTATGTGCGTATTACTCATAAAGGATAATTCTTTAGTCACTTCAAACTCAGCACTGACTTCTAGAATATCAACAACTGATCAGTAGAGCAGTATCAGTAACATCTGTCAACTCATCAAGAGCCAGGAATTGCTTAAGTCCAGGAGTTGGATACCAGCCTGGGCAACATATTAAGACCCCCACCTCTACAAAAAAAATTTTTTTTAATTAGCTGGGTGTGGTGGCACATGCCTGCAGTCTCAGCTACTCAGGAGGCTGAGGCAGGAGGATTCCTTGAGCCCAGGAGCTGGAGGCTGCAGTAAGCTATGATTGTGCCACTGCATTCCAGTCTAGGTGACAGAGCAAGACTCTGTCTCTTAAGAAAAAACAGTCCTAGGCAAGTGCTATTGAAAGTGGAAAGTTTAGAGAATGCTATCTTTGATAAATGGAAAGCCCAACTCAAAATGGCTTAATGAAAAAGGAAATGTTTTGGTATGGGTTACTGAACAACCAAGGGAGGGTGGGCTTCAGGGTTAGCTAAGGCCAGTAACTCTGGCTCTGTTACACTTTGAATTTCTTGCTCTGCCCTCCTCTAGGTATTGGCTTCATCCCCAGGCAGAGAGCAACATGATTATGGTGTTCTGTCTCTGATAGCCACTCACAATTTTGTCCCCTACAAGACAGAACTGTTTCTGTATGCTTGCTCAGAATGCCAAAAAATCTTTTTCAGGTGCCTCCTTTCTCTCTCCCTAGCCCAAAATGGGTCATACATCCTGGACAGATGACAAAAACCACTATACATTTTCCCCCCGCCTCTCTGGAATGCCACTTGCAGCTCTTCCCATTAAGTGGTAGAGTCTATTTCTCTACCCCTTGAACATGGTCTCAGCACGTGAGTTGTTTTTGCCAGTGAAACATTAGTAAATTTGTTGTAAGCGGAGACTTAAAAAGTGTTTGTACATTGGAGCTTGCCATCTTTTGCTGATCTGTGGAACTCTGAGGCTACCATGTTAAGAAGCCTGTGATTGAGGGAGGACAAGTGACCATGTGGAGCAGAAACAAGACATCCCAGCTGAGCACTGCCCCCCACCCCAACCCTCACCAACCAACAAGATGTGAGAATGAGGCCATGCTGTCCTAAACAACCGACTTTGAGCCAGCCCAGATATGAAAACCACTTAGATGACCCACAGAATTATGAGAAGTAATAAATGTTTGTTATTTTAAGCCACTAAGTTTAGGAGTGGTTCGTTAAGAAGCAAAAGCTAACTGATATATGCCCATTTCTGAGGCAGTCATAGGCAAGGGGAATTGCATTACTCTTAAGTGAATCAAGAGACCCCTTTGGAGTTGGGATTAAGTTGTTTCCATGACGACCATGGCTGCATGGAAGAAGCCATGTTTTGTCAAAACAAAATGGGGTTTTGACAGGAAGAAAAAGAGGGAGAAAATGCTTGTTGAATTTGGCAACTACTAATTCACTAAATATACTCTACACCAAACTTTATGTTGCTTCTTTAAGAAGGAAAACAAAGTTACCATTAGAAGGACTAGGCATAGGAACCAACATATATTTCTGTGTAGTGAGTGTGTCCTGTAGTATGCTTTGGGAGGGCAGCTGAGCTACCAAAACTTGGATTTCACAGTAGCAGGGGTTGGCCCTTTACAGAAAGCTAGTGATTAGTTTAGGTTTTGAGAGTCATGTGATCTCTGTCACAACTACTCAATTCCACCATTGTTGTGTGGAAGTAGCAATAGAAAGAAAGGAAATAAACTAGCATAGTTGTGTTCCAGTAAAACTTTTTTTTGAAAAACAAGCAATGGGCTGGATTTGACCTACAGTTTGCCAATCCATCAACCAGAGAAGCAATGTGCAATGCTGTACAGAGTGTAGTTCACGCAATCAGGTGTCACCCAATGTACACATTTGTATTGTACATTTCATATAATTTTCTTGGGGAGGAAATCTGAGTTACCAGCAGTTGTATTTCCTGGAGAAAGGTAATAATACACTACTGTGCATTGGGCACTACGTGTACCCCGATGTAAGAAGACAAAGATAAAAATACTTGTTTGTCAGAGATTAAACATACAACTTTGGGCCTTGCTTTCTTTACATAATCTGCAGAGGGGAATAAAGTTAGGTGTATTTCTGTCTCATGCAGAGAAGTGACATAGCTTTGTGGAGTGTGTAACTCTTACAACTTTCATGGGAAAAATGCCAAGTTGTGAAGAATTCCATTTCACCCAGAAAAGCAATATTCTTCTTAGTGCATTGTGTTCAGTGCTTAACTGCTCAAAAAAAAGTAGATCAAGCATGTTTTTTGGCTATAAACCAAGCAGGAACCCAAAGAAAAAGGAAAAGCAAAAAGAATTTAGTATTTTTAATAATGCTTTGAAGTAGGAGAAAATTCAAAACTTGATTGAATTCCTTAAACGTATGGTTATTTTCTTTTGAATTGTGTAATGAAGTTCGGGTGGCTCACTGCATTTTTCATATTTAGAGCCTCAAAAAATCTTAATCTTGCACTGCCTCTGTAAATTGTGTTACCTTCATGGAGAAGAAAGATGAGTTATTAGTAAGGATTTATCACTTAGGTTAATAATATATATTTCTAAACAATCTTTTCTTCATGTAATCTGCTGGAGTGAAAAACTGAGTTTCCAGTAGTGGTATCTCACCGAAAAGGGAAATTCGGCTGGGTGCAGTGGTTCACACCTGTAATCCCAGCACTTTGGAGGCCAAGGCGGGTGGATCACTTGAGGGCAGGAGTTCGAGACCAGCCTGGCCAACATGGTGATACTCCGTCTTTCCTAAAAATACAAGAATTAGCCGGGTGTAGTGATGTGCTCCTGTAATCCCCACTACTCAGGAGGCTGAGGCAGGAGAATCACTTGAACCTGGGAGGCAGAGATTGCAAGGAGCCAAGATCATGACACTAGACTCCAGCCTGGATGACAGAGCCAGAGTCCATCTCAGAAAAAAAAAAAAAAAATAGAGAGAAAAAAGAAAGAAAGAAAAGAAGGGAAATTCACTCGTATGGACTTTGTATTTCCTATAATCTGTTGGATTGGAAAGATGAATTATTAGCAGTTTTAGCTCTCCTAAAGTCACAACTTTCATGTCTGTAGAATGTCCCTTTTTATATATTCCCTTTGGAGAGGTAATCAGGTGGGAAAGCATTTAGCATCCAACTTGGTGGATAGTCCAAAGGTTATTTTTTATTATTTAACAAGGTTCCCAGGGGAGGCAGTTGAGGGCTGCTATAGCAGCTCCAGAACCAGGCTCATTTTTTCCTCAAGTCCTGCCACCTTACAATATGTTTAGTAGTTTCATGCTTGACACTTCTTGATTATAAGATGGCTGCTGCATCAGCAGGCTCATAAGTGTGTTCCAGAAAAGGAGAAGGAGAAAGTGCAAAGGACAAAAAACATTTTCCAATTAAGTCTGTTCTTTCTAATTAGGAAAAAAGCAACATTCCTGGAGGGCCCATCTATAAGCTATAAGCTCTCCATTTATATTTTCTTTCTTTCCTTTTTTCTTTTCTTTTCTTTTTCTTTTTTTTTTCTTTTTCTTTTTCTTTTTTTTTTTTTTTTTTGAGACAGAGTCTTGCTCTGTTACCCAGCCTGGAGTGCAGTGGCACATTCTCTGCTCACTGCAACCTCTGCCTCCCAGGTTCAAGCGATTCTCCTGCCTCAGCCTCCCAAGTAACTAGGACAACAGTTAGCTCAGCTAATTTTTATACTTTTAGTGGAGATGGGGTTTTGCCACGTTGGTCAGGCTGGTCTTGAACTCCTGACCTCAGGTGATCTGCCTGCCTCGGCCTCCAAAACTGCTGGGATTACAGGCATGAGCCACCATGCCTGGCCCTCCATTTATATGTTCTAGGCTAGAGATGTATCATATGGCCAGCTTTAGCTGAGAAAGAACTTGAGAAATCTGGGCACAGTGCCACTCTGAACAAAATTCAGTTTGGCTATAAGGAGGATGAGGAGAATAGATATTTTGTGGGCAACTTGCAGTACTTGCCATGATATCCTTGCTAAACTGGTGGCCAGTGGATCTAAAATTCATGGATATAGTTCTGACTCGCTTACAGATGGTGTGGGGAAAAAGGAGAAAATTTAGACAAGGACAACTGAAATGATGAAAAGGAAAGAGGATTGTCTGCTGTAGCCTTCAAGGGACACTGGGCTTGGAATTCAAAGTTCTAGCTTTCTGACCTGATTCTGTAATGTACAAACTGTGTGACACTGGTTGACTTAACTTCTTTTTTTTTTTTTTTTTTTTTGAGACGGAGTCTCGCTCTGTCGCCCAGGCTGGAGTGCAGTGGCGGGATCTCGGCTCACTGCAAGCTCCGCCTCCCGGGTTCACGCCATTCTCCTGCCTCAGCCTCCCAAGTAGCTGGGACTACAGGCGCCCGCCACTACGCCCGGCTAATTTTTTGTATTTTTAGTAGAGACGGGGTTTCACCGTTTTAGCCGGGATGGTTGAGTTAACTTCTATAAGCCTGTTACCGTTGTCTGTAAGATGGCGATGGAATGTTAGAAAGAAAGGGAGAATGGATATTGGATAAGCAAATGCAAACTTACTAATAGTTACATCTTGCATAGAAAAACAGCCGACCTCCCTATGGCATATTCTTCATATAATCTCTTTTTTTACACCAAACATACTTTATTAGCACAAAAAAGCAGTCATAACAAGGCACAGCAAGCAAAAACATACATTAGCAGTCAAAGGGTTAGTGTTGTATACAAATATAGCTTTTCTTTTTTGCAGCCTTGGCGATAGCCATAAAGATGTAAAATAACATTCTGTAGCAGCAGGTAAGGAAACTATGAAGCACTCACCAGTGATACAGAGCACATTAACAAAAAGGCACAAGAATGGATTCGGCTACTTTAGTGCAAAATGTCTAGGACTGCAAATTCAGTTCAGTTATTAAGAAACAAACACTAGAACTTGATATAACTTCCAAAAGAGCTCACTCACGTAGTAGCACATATTATTCTAAGTGACAAAAACGTGCTAAGTTATTTACAGATATAATGGCTGTACAGTACCTTTTAAATCTGCAATTTAGGTTTCTGATTTTCCATTAAGAATTAACTGCACTGGGCTGGGCGCAGTGGCTCACGCCTGTAATCCCAGCACTTTGGGAGGCTGAGGCGGGTGGATCACGAGGTCAGGAAATCGAGACCATACTGGCCAACACGGTGAAACCCCGTCTCTACTAAAAGTACAAAAAATTAGCAGGGCGTGGTGGCGGGCGCCTGTAGTCCCAGCTACTCGGGAAGCTAAGGCAGGAGAATGGCATGAACCCGGGAGACAGAGCTTGCAGTGAGTCGAGATCGCGCCACTGCACTCCAGCCTGGGCGACAGAGAGAGACTCCGTCTCAAAAAAAAAAAAAAGAATTAACTGCACTGAAATTCTATAAATTATACTTAAGCAATTCAGGTATGAGAGTTTACAAAAAAGAGATAAATACTGCCATCCAAATTATTAATTACAGTTCAACAATAACCTCAATATCAGCAACCAGCAACCATTGTAGTTACTATTATCTGACTTGCTTGGGCATCTTCTAGTCTCATGTACTTCATAGTTCACAAAATCATCCTGGACATAGGAAAAGATCCAACTTTTATGAAACAATTAGACTGTACATCAACTGAAAAAAAATCACACGCAAGACTGCATTGCAACAGGTATTTCAAATGCCTGTTTTAAGTTAAAGCACTCATTAAAAAAAAAAAACCTAGGGCCTTTCAATAAAATTCTACTACTAGCTTTGTAAGTCTGAAATTTTAAGAATGGCTATTTAGAAAATCTGGTTTTCTTAACAGTACCTTTTGCAGAAGAGAAAAGGCGTCTGATTATAAACTACATCAACAGTTAAGTGAACTGCACTATGCCCTTGTGGCCAGAAAATTGCATTTTTTTCTAAAATGAAGGCAGTCTTTTATTTATTTATTTTTTCGACTTCCAAAGCTTGATTTATAGTAAATACAAACATCATTACGTTTGGAAGATTGTAGAAAAACTCTTAGAAAAAATAATTTCAAACATTAGTCACACTGTTGAAATACTCATTCAGTATTAATAATTTGTTCCTCAGTAAGAAATAGAATTCTTCATAACAAATGCCCCAGTGTTGCCTCACTCAAATACTACAGCCATTAAAAACCAAATTGTTAGTGAAATCGGCAAAATGTGTTTGTAGTCTTACTGAACACCTGTAGCTCTATCCTCTGTTGTTCCAATAGGCACCATGTTTATCTGAACAAATAACAGTAGGTCGCATCTGACAGACACTAACACTAAGCTTACATACTGTATGAAAAAGCCTAACACTGCTACGTGTGTTTGCTGTAGGTGTACTGCCTGATGCACATGAAAGCGGACCTAGTTAACACCCTTTGGGGACAGGAGAGTTTACTCTGCCTTGACTGGTTCTCGTTCTAACCAGCAAACTCTAACTTTGTGTTTATAATGATACTTTTTTTTTTTTTTTTTTTTTTTTTTTTTTTTTTGAGATGGAGTCTCGCTCTGTCGCCCAGGCTGGAGTGCAGTGGAGCAATCTCGGCTCACTACAAGCTCCGCCTCCCGGGTTCACAACATTCTCCTGCCTCAGCCTCCCGAGTAGCTGGGACTACAGGCCCCCGCCACCACACATGGCTAATGTTTGTTTTTTTTTTTGTATTTTTAGTAGGGTTTCACCGTGTTAGCCAGGATGGTCTCGATCTCCTTCCCTCATGATCCTCCCGCCTCGGCCTCCCAAAGTGCTGGGATTACAGGCGTGAGCCACCGCACCCGTTCTATAATGATACTTTTTTAAAAAGTCCTGTAACATTGAGGGTAGAGGGAGCCCATCAATTCCATCATACGTAGTGCATCTGCAGATTACTGTGCGACAGATATACCGCAGGCTAAAAGGAAAAGTCCTATTTAGTGATATAGCAAGCAATGGTTCAAAAAAACATGCACTAACTGAGATCTTTATAATGTTCTAAAAGTCCAGTTACCGTGGAGGAATGAAATATACACGGGTCATGGCATCGAAACTAAAGTTGTGATTCCACTGCTCAACTCGGGCATGCAGGGATCTATTGTAGAGGCGGAAACTCACAGAGTTTCCGGTAGTCCTCTTGTGCAGAGTCCCTGAGCAAAAACGTGCCTTCAGGTTTCCCTTCAAGAAGGGCTTCTGCTTCATAACGGTCCACCACTCCCCAGTAACAGGGATTCCCTGTAATTTGAAGCAAATCAGGCACGAGACCTATATGTAATCAATCTGTGTGTGGACTTTCCAAGCTCCTTGTCTGCTAACATGGGTATGGCTGTCTCCAGATATCTGACGCTGCTTCTACCTCCGTGATTGCAAACACAGGGTGGTTGTATCCTCTTCCGAGTCACAATTAACTTGTGGAATTGCAGAACTGTCCCCACTTATTTCAGTCATTCCGGGAGCTAACTTTGGTCCCAGTTTATATAATGGATTAACCTGTGCAGTAGCTTCAAATGTATGTACTTGTGCACTGGGCGGGGGATCAACCCCTTCTTCAATACTAAGCCGTCTTGTCTTTCTAAGCCTAACTTCTTCGTCTTCTGTAGAAACCAAAGATGGATCAAGTGTATCAAAAAATGTTGAATGTGGGCTCACAGGAGCTGTATGCTGTTTAATCAAATGCCATTTTTGGGCTAAATCTGAGCCAGCAGGAAAAGGGCATTTCTCAAGCATTAATTCAGAAAGATGGATTTTTCTTTTATTGGAAGAGAGAGGCTTTGACTGCTTGCTGTAAGTTCTCATGGGAAAACACAAGCCCACAGTATCCTGCAACGTCTTTCTCAGAGAGCGACTTCCTACAGTTCTGCTGGACACACTGTCCATGTCGTGTACAGAACTTACACCATAGCGCCTCTCTCTCCTTTGAAGTCCACTTCGAGTTCTAACAAACATTTGATCAGTATCCAATGAACTCTAGGTCTTAGTAGAACAGGAATGTTTTTTCCTCGCACCCCATGGAGCATGTCGAGAGTAGGAATCTCTTCGTGCAACTCTTGTTCCTGGGGTAACACAAGAATCATTATCCTTTTCGATGCTTATTTCAACAATTTGAGGAATTTCGGTGGCACAATTTTGATTTCTCTTTGAAGAATTATTTGAAGGGCTTAATCCCAGTTGTAAGGCAACATCTTCTCTTAAGGGACGGTTTTGGTGCTGAGGAGTTGAGTCTCCTATGCTGATGTTTTTCTCTTTGACAGACAGACATTTGTCGGAGTTCATGTTAACATTTTCACTACAGCTTCCTCCTTCATGACCGAAGAGATTCTGACACCTGTACTTGAAGTTATTCCACATTTTCCCCACTTTATCCATTGATTATAAAATCATCGGGGGCGCACGGGGCAGCCTCATCCAGGACACCTAAGGCCAGGCAGGACGGGCCTGGACGGCGCAGTCACCTACAGGGCGAGTCCACCCACCCTCTGGTGCGTCCCGTCCCCTCCGACTGCCCAGCGAGCGCAGCCTCGCTTCCTCCGGACTGAGCCTGGGGACCCCAGCTCCACCGGATGCCCCCACCAGGCCCCTACCACCTTCCCTGGTGCCTCCCCCTCTGCACCGGTTTCCCCTTCCCTCTCCTCTCAACCCGTCCCCGACCCCGCCGCCCAGAATGGAAAATACCTTCATATAATCTCTTTTGGTGGGGGTCAGGTAAATATAATTTAGAAGGAGTTTCTATTTCTCACAGGGAAGCAACATTCATCTCTGGAATGTACACTTTAGGTAATCTGGGGGAAGAAAGATAATTTTCCAGCAGTTTTAGCTCTCAAACAAGCAGTATACATCTATGTGGAGTAACTATTTCCTGTAACTTGTTGGAAGTTGATGGTGACCTAGTCATTCATCAAATACTGATTGAATGCCTAGTATGTCAGCCATGCTCTAGGTGCTAGGGATATAGTATGAATGAAACAGAGAAGGCCCCTGCCTTCATACAGCTTACATTCTACCAAGGGAGATAACAATTGGATAGAGTGAGCCAAAGAAACGGGAATATGCCAGCTACGTGGTACATCCTTTCAGATGTGCAGAGAGCTTGCTTTCTGGATTTAATCTATGGTATCCTCATTTTTCAGTTTATCAAAAATGCCAATAATCTAAATTTCACCTGTTTCTGATTAACGAATTCAACAAGTATTTATTGAATGCCTTCTCTACCAATCATTGTGCTAAACATTGAGATATAATGATAAATAATAGCTCCATATAGCTGATTAGAGTTGTATAAAAATGAACTGATTGGGTCTTTCACAGTTGTCCTTGGGTGGGATGCTACTTGTGTGTATCTTCCTAACAATACCTACGAAAGAAATACAAGTGTATGCATTTAGGGGGGCACTGAATAGAAGGCTAGCTAGAGCTAGAATAACTAATAGTGATATGTGAGTGTAAAGACCCATAAGGGCAACAGTCTAGGTGGTCAAGTGAGAATTGGCATTGGGATTTGAAGAACCAGGATAAATTGGATAGCTGAGGTTAGGGAGAGCAGGTAGAAGGAAGGGAGAGTATTCCAAAGGGAAAATCCTGGGAAAAAGATCTAGAGTCAGGAAGAGGCAAGGGATTTCAGGGGGCCAATGGGAATTCAGTAACTTTAGAGCAGAATGTATATGATAGCCAAATAAGAGATGTTGATATTGAGGTCAGTTTGTGTGGGCCTAGATTGGGAGTTTGTCCTTTATTCTAACATAACAGGGGATCACTCAAGGTTCTTAATAGAGACTATTTTAAGCAGGTAGAATATACTAGTTTCTTGTTGAGATGGCCCATTCCGGCTCCTACCCAGCATCCTTTCCATCCCTAACGTCTCCCTCTACAGTTTTCCTGAGGGTTGAGGTAGCCACTGTGTTTCAGGCCAAGATAGTTGTTAATGGGATATCAGGAACGCGACTGGGCTTGACGGGAAGCAAGGCTGGAGTTACAGGCTGGGCTTGGCGGGAAACAAAGCTGGAGTTACAGGCTGGGTTTGGAGGGAATGCCTTCTTCTAGGGTCCCATAGAGATGTTCCTCCCGCTTCCTAGAGAATCAGAGAATGGATGCGCGAGCTCGCTGCTGACGCACTACCGGCCGCGCCACCATTCTTCCGGTTTCAGAAGTTAAGGCTGGTGTCCTGGCCCCAGTCCACCTCTGGGAGCGCCTGCGCCGCTCCGCGGAGAGTCCGTGGATCTCACAGTGAGCGAGTTGGGACCCAGGGAGGGGAAAAGAGAGGACCCCGGCGAGCCATTGCTGGGGCGGCGGGCTGGAGGGTTATCTGGGAAGTCAGCCCCGGCCTCGGTCCTCTCCACGTTGCTGCCTACGCGTGCTGCCCGGACGTAGGGCACTCCTAGCGGCTCGGCCCGCCCAGCCTGCAGCCTCAGCACTGCAGACTCCAAGGCCCAGCACAGTGCCCGGCACAGAGGAGATGCCTAGGAAAATGGCGGAGTGAATGAATGAATGAGTGAATGAGTGATGGATAGATGATCAAGACAGACCTAGGACCCATGTCAGGAAACGAGGTCCTGGGGATCAGATACCAGTTTCTTCCCCCGGCTGATCCTGTAGCTCCGAAACTTGTTTAGAGCCTGTTTTTATAGGAGACGGCAAATAGCGTAAAGTGCACTCGTTGGGAGTCTTGAGACCTGAGTTACAATTCTGGAGGGTACAGAAATCTCTAAAGTACTGTCTAGAAGTCTGTTCCTTGCTTCTTCACAAAGCTCAGTTGACAGCTTGTATGTGATAGCATGTATGCAAACCTTAATGCCTCCCAATGAAGGATTACTATCCATTATATGCCAAACATTACCCCGAATTTAGTGGCTAGGCTACAAAAGAGTGACATCGGAGACTGCCACATGTAAAGATGCTTCCAGTCTTGTTTAGGACGATAAGGGCATAAGCAGATTTTGGTGGTAATATTTTAAACTACATTTATTTAGCACTTACTGTATACCAGGCACTATTTGAAGCATTTGTGCTAATTGATTTAATCTTCACAACAGCGTATTGCGTGTACAGTTTTGTTTTTTGGTTTTTGGTTTGTTTTTTTTTTTGAGACGGGATTTCACTCTTGTTGCCCAGGCTGGAGTGCAACGGGGTGATCTGGGCTCACCACAACCTCTGCCTCCCGGGTTCAAGCGATTCTCCTGCCTCAGCCTCCCGAGTAGCTGGGATTACAGGCATGCGCCACCACACCTGGCTAATTTTGTATTTTTAGTAGAAACGGGGTTTCACAGTGTTGGTCAGGCTGGTCGCGAACTCCCAACCTCAAGTGATCCACCCGCCTTGGCCTCCCAAAGTTCTGGGATTATAGGCGTGAAACACCGCGCCAGGCCTATGTGTAGTTTTTAAGTGAGGGAACTGAGGTACAGAGAGAACAGAAAACTTGTCCCAGATCACATTGCTAAGTGACCCAAGGCTGCATAAGAGATAAAGTGTACTGCCACAGCTTGGGTGAGTGCACTGTTTGGTGCCAAAATGCAGACCAAGAAGGGCTTCAGAGAGGAGTACATTTCAATGTGGTCTCGTTGGAGGGATTGTTAAAAATTCTTGAAAAACTTCATCTAGCTTGCTTAGATTCTTTTAGCTAATTATTGAGGGGTAAGGAGGTGGCATCTGGGGAAAAGCTTACAAGGTAGAGGGAGGAAGCCAGCTCTCTAATAGGTTAGCAGGATAGGGCTATTAAGAGCCTGTTTCCTTTTTACCTTTCACCATAATACTCAGCTTTCCCCAGATCTGCAGAGGGATCTTTTTAGCATCTTAAAATCACTAACAGCCAGATTATTCCACAATAGGCATTTGTAGAAGCACCTGTACATTACTTTCTGGGCAACTTATAGACCTAGGAGTCAGCAAATATGGACCAAATTTGGTCTGCCACTTTTTTTGGTAAAACTGTTTTATTAAAACACAGGCAAGCTCATTCAGTACATATTGTCTGTTTCTGTTTTCAGACTACAAAGGCAAAGTTGAATAGTTGAGACAGAGACTATATTTTCCATTTAACCCATTAAACCTAAAAAAAATTGCTTTCTGGCCTGTTACAGAAAATGTTTGCTGACCCTTGACATTGACAAACTGCTGACAGCTCAGATGATCCATGATTGGAAGGATGTGGTCATCACCAAGATGTCTTTCTTTCTCCGTAGGTTTTAGTATCAACCATAATAGCATCTAACCCCTGTTGAGTGCCTGCCATCGAGTAGATATCTTTTTGAATGCTTTATGTGAATTAACTCATCAAGGATTCACAGATTATCAGAGCTGGAATGACCCGTAAATATTGTCTAATTTGTCACCCTTTTCAGATAAATAGCCTGTCATGTAGGCCCACTCACATGGGCTATTGGCAGAGCAAACTTTCCTGAGTCCCAATCCAGTCTACTATCATCTTGTGAATGGGAGGCCAATACCATAGCCATTGGATCTGGCATTTTGTTTTTGTTTTTGTTTCTGGGTTTTTAAAAAGTAACTTTTTCTACCTATAAAAGTAATATATGTTTATTGAAGGAGAAGTAAAAATATAGAAGAGTATAAAGGACAAACTAAAGTGACCCATTAACTGACCTAGAGATAAATGTGTTAATATTTTGGTGGGTTTTCTTTATGTCTTTTTTAAATGTGTGTGTTTTATCTGTTTATTAACAATAGTTTCTGTTTATTGAGTGCTTAATGCCAGTATATGTGTGCATATTTCTTGTTTTTTAGTGTTTTGTATCTTCCTGTTTTAACATATTATATTTTCTCATGAATATTCTTTGAAATTATGATTTTTGATACCTTCATAAGCTATCTTTGCTAGTCTATCAATGTTTATTTGCCTGTTTATTTAACAATTGTAGTAATAGTGTGATCTTTGTACATAAATCTCTGGCCATCTCTGATTATGCTTTTTCACTTTTTCTTTGATTACAGAAGTTAGTTATTCCTATGGGAAAATTTTCAAACATTACAAAAAGATAGGCCTTAAGGCAAAAGTTTACCATAATTTTATTCTTCAGATATGATCACAATAAATAATTTGTTATATATTCTTATAGATTTGTTTTTTTTTTAAAGTGGAGCAAAATATAGATAATAGAGGACATTTGAGGAAATTATTCACAATTCATTATTTTACCACAGTGATGATTATTTTTCCTTCTTGATCTTATTCAGATGTATTTTTAATTTTTAATTTTTGAGAGGGATCTCACTCTGTCACCCAGGTTGGAATGCAATGGTGCTATCACAGCTCACTGCGACCTCTACCTCCCATGTTCAAGTGATCCTTCCACCTCAGCCTCCTGAGTAGCTGAAACCACAAGCACGACACATGTATATTTTAACAAACATATATTTTACATTATATTACTACTTGAAATTTTACTATACTGGATTTTTTCAACATATGGCATAAATATTTTTCCCAATAAACACATATTTTCATTTTTAATGATCTTAATGCCTAAATAATTTTCACCAACTAGAAGTACCATAATTTGCTAATCCTCAGTGTCCACCAGTAGAAAAACTTTTATTTCCATGTACATTTCAGGGGATATTTTTACAAGTAACAGAAGAATTCTGTTTCTCTTCTCTCTGGAAATTTACTTCTTTCTGAGAAAATTCTATTTGTAGAATTACTAGGTCAAAGAATATAGTCTTTTTTTTTTTTTTTTGAGACGGAGTTTCGCTCTTGTCGCCCAAGCTGGAGTGCAGTGGCGTGATCTCGGCTCACTGTAGCCTCTGCCCCCTGGGTTCAAGCAATTCTCCTGCCTCAGCCTCCTGAGTAGCTGAGATTACAGGTGCCTGCCACTGCGCCCGGCTAATTTTTTGTATTTTTTAGTAGAGACGTGGTTTCACCATGTTGGGCAGGCTGGTCTCGAACTCCTGACCTCAGGTGATCCACCTGCCTTGGCCTCCCAGACTGCTGGGATTACAGGTGTGAGCCACTGCGCCCAGCCGAATATAGTCATTTTTTATGGCATACTGATGACTCTGAGGTACACTACAGGTGGTGTATATACAAAATGAGCATTCTGTTCTGAATTCCTGTATCCACAAAATGTTGATCACAGCATCCTAACTATAACTGAAGCTACAACTTTCACACCTGATGTATATTGCCAGATTAGCTCCAGAAAGATGGTACCAACTTACATTCGCACCGGTATGTGAGAAACTCCCTGTACCTTTGTGAATCTTGAGTGTAGCATTAAAGATAGATTTTCCAGTTTGATGTAAAAATTGATTCTTCATTCTTTCAGTTTCCATTTCCTTGTTTACCATAAAGATGGAACATTGTTTTGATATGTTTACTGGCCTGTTGTAATTCTTGGTGTATTTTTTGTATTTTCCATTTTTCTCTCAGTTCATCTTTTTTTCTTACTCATTTGTAAGAAGTCTTTATTAGGTCTGTCTATCCCTTGATATATAACTGAAAAATACTTTTTTAAAGCTTGTTTTTCTTCATTTTCTTTGTATTTTGGATATACAGAGTATTGTTTTTATGTGGTCAGATTTATCAATTTTTGTCCTATCCATTTTGCATCATGCTTGAAAGTGCTAACCCTAGAATGAATTATTGGTCATACTTTATTTTGTGGTTTTACTTTTTTTATTTAACCCTTTAATTGGTTTGGGTTTATTTTGGTGTGTGGCATGATATAGTAATCGCACTTTTTTTTCCAGGTAGTTAGCAATGGTGCCAACTTGATTTATGAATTATCTATCTTTTTGTGATTAGAAATGCTGCTTTTATCATATATTAAATTATTTTTATTTACATCTCTTAGAGGATTAGAGATATTTTATTTAATTAATTTATTTTTGAGACAGGATCTTGTTTTGTTGCCCAGGCTGGAGTGAAGTGATGCAATCTTTTTTTTTTTTTTTTTTTTTTTGAGATGGAGTTTCGCTCTTGTCGCCCAGGCTGGAGTGCAATGACACGATCCATCCTCACCACAACCTCCGCCTCCCGGGTACAAGGGATTCTTCTGCCTCAGCCTCCCAAGTAGCTGGGATTACAGGCATGTGCCACCATGCCTGGCTAATTTTGTATTTTTAGTAGAGACAGGGTTTCTCCATGTTGGTCAGGCTGGTCTCGAACTTCCAACTTCAAGTAATCCACCTGCCTCAGCCTCCCAAAGTGCTGGGATTACAGGCATGAGCCACCACACCCGGCCAATGCAATCATATTAATAGCTCACTGCAGCCTCGAACTCCTGGACTCAAGTGATCCTCCCGCCTTAGTAGCTATGACTATAGGTACACACCACTACACCCAACTTAATTTTTGTTTTTTTTTGTAGAGGTGAAGTTTTCTATGTTGCCTAGGCTGGTTTCAAACTTCTGGCCTAAAGTGATCTTCCCACCTTGGCCTCCTAAAGTGCTAGGATTACAAGTGTGAGCTACCTCACCTTGCTGGGATTAGAGATCTTTTAAGTGTTTAGACTCACTGTTGGAGTTTTCCTAGCCACATTGCTTTAAAGATTTTATCTGTTACTCCTGTGATTTCAAGTACTTTTTTTATGTCTAAAACTCTTCAGGCCACACCTCTCTCCTCTCTTTCAGCTGTGTATGCCCTGTTCTACTTTCTGTTTGGATATTTGAGACTAAAGATAACTTATTCCTTTCCAGACCAGTGTACCAGTGTCACTAAAGATCACTGTCATCTCCCAAAACTGCCTAATTATCCTTGACATCTCCCTCTCTCACCCTTCCCACCAATATTCATTCATTCTGGTTGAACCTTTCTCTTAATCCAGTCCCCATACTGGACTACTGAAATAGCCTCACAAGGGATCTTCAAGCCTTCACCTTGCCCTCCCACTCCTCACCACTACGCAGATTATCTGTTGCTGTAGACAGAGGAATATGTTTCCTTAAAACAGTGGATCTAATCATGTCATGTATTCTATCAAACTGTTTCAAATCCTTATTATGGCTTTCTCTTCACTTTAGGGTAAAGTCCTTAAAATGTTTTTTAGGGTTCTGTTTGAACTGGCTTGCCTCAGGCTTTTATGTCTCATTTCTGGTGTTTAATACTTGGGCATTACTATGTTTCCTTTATTCCTCCAAAGTACTGAGCTTGATTCCTTTTGTATGTTCATTTTGTCTCTCTTCTTTTCCCTTTCACACGTCTAAAGGGGACCCAGACTATATTAGGTCCCCTGTGCTTTACATTCTGTAGCACCCCATACTTGCAGTTTTGTAACTCCCATATTTGAAATGATTCATTTAATGTCTTTGTCCAGCTATGACACAAGTTGGAGCCAGATAGGGTGTCTGGCTTCTTTTTCCAGCGTCTAGCACTGATTAGTCACCCAAATGCAACTCTGCTTGCATGAGTCTCTGAGTCTCTGTAGGATTGTATAGTAGCTTACAGGTTCCTTTATGTTCTTCCTGTGAATGAGAATCAGAATCAGGAAAACCAGGTAGGATCATCTTCTTTTTTTTTTTTTTTTGAGATGGAGTCTTGCTCTGTCGCCCAGGCTGGAGTGCAATGGCGCAATCTCAGCTTACTGCAGCATCTGCTTCCTGGGTTCAAGTGATTCTCCCGCCTCATTCTCCCGAGTAGCTGGGATTACAGGCACCTGCCATCATGCCCAACTAATTTTTGTATTCTTATAGAGACAGGGTTTCTCCATGTTGGCCAGGCTGGTCTCAAACTCCTGACCTCAGGTGATCCGCCTGCCTCAGCCTCCCAAAGTGCTGGGATTACAGGCGTAAGCCACTGCTCCAGGCCAAGGATCTTCTTAAATCTTTAAAACTCAATGCAGAAGCACAGACTTCACTAAGAAGTCCACAAGACCAAGCTTATTATGTACTTGAGCAGACTTATTTTATTCTTTCATGTCTTCCAAGTTCTTGACTCTGGTAAAATCATATCTGGATCTTCCCTTTTTCCTTGAATAATGCTGCCAGTTCTGCTTCTCACTTCAAGGTTAAATGGAGAGATATTTTTGAGTGAACAGTTTTGGTATTGATATTTTTAAGAAGCAGCATTTACAGAAACTGGTATTTTTGCAACTTTTTTGTAAGTCAAAACTTATTTCACAGTTAAATTTATTTCTGTTTCTTTTTAACTGCAGCCTGTTCTCTGACACTGAGCTATACCTGAAGAAAAACTGTTTAATTGATATGACATCTTGAAGAAGGGACAATCAGTGTGTCTCTAGTTTGTATCAAGTAGATAGCATTCCCTAACACTATCTCAGCTCCTTGGCATTTGGTAGAAGTGGGTAAATCAGACTTAATGCACAAGCTTTGCTATGAGGACATTTTGCTATACAACTTTTAACTATATTAACTGGCTTTTCATATAGATTATTGTATGATGGCCAGAGTGTACTAATTGATGTGAATATTCCTATTCGTTTAATCTTTATAATTATAAAAAGGTAATGAATAACATTCTGATTTACTTATCAAGTGCTTAAATATTTGATAGTATGTTAGTCTGATGTTACCACTTCTTGAACAGCTGGCAAATGGGGTGTGAACCTAGGAGGCTACAAGCCAATGCTGATTTTTGCGGATGCTTCCACATTGTTATCCTGAGAGTTATTGTGTGTGTTATTAGATAGTGTCCCTAGGCAACAGCTCTTTGTTTTCGTTCTGTTTACTGGGACAGTAATATTCCCTCCCTCCCTGCACCTTTTCTCCCCATGAGCAGGGTTCCCAGTTTTCCAGACCTGAAGTGTTTTCCAATCAAAGCGAAGAGACGATCTGTGGATGTTGAATATGCAAGGAGCTGAAGAGAGAGACATTAGAAGAGAGACTTGTCCAGGTGAGTGAGCAAGGGACAAGCAGTGGGAGAAATAGTCAGCCAATAGGAAGCCTTTGGAAATTTTAGAGGACAAGCTGGGTGAGGCTCAGGAGATAAAATAACTGTCTCTTATAGGGATGTTGGGGACAGGGGTGGGTGAACATGTCTGGGGCCAACTTTTCCCCAGTACTAATTTTATCATTCTCATTTCTAGCATTTTCCTGTTTACATTCTCCCACTCTCCACTCTGGATACAAACCATTCATGTTTCCTGTCTTGCCCTAATCTCAGCCTGTGTGTTGGGTGTTGTTTTTCATTTATCTCTATTGTCTCATTCTCTTGCTCCTTGGGTGTCTGTAGCTACCCCTTCCATGGGAGTTCCTCGTTAATGGTGATCACATTACCCTAATGCATATCTCTTCTACCAGTTACAACTCTAACTTACTTGCCACACTTGCTGTTACTGGCCCTTCATCATAGGCCATTACTGAGGTCTGCCAAAAGTTAAGGTCTTACAGTTTCAGGGGCCTTCACTCTGCCCTGTACAGGAGATATTCATTCTGCTGTTTTCTTTCAGGCTGGGTAAACAAGAACAAGCCTGCTCTGGAGCAGGATGTCTGTAAAATTGACTCATCAGGGATAGTAGTAAAGAGGTTCCAAGAGGATGAATACCAAGATTCTACATTTGAAGAAAAATATGCATGTGAGGGCATGAAGGAAAACTCTCCTAGGGAGATTGCTGAATCATGCCTTTTCCAGGAAGGAGGTTTTGGGAGAATAACTTTCATCCACAAAGAAGCACCCCCTGAAATTATTAGTCAAGGATATAATTTTGAGAAAAGCTTGCTTTTGACCTCAAGCCTTGTTACACGTCTCAGGGTTTCTACAGAAGAGAGTCTGCATCAGTGGGAAACAAGTAATATACAAACCAATGATATTTCAGACCAAAGTAAATGTCCAACTCTCTGCACACAGAAAAAATCTTGGAAATGTAATGAATGTGGAAAAACCTTTACTCAGAGCTCATCCCTTACCCAACATCAGAGAACTCATACTGGAGAGAGACCCTACACATGTGAGGAATGTGGGAAAGCCTTTAGTCGTAGTTCATTCCTTGTTCAACATCAAAGAATTCACACTGGAGTGAAACCATATGGATGTGAGCAGTGTGGGAAAACATTTCGATGTCGATCATTTCTTACTCAGCATCAAAGAATTCACACTGGAGAGAAACCTTATAAATGCAATGAATGTGGGAATTCCTTCCGCAATCACTCACATCTCACTGAACACCAGAGAATTCACACTGGAGAGAAACCTTATAAATGCAATAGGTGTGGGAAGGCATTCAATCAGAATACACACCTTATTCATCATCAGAGAATTCACACTGGTGAGAAGCCTTACATATGCAGTGAATGTGGCTCTTCTTTTCGAAAACACTCAAATCTTACGCAACATCAGAGAATTCACACTGGGGAAAAACCCCATAAATGTGACGAATGTGGGAAAACTTTCCAAACAAAGGCAAACCTCTCTCAGCATCAGAGAATTCATAGTGGAGAGAAACCCTATAAATGTAAAGAATGTGGCAAAGCCTTTTGTCAGAGCCCATCTCTTATTAAACACCAGCGAATTCATACTGGAGAAAAACCATATAAGTGTAAAGAATGTGGCAAAGCGTTTACTCAGAGCACCCCACTCACTAAACATCAGAGAATACATACAGGGGAGAGACCCTACAAATGCAGTGAATGTGGTAAAGCCTTCATTCAGAGCATTTGCCTTATTCGGCACCAGAGAAGTCACACTGGAGAAAAACCCTATAAATGCAATGAATGTGGAAAGGGCTTTAATCAGAACACCTGCCTCACTCAGCATATGAGAATTCATACTGGAGAGAAGCCCTATAAATGTAAAGAATGTGGGAAAGCCTTTGCTCATAGCTCATCTCTTACTGAACATCATAGAACTCACACTGGTGAGAAGCTCTATAAATGTAGTGAGTGTGAGAAAACCTTCCGCAAGTATGCACACCTTAGTGAACATTACAGAATTCACACTGGTGAGAAGCCTTATGAGTGTATTGAGTGTGGAAAGTTCTTCAGACATAGTTCAGTCCTTTTCAGACATCAGAAACTTCACAGTGGTGACTAATGCTGCCATTTAGGTTATGACAGTTTCTCTAGCGAGGATGACTACGAATCTGACTGGGAGTAGAGGGGCAGGTAGAGTTCCTGGAGGGAAGGATGAAGGAGCCTTGGCTACTGTACTCTGAGAGGAATGTTTCCAGAAATGGAGGTGGGAGCTTAGGGAATGCAGAGCCTACTTGAGGTGGGCATCTGGGAATACAGGGTAGAAAGAAATTCCTGCTTTTCAGATAAAGCCTACACATTGCCACTGTCTCCCCATGTGACTCTTACAGCTTGAGGAGGCATTTGTTAGCACTTCTGTTCACTTTACTACATCCTGCCCCACATTCTGACTTGTCACCCATTTTCGTTGGCTGGCAGGTTGAGATGTTTTTCTTAAACACTGCCTGTCAGTGTGAAGTGGCACAGCTCTGATGTAGTGCTAAGTCTAGCCTCCAGATTTGAGGCAGCCCTGACCATGCTACCATGGGGGAGGCTCCCAACCTGTGGAAGTGGTCCTGTGAAAAGGAGACAGAAACAAGTAAGAGCCAAAAAAAAAAAAAAAAAAAATCCATATCCATTCATTAAAAAAATGAGATATAAAGCAACAACTGGGCTGACCTCTATAGATCTGCCAGTAAAGAAGGCTTTCTTTCATTATCAGGGTGAAGGTCTTTCCTGATTCTTCCAAGCTTTGAGGTGACTCAGAGCTAAGAATGAAATAGGAGACCAAGTTAGAATTCATGATACTGGTTTATGGGGAGGCAGTCATACCTGTTCAGAGAACCAGGAAGACTCAATATCTATCTCAGAGGAAATATGGTTACCCAGGAAAGAAATGGTCTGCTAGAGTGATAAGACTCAGAACAGGAAGCCTGCATGTGACTGAGCAAGTCACCTACATAACCCTGCCTGTACTAAGGTGTACACCTGTCTATTGTAAGTTTGCCTAGGCTGTTGGTGTACAGAGACCAGAGGAGAGAGACACACTAGGACTAACAATGTCCTAACAAAATGGTACTTAGTTTGTTGGTCTTTAGGAGAAAGCATTAGTAATGAAAGAAGAAAGAATTTTCACTTGGTTGGACATTGGGGCTCTTAAGAAAGTTGACATTTGTCGTGGAATGACTTTGGAAAGACTTCTAAAAGAATCTTTTTCAAATCCCTGAAAATCAGGATAGCACATTTTGCTACTGACTGTGACAGTGTTTTATTCTTTTGAGAGAAATGACATAGTTTTCCCTTTATTTCCCAAATTCCTTTCATGTTCTTAACTGCTACCCAGAAATTGAGCTTCAGAAGATTGAGGATAGCCTTTGATTGGTATTTAAAATAATTTCTAAGCTGTGAAGCTTATAGCATTTTTAAAGTATGGCTATTAAAAACACTAAGTTGATTCTGGAATGCTTGGTTATTTGGAACTCATCGTTTTTTTTTTTTGTTTTTGTTTTTTTTTTTTTTTTCTAGAGCAGTTGCCTTGTAGGGATAGGTTTGGGCCATGAATTACCATTAATGGGAGTATGGTATAAATATATATCTTTTTCACTTTCTATGAAGATTATGTTCTTAAAACCTACCACCAGTGAAGTCATAATTGAGAAAATTAATACACTATGGGTAAAAATAATGCTGTAAAACCTTTCTAAATATGTTTGTGAAAATATTATTTTACCAAAAGCAAAAATGTATTTATACCTCCTAGATAAAAACTGCATAATTAATTACTGGCACATAATACATGTTCAGTAAATATTTATTTCATGAGTTATATCAACTATTGCCCAACAGAACCTTTCTTGGAACTTCCTGATGAATAGTTATTTATAGCAATATTTGTACACCATCTTGAGAATTATGAGTGGAGATTAGAATAGGGAGAGTTTTCTTAAGAAAGAAACAAGAAAACTTTAAAGATATCTCAGGAGGCTGAGGCACAAGAATCACTTGAACCTGGGAGGTGGAGGCTGCAGCCAGCCGAGATTGTGCCTGTGCACTCCAGCCTGGGAGACAGAGTGAGACTTTTTCTAGAAAAAAAAAAAAAAATGATATCCATAAGTTCTTGTGGGAAAGATTTTCTCAAGTGAAACAGACTTGATCCTGAATTTTTCTCAGGCTGAGAAAATATGGCATGTTTTTACCTTCTGGGGAAACAGTTAAATAACTGTTCTTTCCACTACCCTGACCCCATATTCTTACACTTGGACTTATGTGCTCCCGATTTTCTCTCAGTTGCTGGCCCATGATGTACCTAGTCTCTCCAGCATGGCCCCAAACCTAGTCATTGCCCTCACCCTCAGTTTTCCCTCTTATTCAATCTTCATATCCATTCAACCACTATGTCCTGTTGAAGTTATCTCCTATCTCTGGAAGCCATCTCCACTGCAGTTATTGTAGTCCAGTCCCCTACTCCCTAATTTATTTTCTAGACTATTTTATTTTTAATTTTAATTTTTTTTTTTTGAGACAGGATCTCACTCTGTTGTCCAGGCTGGAATGCAATGGCATGGTCTCTGCTTACTGCAAACCCCCACCTCCCAGGCTCAAGCGATCCTCCCATTTCAGCCTCCCAAATAGCTGGGACTACAGGCATGTGCCACTATCCTTGGCTAATTTTTATATTTTTTTGTAGTGATGGGTTTCACCATGTTGCTCAGGCTGGTCTCGGACTCCTGGGCTCAAGCAATCTGCCTGCCTCAGCCACCCAAAGTGCTGGGATTATAGGCATAAGCCACTGTGCCTGGACTTCCTATTTTAAAATTTATCTACCAGTCTTCCAGTTTCTTGCCCCACTAGGCCATCTTTCACATTTCTTCTTGATCTTTATAAGCATAACTGGCTGCTTATTGTTTTCGGAATAAAGCACTAGTCCTTTAAAGAGGCAGGTGAGGCCCCTCATCTGACCCATGCCTGAATTGCCATCCTTAGCTGCCATTCCTTGCCTGGCATGTTCTATTCCATAGTTCAAATTCCTGTGATTCTGGAATATCACCTCTGGACTCTATTTTGGCACTTCCGCACATAGTGTTCCTATTGCCTCAGTTCCTTTTCCCTGCTTCTGCTTGCCTGCAAAACTCCCATTTTTCACTTACGAGTGTGCTCAGGCAATATCTCAAAGCTGTCTCTAACCTCATGTATTTTTTATTCTGTCTTGTATTTTTCATCATTTTATTATGTTACATTATAATGGTTTGTTCACACATCTTTCCCTTTGTCAGCTTTGCTAGGGAAGGAACAATGTGAAATTTCTTTACCTTTGTATCAACAGTGCCTGGTACTTAGGAGGTGCTCAATAAGCATTTGTTGAACTCAACTGAAGAGTCAGACATTTCTCTGTGCTAGTCTGCAGGTTGTGACTTAAGTCCCCAGTTGTCAGCAGGAAGGAGGCATGGTGAGTATGCGTGTCCACGAAGTGTCTGCCAGGAGCAACAGTTCTGAAACTTTCCCTAAGATTGTATTAAACAGAAGATCCCATAAGAAACAATATTTTTCAATTAGAGATTTAAAAGTCCTATCACAATTTAACTAAACGCTTTCAATTATATTGATGTCAGGGTCAACAGGAGGAAAATGCATGCAACTGCAGAAACACACCTGTGTCAACTGGAATACCTATGAAATAGCAGGAACTGAAGAGTAATGCTGGCCTAGCAGGAGGGCATTTGCAGTTTACAAATCCCAAACTGGGCCAGGCATGGTGGCTTGCACCTGTAATCCCAACTACTCAGGAGTCTGAGGTGGGAGGATTGATTCAGGCCAGGAGTTCAAGAGCATCCTGTGGAACATAACAAGACCTTGTCTAAAAAAAATAAATAAATAAATAAATAAATAAATAAATAAACCAGGTATGGTGGTGCATGCCTGTAGTCCTAGCTATTCTGGATGCTGAGCCTGAGGTGGAAGGATCGCTTGAGCCCAGGTGTTGGGAGCTGCAGTGAGCTAGCATCATGCCACTGCACTCTAGCCTGCGTATCAGAGAGTGAGACCCTCTCTCTTAAAAAAAAAAAAAAAAAAAAAAAAAAAAAAAAAAAAAGTACCAAAGTGGAAGCACTTCCTGAGATTTTGGGCCCTGGGATGATAAAGAATTTGAGTGTCTTGCTTATTGTGCACTGAAATTTAATTCATGACTTTAGAAGGACACAGATGGAGCCACGTCAGATCCTCAGAACAAAAGAGAAAAGATGTTGGGGTTGCTCAAGACCACACAACCAGTGTCAGATGAGGTTTAAACTGCAGTGTCCTTGCATTTCATTTACTTTTCCCTGTATTGGTCATACCTCTATTCCATATGCCTCTTTATTTTTTATAGAACTGACTACTTTTTTTTGTTTCTGAGATGGTTTCGGTCTGTTGCCCAGGCTGGAGTGCAGTAGCGTGATCCTAGCTCACTGTAGCCTAGACCTCCCAGGCTCAAGCGATTCTCTCACCTCAGCCTCCCAAGCAGTTGGGACTACAGGCGTGAGCTACCATGCCTGGCTAATTTTTAAAAAGTATTCTCTGGCCGGGTGCGGTGGCTCACGCCTGTAATCCCAGCACTTTGGGAGGCCAAGGCAGGCGGATCACAAGGTCAGGAGTTTGAGACCAGCCTGACCAACATGGTGAAACCCCGTCTCTACTAAAAATATGAAAATTAGCCAGGCATGGTGGCGCGTGCCTGTAATCCCAGCTACTAAGGAGACTGAGGCAGGAGAATTGCTTGAACCCAGGAGGCAGAGGTTGCAGTGAGCCAAGATCATGCCACTGCACTCCAGCCTGGGTGACAGAGTGAGAGTCTGTCTCAAAAAAAAGTTTTTTAATATTATTTTTTGGTACAGACAGATTCTTGCTATGTTACCCAGGCTCATCTCTAACTCCTGCCCTCAGATGATCCTCCTAACTCGGACTCCCTTACAGGCCTGAGCCACTGCATCCAGCCTAGAATTGACCACTTAGTGCTCCAATCTTTTCCTTATCCTGAGGATGTGAGGAGCTCACTTGTATAAGATTGAGAAGCTTTTTGTTCTCAAAATCTCAGACTTTCCTGAGTGTGAGGGTGACAAGTAAGTTGATGATACCTTTTGACCCCTACTTTCTACATAAGGTAGAAACCTAATCTTGACGATATGTGGCATTAGTTTCATTTATCCAGTGGCCACATCAGGGCTAAGGTTATTTTAGTGTTTTGGAACGTTTTTGGTGTCCATCCCTACCATCCGTTTTCCACCTCATTGAAAGAAGCTCAGCCCAAACTGCTATTAAACTCCAGATTACGGTTTCTAGTAACCTCAGGTGCCTCCCTCCAGACTTAATGTCCTCCACACACTACACCCTGCTGATTTGGAGACTCTTTGAAGCCTAATGTTTGGGGAATGAATAATTAGACCTAGGGTCTCTGGCCTGTGAGATGTTAGGGCTGGAGGGAAGAACTTGCTATCTGATTCCAAAGAAGTGCTGAGAATGTGACACCTGGAGAGGGAAACTTAACATTATTGTTACATGGCATGTCAACTGACAATTTTACAAAGGGTCACTTTTTAGCCAAAGATAGCGATGGCCTCAGTCTGTGGCACCAGCATTCCTGATTTGTGTCCAAAAGGGACTCCATTTTGGGAAAACAGCCAATCTGAAGATTGGAATGGATATTTTTTTTTTTTTTTAAGATGGAGTCTGGCTCTGTCACCCAGGCTGGAGTGCAGTGGCATGATCTCGGCTCACTGCAAGTCCGCCTCCCAGGTTCAAGTGATTCTCCTGCCTCACCCTCCTGAGTAGCTGGGATTACAGGGGCACACCACCACGCCCGGCTAATTTTTGTATCTTTAGTAGAGACGGGGTTTCGCCATGTTGGTCAGGCTGGTCTCAAACTCCTGACCTCGTGATCCGCCCCCCATGGCCTCCCAAAGTGCTGGGATTACAGGTGTGAGCCACCATGCCTGGCCTGGAATGGATAATTTCTCTGCTGCATCTCATTAATTTATACAGCAAGTGTTCACTTCTATATGCTGCACACTAGGGATATGATGGTGTGCACACAGCCCTATTGTCCTGAGATTGCAGATCAGTAGGAATGCTTGGAAGTGAATAAGGTACTCTCCACTCATGCCTTTATCTCTGGACTTTACCTGTCAAGATGAGCCCATGTGTGCAAATATTTCCTGAGTTAGAGCCAGCAAGATCTGAAGTTTTGTAGAAAGGGATGGGTGTGCTACCTTGAGGCCCTGAAAGGTCAGTGAAGTCAGGGCAGAACAATAGGTACTGGAGCTGGGATTTGAGACACAGACAATAGTCCTAACATTTACTGAAGATTTAAAAAATACTAGATGTTCTTAGTAATTCACACGTATTAACCTCACTTAATCCTCACAACAACCCTGTGGTACCATTATTATACCTGGTAAGTGAGGAAGCAGGCACAGAGAGGTAAAGTTGCAAAGTTCATACACTGAGAATCAGGGATTTGAGCCCAAAGCAGTGTTTGATTTGTTTTGTTTTGTTTTTGAGACAGAGTCTCACTCTATCACCCAAGCTGGAGTGCAGTGGCTCAGTCTCTGCTCACTGCAACCTCCCCCTCCCAGGTTCAAGTGATTCTCGCGCCTCAGCCTCCGGAGTAGCTGGAATTACAGGCGCCCACCAGCACACCCGGCTGATTTTTGTATTTTTAGTAGAGACAGGGTTTCTCCATGTTGGGCAGGCTGGTCTTGAACTCCTGACCTCAGGTGATCCGCCCGCCTCGGCCTCCCAAAGTGCTGGGATTACAGGAGTGAGCCACCGCGCCTGGCCTGCAGAACTTTTTCTTTTGGCCACCTGAACAAAGATCCTGGGTCAGTAAGGTGTCAGGGGTTTCTGTGAAGAGGTCAGTTTTCTTCCAGATGAGGATGTGTGTGAGGAAGGTGGAAGCCAGTTTTGTGAAAAGCCTTGAGAATCCCCAAAGGACAGTAACATAGGAAGCTAAATGTGGCGGACTTGCAGGATGAACTGATGCACAGTAAGAGCTCCTTGTGGTCGACCCTTCTGACTTCCATCCCGTTTCCCTGTGCTGGAAGACGCACGCCAGGTGGGGTCGCAGGTTGTTTCTGGTGCCGGCTTAACCGGCGCAGCACCGAAACCCGTAGCTGCGTGCGGGAAGGAACCACCGAGCGGAAGCCGCTCCCACCTTCCTAGAGAGGAGACGGTAGTGGTTATTAGCCGAGGCGCGGACTGCTGACGTCACGCCGGCTGGGCGCGTCCGGGACTTACTCCTTTCCGCAGGGCAGCACCCAGGGACCTGAGTGTTGCAAGGTGCGAGAGGGGAGCGCCGCGGGGAGCGCCGCGGGAAGCGCATGGTGAGCGGTTTCTGCTGTGCCCGGCTGCCGCGGGTCGATTCCAGCTCCTCCCTCGGGAAGCAGGGCGTTTTTCTTCCTGGAGGGCCTGTGGAGCGGAGGCCCGAGGCCTAGGGCAAACTTGCCATGAAGAAAGGAGAGGCTGTTCGAGAGCCCTAGGCTGGGAGTCGGAGGACCTGGGTTCGATTTATACATACTTAAGCATGTCAGTGAACTTCTGGGCACTTTAGTTTTCTGATTTCCAGAAGTAAATACTGTTTCCTGCCTTGCCGTTTCCCAAAGTTGTGCGGGTTGAAGTAAGTATATGCAAGAATTAGTGCCTTCCCTTCATTATTTATTCTTCTCTAACAACAACAAAATAGGTACCGTATGAAGACATGTAGACTCAATACTTTAACAGCAGGCACTATTTATTGAATGCTTACCAGCTGGCATTCTTCTAAGTAGTTGCCATGTAGTAACCCACTTATTCATTACGACAACCCTATAAAGTAGTTACTGGTATCGTCTCCATTTAACAGTTGAAAAAACTGGAGCAAAAAAAGGTTAGGTAACTTGTTCAAAAGTCCTAGTCCTGGAGCCCATGCCATACTTGTAAGTTTGCTGGTGGAAGACAGAATGTAATCAGACTAGAAAGTCCTACAGTAGAAACTTGTAAAATTCTTTGAGAATGTAGACGAGGAAGGGCCTTGGAAAAGTCAAAATTTTCCCACAAGGAAGAGGTGTGAAGTTTCACATTTGAGCTAAATATTAAAGGTTGACTGCAAGCTTGAAAATAATTGCTGGCTTATTTGACCAAATGAGGAAATAAAAGAGACGTTTGAAAATAATTAAACAGTTTGTTCAGTGTCAGTTAAGAGATGCTAGTGGATTGGGATGTATTAGACAGGAAACCAGGTTCCTGCCTTTGAATACAGTGTTCTTTGCATTAGGAGGGTTCTTGAAACCTTTCCCTTATGAAGAGTCCTTAACATCTTACAGCAGATACTCCTTACACAAAGGCAATCCTCTTGTTATTTTCGAGAAATTCCCCCAATTCTAATTGTAGGAGGATAACTGACAGGAAGTTTCCCTGCTGTTGATTCAGCCCGTTCTTAACAAGACCCATTCACCTCACGGCTAGCTCATTTAGTACTTTTCAAATAAATGAATAAACAGATTCAATCAAAGATGGACTGGAAGGGCTTGATTTGAGGTTTTTGCTCTTTTCCCATCTGTATATAGAATCAAAGCTTTGTAGAATGTTGATATTACAAGAAGCTTTAAATATTATCTAGCTTTTCAATTTCATTTAACAAATAAGAAATGGATGAGACTGAGTGACCTGTGTTAGGTCATTGAACAAATTGGTGGCAGAGCTGAGACTAGAATCCACACCTCTTGACTGAGTCCATTACTGGTCCTACTGCCCTCTATTGTAGCCCTGCAGCATTTGACTTTTGAAATCAATGGCTTTTCCAGTAGACTTAGGGGAGCCATTGGGCTCCAACCTGATGTCGTATAAAGAAATTTTTACGCCCAGATGCTTAGTCCTAGGAAGGACCTGCCCTCTTTGTACATTGTCACATCTCTCTGAAGTCTGCCAACTCACTAATTTTTGTCACTGGAGATACTCCTCTAGGATAATAACGATATTCTTTCATTTGAACTTAAAATGGTCATTTGGTTAGAGATGGGATGTTCTTGAGTTACCCTGAATCTAGAAGGTGTAGGAAGTAGGCTGGCAATTTATGAGTGGCTCTTTTTCCTCCCTCAGTGCCTCAAATTCCTGCCTTTCCTCAAGAGAAGAGCCCCCAGGAGAAAAGCCAGTATTGCTTGTGCTCCTAACAACCTGTCTCTTGGTAAGTTAACTCTAACTAGAGAGCCCAGGATGGTGGTGGTTGTGAGACTACCATCAGAAGTGATGGCAGACCTATGGTGGGACCCACCAATGTCCACTAAATGTGGACCCAGCAGAAAATGCAGGACCACACAGAAATGGATACCATTTTACTCAAATCAGTGAGGGTGGCCCACTGTGAAAACGGCTATGGAATAATTGGTTATGGGACAGGTCCTAGAGTGCACTAAGTTCTTATCAGAGTACCTGAACTGAAGACTCTACAGTCATCTGGTAGCACATCTTTAAACCACTTATTGAACTGCTCAGTATGATGCCTTAATGGTGTAGTGGTTGGATCAAGGAATATGGGTAGTAAATTATTGGAAAACCCATTGCAAATGTGATTAGGTATTTCCTCAGAGAATATGGAATGGGCTTCTGGCCATGTTTAGAACAAGAGCTTAAGTTATTGCAGCTGACATTGTCACTGGCAATCAAAAGGCAACATGGAGCCTGGGTGTCTGTCAAACTCAGTAAAATAATTCTGGGTAAATTGTATTCTTAGGTTATGGGAACTCTGTGAAGAGAATATGACTGTGTCCTGAAGAATTTGGATTAGTTTAATATGTATGCATAATATATGTACACTTATGTACGTATTTATGTTTATATGCATCAAGAGATACCTAGAAGAAGGTCCATTAAAATACTATTATTTTCTGTGGCTGGGTTTCAAGTGATTTCCTCTTCGGAGTAGCTGACCATTTAATAGAATGAGCATGCATTCTTTGTATGATAAGAAAAAAACCTTTTTATTTTGGAAAAATGAGAGTAAAGGAATTAAAAATGTGCTTAGAGTTTTGGTTTTACATCTGGTTGCTTAAACCAACTGGAGTTTGTTTTTGTATATAGCATATCCATGTTGTAAGTTAATACATCAGATAAAGATAGGTTTAGGTAAGATAGTCCACATATTTAACAAACAGTATGGTACAGGCATTGCCCAAGCAGGTAGTCGTGAACAATTTGTACAGATATAGCAGTGTGTATCATTTGACTCTCAGCCCCAATAGATCCATATGTACCAACATGAAGTGATCTCTAAGACACATTTTTTAGTGGGAAATAAAAGCAAATTGCAGAGCAGAACCTGTAGAACAATTTCATTTATTTAAAGAGAATCAAGTGATATATGTGTATAGAAAAATGTGAAGAAAAAAGGAATGAAGGAAGATACTTCAAACTTGATAATCTCTGGGGAAAGGAATAGGTTTATTTTGTTAACAAAAATTTTCTTTTAGAGAAGGGGTCTTGCTCTGTATACTAGGCTGGAGTGCAGTGGCATGATCATGGCATACTCCAGCCTCAACATCCTGGGCTCAAGTGATTTTCCCACCTCAGCCTACTGAGTAGCTGGGACTACAGGTGCACATGACCACACCCAGCTAATTTTTTATTTTTTGTAGAGACAGCATCTCACTATGTTGCCTAGGCTGCTCTTAAAACTCCTGGCCTCAAGTGATCCTCCTGCCTCAGCCTCTCAAAGTGTTGAGATTATAGGTGCGAGCCACCATGCCTGGCCTATCTTATATACTTCCATATTATCTAAATATTTTAAAGTGAGGATATATAGTTGTGTAATTTACATGATTAGAAAACAGACAAAAATGGGCCTCAGAGAAGAAGCATGTGTTAGTGTCTCCAGCACCAACTAGGGAAGAGATTGCTCTGACGTGCAGCACCTGAATATTCATTCTTTAATTCTGTGTGGCTTATTTAGGGCACCAGGGTTTCAAAATTTGATAATCATTTAGTTATGATCAATTAAATATTTTGTTCTTTCTCCAGTTCTTTGTTTCCCAAAGAGTGCTCTAATGACAGTGATTTGGTTCACATACTGTTTTTCTAAAGTCCAGAGAATATGTTAACCAGCTCTATATTAAGCACAGAAGTTTTTCATTGTAAATAAATGAAGTGACTTTATTTTCTCTCTCATTCCCCTTATAAATCTGATTAGTATATTTCAGATTTCTTTGGCTACAAAGGTGAGGGCCAGCACCTGGACCATGATGCTGTAGTCAAGTTACTGTCCAATTAAACCTTCTTCTTTAAGGACCACTTCTCTAATTTTCCTGAAACAAAACAGTGATATCTTACTTTCTTTCAGTAAGCAGGACTCTAGTTTTCAAACCTATAGGTTTCCAGTTGGGCCTAGGGAGAGAATTATAGATGGTGAATGTTTTGGAGAGAAAGAGAGATCCAATGAGGCACCTGTAAAGGTGACTGAATGAAGAAGGATTGGTGAGATAGGCCTAGTGAAAGTTACAGCCTGGATCACATTTGAAGTTTTAGAAAGGAAACTCTTTGACTATCACTAGCCTGCCATGATTATAGGTAACCTAAAGAAATAGAGTTATTATTCCTCTGTTTTTTGAGCAGTAGAGACTAAGTGGACAGTAAGTTTCCGTAACACTTATATGCCCAAGTCTAGGATACTTATTCCTTTCATATTTTCCAGTTATTTATCACTGTGGGTGCAAATCTGGATGATCCCAAATTACCTGGGTTAGTTTTTAGTATTTGATTGTTTCAGAATCAATTGTGATATGGAATTTTATAGAATTCCTAATACCTGTCACTACTTAATCTCTTCAGAGAGGCTGATCATCAGGGGTTCACTTTCAGAGAAGTTGAGAATGCAGGCTGAACAAGGAAGAGGAAGGGGAATCCTGCAGGGATGAATGAGAGGACAGCAATGCATGTGTGATGTGTGTGAGCACACACACACAGTAACCTTTCCTAGGAGAACTGTATTACTCTAATGATAATCACCTTTGAGGAAAAAAAACTTGTAAGTATGAATTTGGTGTTACAAGCAGCATGAATTCCAGCCAAATATCACTCAGAATGAAACATGGGAGAGTTAACATGCAGAAGAAACCTTCAAAGTGTAGTGAATGTGGGAAGTTCTTTACTCAGAGATCATCTCTTACCCAGCACCAGAGGATTCACAGAGGAGAGAAGCCCTATGTGTGCAGTGAATGTGGAAGTTGTTTCCGTAAACAGTCAAATCTTACTCAACATCTGAGAATTCATACCGGAGAGAAACCTTATAAATGTAATGAATGTGAGAAAGCCTTTCAAACAAAAGCAATTCTTGTTCAGCATCTGAGAATTCATACTGGAGAGAAACCCTATAAATGCAATGAATGTGGAAAAGCCTTTTGTCAGAGCCCATCCCTTATTAAACACCAGCGAATTCATACTGGAGAGAAACCATATAAATGTACAGAATGTGGCAAAGCCTTCAGTCAGAGCATATGCCTTACTCGTCATCAGAGAAGTCATTCTGGAGATAAACCTTTTAAGTGTAATGAATGTGGGAAAGCCTTTAATCAGAGTGCATGTCTCATGCAGCATCAGAGAATTCATTCAGGAGAGAAGCCCTACACATGCACTGAATGTGGTAAAGCCTTCACTCAGAACTCTTCCCTTGTTGAACATGAAAGGACTCACACTGGAGAGAAACTTTATAAGTGTAGTGAGTGTGAAAAAACTTTCCGCAAACAAGCACACCTTAGTGAGCATTACAGAATTCATACTGGAGAAAAACCTTATGAGTGTGTTGGATGTGGGAAATCCTTTAGGCACAGTTCAGCACTTCTTCGACATCAGAGGCTTCATGCTGGAGAGTAAAATTTGGAATATAATGAGTATGGGAAGATTTGTATGGAAGCACCTTTTTTTTCTCCTAAATTCCTAGGAATGTAAGACTCAATCTGTAGCTAGTATGAATATTTTGTATTTTGAACAAGAAATGTTGTGTCCTAATGTGTCCTAGTCTGGAGTTTGATGCCTTATCTGCTGCTCAGTGGGTGTAACCTTATCCCTTCTGAGCCTCAGTTTCCCCATTCCCCCCAATAGAAAAATGGGGATATTTCCTAGGGTTGTCCTGAGAATAAAATGAGTTCTGTGTGACAGTTAACTGCCATTAATTAATTAGCCGTTCTAAAAGTTTATTTACAATATCAAAATCTGACAAGTAAATCAGCATTGTTGTTTGGTTCTCATAATGTATTGTTTCTTAAGAACATTTTGTAATTGGGCTATGATTTTATGATCTACAGACGTCTATTTAAACTATAATGTCTTGGTTTAAATAGGATAATACAATCTAAGACTGGTTTGTCCTTGAGAAATTTCAGATTTAATCAGAGAAAAATGTACTGATTGGGATTTGAGTGGACATTGTGGGGTGTATTTCTGGATACCCTCAAGATCTTCATTTAAATTTTGATACTTTCTATTACTAGATCTAATTTGATTTTAAGCTCTAAGTTTCACTTTTCCATTAAACGGAAAGCCTCCCTGACATTAACTGAATAAAACCTCATGTTGTGGGACTTCTGTGTGTGTTTAGGGTTGGCAGCAGGTGATTAGGAGAAGGCATATGACAGTAGAGAGGACTGGAATATAGAGGAGAATATAAGCATGTAGATGAGGATGTGGCTGTATTTGTTTTGAGTTCTAGGAGCACAGCACCAAATGTGGTCTCTTAAGGGAAGATGAGGGTAGAAGATGTTAAGATCCCAGGTTCCAGCAACTGATGCCACTGACTAACAACTAGCCACTTGTCAGAGGAAGGAGAGAACAGTGTCTTGGGGATGCTGATGGGTTGGAGTGCCTAATGGCTCATTAAAAGCCATGAAAAAGCAAAGAAATCAAAGAATACTTTTGATGGAGCTTTAGGCTATGCTAAGCCTTTTAATGTAAACAAGCACCTCTAACGCTAAAAGCACCCTTGCAAGAAAGGTAGGAGTTACTATTCACATCCTAGAGTCAAGGAAAAAGAGAAGATGTTTGACTTGCTCAAAGTCAAGCAGGTAATGTCAGAATTGAATCTCAAATCTATATCTTTATAGATTTGCAGTTCTGGTTTATATAATACCAAAGTCACATACAGGTAATTTCCCACCATTGAACCTTCCTGTTGGTGTGAGATGCCAAATCTGTGAAAACCAGACACAGGTGGCCAGGTGGGTGTCGAACTCCTGACCTCAAGTGATCCGCCTGCCTCAGCCTCCCAAAGTGCTGGGATTACAGGTGTGAGTCACCACATCTGGTCGGATTTTAACTATTCTAATAGGTATGTAGTGGTATTAATTGTTTTAATCTGCAGTTCACCAATAATATATGAATTTAGCATCTTTTCATATGTTTGCCATCTGTATAGCTTTGGTGAGGTATCTGTTAGAGGTTTTGCCCATTTTTAATTGGATTGCTCATTTTCTTATTGTTGAATTTTAAGTGTTCCTTGTATATTTTGTATAACAGACCTTTATCAGATAGGTCTTTTGCAAATATTTTCCTCCCAGGCTGTGGCTTATTTTCTCAATCCTTGATTCCTTCTCTTTACTTTTTTTTTCTTTTTTCTTTTTTTAAAGAAATGGTAGCATAATATACACAGTTGTCCATTTTTTAAAGACTAAACCATCTCACAGATTGTTCTGTATCAGTAAATAAAGATCTTTCCCCCACCCTTGCCCAGTGTGTCATTGTCTTAATAGACCATTATTAGTTCCCTATTGGTGGACACTTAATGGCTTTTATTTTTCTGTTGTAAGCAAAACTGCATATACAGCATCCTTGTCTTTAGGCACATGTGCAAGATATTTATAAGGTAATTCTCAGGCTGGGCACAGTGGCTCATGCCTGTAATCCCAGCACTTTGGGAGGCCGAGGTGGGTGGATCATTTGAGGTCAGGAGTTCGAGACCAGCCTGGTCAACATAGTGAAACCCCACCTCTACTAAAAATACAAAAATAATTAGCCAGCATGATGGAGGGCACCTGTAGTCCCAGCTACTCAGGAGGCCGAGGCAGGAGAAATTGCTTGAACCTGGGAGATGAAGGTTGCAATGAGCTGAGATTGCACCACTGCACTCCAGCCTGGGCGACAGAGCAAGACTACGTCTTAAAAAAAAAAAAAAGAAGAAGAAGAAGTATGTGCCTTGGTAGCTTTGATAGAGAGTGTGACCTCCCAGATGTTTAGTTAATCCACTAACAATGGATGAGAGGTGTGCTCAGTAAAGCAAATAAACAATTGCTCAACAATTCTTTGGTACCAAAAAATTTTTTTTGAATTTCCAACTCACCCCACATTGTTGACAGAATTTCCACCTGTTAGCTAGGAGGCTGAGGAAGGAGGATCAACTGAGCCCAGGCATTCGAGAGCAGCCTCAGCAACAAAGCAAGACCTCAAAAACAAATGAACAACCTGTTTACCCTGATGTGATTTTAATGCATTTTATGCCTGTATCAAAATATCTCATTTATTCCATACATATATACACTTACTATGTGCCTACAAAAATTGAAAAATAAAAATAAAAAATTTCCACCTGTTATCTGAGTAACCAGCATAACACACTTGAATCCATTTGCAATGTAGTTGTCACATTCTTAGTGATTCTGCATAGGATCAAGCATTTTACTCCCTATGTGTTCTATTGCAGTCATGCCCAAGCCTGTACATACTGAAATATATATCGTTTTTATTATAAATTATGTTGTTTTTAAGACTTTTTCATATTAAGCTAGGTGATTTATTAATTTTTAATAATGTATATATGTAGGTGGTTTATATTTCCTAGGATTTTCATTTTAGGGTAGTAAAGGTGGTATTATGAAAATATCTGTGTAGGCTGGTGGCAGTGGTGCACACCTGTAATTCCAGTGTTTGACTGGCTGAAGTAGGAGGATCGCTTGGGTGCAGGAGTTCGAGGTTGTAGTGAGCTGTGATCTTGCCACCACACTAGAGTCTGGGTGACAGTCCGACTCTGTCTCAAAAAAACTCTGTAGGGCATTGGGTTTGATGGGGGCTTAGTGAACGCTTCATGGCATATATTAGAGAATGCAGAAAATGTGCTATAATGAGACTAGAGTTTGAGCCCTAGAAGTATGGCCTTAGGTAAAGTTCTGAACATTGCCCCCTTTTATTTGTAAAATGGAAATGAGATACTATTAATAATACTCCGGGACTTCTGTAAAAAAGAAATACACAAGAATCCTAGATGTATACATAAAACCCAGAACCATAAAACTCCAAATGAAATTTTAGAACATTATTTTTGCAAACATTAGGTAGGCAAAGATTTGTTGGACAGGAGAAAACATTAGCCATAAAATTAAAAATATAATAATTTCATACAATCAATAAATTAATGAAAATGAAGAATATTCTGTCACTAAGAGAAACCTTTAAGAAAATTAGCAGACAAGCCACAGGCTGGGGAAATTTTTTTTTTTTTTTTTTTTGAGACGGAGTCTTGCTCTGTCGCCCAGGCTGGAGTGCAGTGACACGATCCTGCCTCAGCCTCCCGAGTAGCTGGGACTACAAGGGCCCGCCACCACACCCGGCTAATTTTTGGTATTTTTAGTAGAGACGGGGTTTCACCGTGGTCTCAATCTCCTGACCTTGTGATCTGCCCGCCTCGGCCTCCCAAAGTGCTGGGATTACAGGTGTGAGCCACTGTGCCCGGCCACGGAAAATATTTATAACATATATTAACAAGGGATTTGTACCCAAGATTTATAAACAGCTCCTACTAAGGAAAAATAAAAATATAAACAACCCAATTAAAAATGGGCAAAAGACTTGAAGAGACATTTAAACAAAGATATACAACTAGCCATTAACACATGAATATGATGCTCAGTGTCTGTGATGATTAATTTTATGTATCAAGTTGACTAAGTAAGCTATGGTGCCCAGATGTTTGGTCAAACATCAGTCTAGATGGTGGTTTTTAGATGTGACTAACATTTAAATCAGTAGGCTTTGAGTAAAGCAGATTACCCTCTATAATATGGATGGGCCTTAGCCAATCAGTTAAAGGCCTTAAGAGAGAAAAGACTGACGTCCCCTGAAGAAGAAAGAACTGTCTCCAGACTGCCTTGGGACTTGAGCTGCAACAACTCTTCCCTGGGCCTGCAGCCTGCTGGCCTGCCCTGCAGAATTTGGACTTGCCAGCCACCAGCCCACACAAGCATGTAACCAATTCCTTAAAATAAAATCAATGTGTATCATTCTCTCTCTTTCTATCCCCATCTATGGGTTCTGTTTCTGTGGAGAACCATGCATGATAATACAGCATCTTTAGTCATGGGAGATATGCAAATTAAAACAAGATACATCTCATACATTCTTAAATCCCTAAAACAAAGACTAACAACCCCAAATATTGGTGAATTTGTGTGGCAACTGGAACTCTCAAACATTATTTATGGGAGTTAAAATGGTATACTCATTTTGGCCGGGCATGATGGCTCATGCCTGTAATCCCAACACTTTGGGAGGCCAAGGTGGGCAGATCACTTGAGGCCAGGAGTTCGAGACCATCCTGGCCAACATGGTGAAACCCCGTTTCTACCAAAAATACAAAAATTAGCTGGGTGTGGTGGCACACAGCTGTAATCCCAGCTACTTGGGAGGCTGAGGCAGGAGAATCGCTTGAACCTGGGAGGCAGAGGCTGCAGTTAGCCGAGATCATGCCACTGCACTCCAGCCTGGGTGACAGAGCAAGACCCTGTCTCAAATAAATAATAAATAAATAAATAAAATAAAATGGTATAATCATTTTGAAGAACTATTTGGTAGTTTCTTAAAATGGTAAACATACATTTAGCCTATGATCCAGCAGTTCTAGTCTTTATTTACCCAAGAGTAATAAAAACATGTTCACAATAAACTTTCAGAAGAATGTATATAGCAGCCTTATTCTAATAGTGAAAAACTGGAAACAACCCAAATGTCTGTCAATAGGTGAATAAAGAAATTATGCATGGCCGGGCATGGTGGCTCATGTGTAATCCCAGCACTTTGGGAAGCCAAGGCGGGTGGATCACCTGAGGTCAGGAGTTCGAGACCAGCCTGACCAGTACGGTGAAACCTCGTCTCTACTAAAAATCCAAAAATTAGCCAGGTGTAGTGGTGCGTGCGCCTGTAGTCCCAGCTACTCGGGAGGCTGAGACAGGAGAATTGCTTGAACCTGGGAGGTGGAGGTTGCAGTCAGCGGAGATAGTGCTACTGTACTCCAGCCTGGGCAACAGAGTGAGACTCCATCTCAAAAAAAAAAAAAGAAATTATGCTATATTCATATAATGAAGTATTACACAGCAATAAAATTACCAATACACACTCAGCGTGGGAACTTTCTGGGATGATTGAAATGTTCTATAGTTTCTTGTTTGTGTGGTGACTACACAGGTAAACACAACTGTCAAAACTTACCAAACTGAACACCAAAGATACATATGTTAATTATATCATTATAATTCACATGCAATAATTTATATTATGCCTCACCATGAACATTTTCTAAGGATTAAATGAGTTTAAATATATTCTTATAGATTTAAAAGGCTATGATAGTAAGTATTGGAACTTGAAATCTCACAACTTATTCACAGATGGAGCCTCCACCTGGAGAGTAATAATTTTAATACACTGATGGCAGAAAGCAAAATGAATTGTACAATTCCTTTGGAAAAGAATGGCAGTTTTTCAAAAGATTATATACCTGCAATACAATCCAATATTCAACTCCTAGGCATTTACCCAAAAGAAATGAAAACATGTTTAGAAAAAGACTTGCACGTGAATGTTCATAGCAAATTTATTTGTTATAGCCAGAAAATGGAACCAATCCAAATGTCTGTCATTTGTTGTAGACCCTCTCACTGTATGGGAGCGGCTACTAAAGAAAGCTAGAACTTTGGATGATGATTCGCCAGGTCAGTAAAATAGGATGATATTTGGAAAGAGAAAGGCAGAAGTTGCAAGGCCAGACAGGGAACATGTTGAGTTGCAAAAGAGGCACAGCAGTAACTAGATACATGAGGTGACAGGGAGAAGTCAAGACACCAAGCTTATACCCCTGCAGCTGGGATTCCTTAAATCCTTTACCTGCCCCAAAGCCCAGGCCATAGCTCCGTTTTTGCCTTGCCCATCACCATTTCCATTCTGCCAAGTCCAGCTTCCGTTGCTTATGGGGTTACAGAGAATCTCCTCTGAGAGGCAGACGGTCCTGCTGCATTTGTGCCAGAGACTCAGGTTGACTTGATGACTCAGGGAGAAGCAAGGGCAAAGGGAAAACTGATGCCAAGCCACCATCTGCACAGGGTGTGAGGGGAAAAGTGGACTGGTCCAGCTGGATTGGTGCAGAATGGAGAAGGTTGGTAAGGATTGAGAGTCTCAGAGCAACTGGGAAGATGGTTTGCATTCTAGGACCCTACACCGCAGATTAAGAAGGATCTAGGCTCTGGAGAAAATAGAGGCTATGATCAACTGAGTAGCGAGAAAAGTTATGGCTATGCATGGGAGAATTTGGGGAAACAATGATTAAAAATACAAAGTTCAGGGTCTCATCCTGTAGCTAAAGAACCTAGTCAGCTGTCCCTCAACAGCTCCAGGGACCAGGCTTGTCTTAGCCATTGCCACTTTCTAAGACAACATTCAAATTGATGATACTAAATGGTCCCTTCTACCCCAGCTTCTAGGACCATATATGCCTAAGTCATATTAAACCTAGAGCTGCCATTAGCCTAAGAATGACTGTGGGGCCAATGGGGAGGATTCCTAACGTCAAACCTGGACAGATGCCTTCTGTCTGCTCTTTCTCCTCCCTGAAAGACTCCATGCATGATCTGGGAGAAGCCATAGGTTGGTGAGAGTAGGTGTCAGTTGAAAGATAGTTTCTATAGTAGAGTTTATTGCTTTCTGGGGGAGAGAGCAGGCCCAGGAGTGGGGAAAGGGCCACAGAAACAGGCGCCTGGAAACTCAGACATGTGTCTTCCTTCCCAATGTGACTGTCTGGCCCTGGTTGTCTTGAGCCATCCAGCCAGATATGACTGTATGTTGTGCTGTTTTGTGTCAAACATCAGAACACCTCTGACCTTTACAAAGTGGGAGGGAATCCCTTGTGGGCTGCAGGACTCCTAACAATTAAAAAAAAAAAATCCCACTAATACCTAGAACTGCGCTAACACAGTAGCTACGACCCATTTGTGGCTATTTAAATTTAAATAATTAAGTAGAAGGAAAAATTCAGTTCCTTGGTTGCTCTAGCCACATTTCAAGTGCTTAATAGCCATAGGTGGCTAGGGCAGAATGTTCTATTGGACAACACTTGGACTTGATGTTTGGAAGTCCCAGACAGTAAATTTCAACATATTTTTTGGACGCTGGTATAGATTTTTCAACCTTTTGGCAAAGTAAGTACAATAAACTACCACCTGTCAAAATCATTATTTCATAAAATAAAGTATATTTTAACTTCAAAGAAACAAGAAAGATATAATCTCAGAATAAAGGACTCGTTCAGAAGAGAGGATAATTTGACACCTTTACACTGACCCTTTTGACCCCAGACAAGCCCTGGAGTCTGTATTGGCATTTATGTGCCATTGCCATACCCTAGGATTCTGGCCTCTTTAGTACTGGACATCGGTTGCCCTTGTGCCCTATCCTTGAAAAGGACATCAGGAAGGCCCTAGCAGGATCTTCGTGGCCTTTGGGAGTGAGGTGTCCTTCTCAGTGCATATCAGTAGGTCATGATGTCAGTATGACATTTTTTTTTTTTTTTTGAGACGGACTGTTGCTCTTGTTGCCCAGGCTGGAATGCAAAGGCTCATCGCAACCTCTGCCTCCCAGGTTCAAGCGATTCTCCTGCCTCAGCCTCCCAAGTAGCTGGGATTACAGGCATGTGCCACCATGCCCGGCTAATTTTGTATTTTTAGTAGAGATGGGGTTTCTCCATGTTGGTCAGGCTGGTCTCAAACTCCCGACCTCAGGTGATCCACCTGCCTTGGCCTCCCAAAGTGCTGGGATTACAGGCGTGAGTCTGGCATCAGTATGACTTATTACTGGTAATATTAACTTTGATCAGGCAGTTAAGGTGACATTTGCCTAGTTTCTCCACTGTAATGTTACTAGCTTTTCTTTCTTCTTTTCTTTTCTTTTTTTTTTTTTTGAGACAGAGTCTCACTCTGTCCCCCAAGCTGGAGTGCAGTGGTGCAGTCTTGGATCACTGCAAGCTCCACCTCCCGGGTTCACGCCATTCTCCTGCCTCAGCCTCCCAAGTAGCTGGGACTACAGGCGCCCGCCACCACGCCCGGCTAATTTTTTGTATTTTTAGTAGAGATGGGGTTTCACCATTCACAGGATGGTCTCGATCTCCTGACCTTGTGATCCGCCCGCCTCAGCCTCCCAAAGTGCTGGGATTACAGGCATGAGCCATCACGCCTGGTCACTAGTTTTTCTTTTGTAATTAGTGTCTTGTGGGGAGATACTTTGAGACTGTGAAAATACTCTGGTTTTGAGCATAATTTTGGCCACTAATTTTGGCATCCTTTGATGAGTCTTTCCAACAGCACTTGTGTATTAGTTTCCTATGGCCGCTATAAAAAATTATCACAAACTTGGTGGCTTAGAACAACAGAAATTTATTCTCTCAGAATTCTGGATGCCAGAAGTTTCAAATCAGCTACTCTGCTCAAATCAAGATGTTGGCAGGGCCATGTTCTCTCCAAAGGCTTTAGGGGAGAATCCATTGCTTGTCTCTTCCAGCTTCTGGTGCAGCCAGTATTCCTCAGCTTATAGCCACATCACTCCAGTCTCTGCCTCCATCTTCACATTTCCTATTGTGCCTAATCTCCCTCTATCTGTCGTTTATAAGGAAAGGTGTGAGTGTAATGGCATTTAGGACCCACTTATATAATCCAGGATAATCCACTTATCTCAAGATTGTTAATTTAATCACTTTTGCAAAAACTACCACGTAAGTTACCATTCACAAGTTCCAGGATCAAGACCCGTTGTCTTTAGGGACCATCATTCAGCCCGCTAAATTTTTTTACTGTGGAATTTGCCAAATACTGTTTCTATTTCCATAATTCCTCCTAACTTTATTAAAATTCTACTATAAGGAAGACCTAGCCCTTCTCATGTGTTCAAAATATATATATATTGTTTATATCAATAAGAATTTTATGAGTTGTTATCTACTATCATTAATTCCTTGTTCAAATTGCCCCAGATTTGGCCATTGGTAACTCCTGCTAGTTGGCTCCTGTATCCTTTTGACATGCCTTCATCATTTTTATATTTTTGAGACAGGATTTCATTCTGTCTCCCAGACTGGACTGCAGTGTTGTGATCACAGCTCACTGCAGCCTCAACCTCCTGGGATCAAGCAATCCTCCCACCTTAGCCTCCCAAGTAGCAGGGACTACAGGTGTGCGCCACTAGATACTGCTAATTTTTGTACTTTTTATAGAGATGGGGTTTTGCCATGTTGCCCAAGCTGGTCTTGACCCCCTGGGCTCAAGTGATCCACCTGCCTTGGCCTCCCAAATTGCTGGGATTATAGGCGTAAGCCACCTCCCCCAGCCGTTCATCATTTTTTAAACACCTCCTAATTTTTTGGCACAAGAGGTTCCAGGATCAGTTTTTACTATCTCCACTTTAGCCCTCAGAATCAACTATTTCTCCAAGGAACCCTAGTTTCTTTTTGGAGAATGATCTTTAGAAACTCTCTAAGCAATGCCGCCACCATCAGTGTTATAAACACTGGGAGCTCATATCTCTCCTATCCAATTCCAACCCCAACCTAGGACCTTGCTACTACCTTTAATTCCCAAAGACTAGCTAAATCTTGACTGTCACATTTGATAAGGTTTTACCAGTTTGAGGGCCACAAAAAAAGGGAAATACTGTACACTAACATGGCCCAGTTCTCATGGGATTTCCTAAAGTTGCCTCCCTGCCTAGCCTTTGGCTTGCCTGCCTCATGCTTAGCAAAGAGCATCTTTCCTCTTAAAAGTGAGAGTCTCCTAGGTTGTAGGGCAGTGGTTCACACTCTTGGCTGCAATTTGAAATCACTGGGAGCTTTCAGAACTACTGGTTCCACCACCAGAGTTTCCAATTTAATTAATGTAGGTGTGGTTTGGGTATTAGTGGCTCTGTTTCTCACACCTAGCTATACATAAGAATCACATAAGGAGTTTTATAAAAAAGAACTGGATGTCCAACTATTAGGTTAAAGGTTGAAAAGAAAGTTTATAATGAGCAGTTCAAGCTTGTCTTAATCCATTTTTTGTTACTTAGAATACCTGAAACTGGGTAATTTATTTTAAAAGAGGAATTTATTTATTTTTGAGACAGGGTTTTGCTCTGTTGCCCAGGCTGGAGTTCAGTGGTGCAAACATGGCTCACTACAGCCTTGACCTCCTGGACTCAAGTGATCCTCCACTTCAGCCTCCCAAGCAGCTGGGACCACAGGCACACATCACTGTGCCTAGCTAATGCTTTCATTTTTGTAGAGATAGGGTCTCGTCATGTTGCCCAGGCTGGTCTCAAAACTCCTGGCTCAAGCAATTCTCCTGTCTCAGCCCCACAAAATGTTAGTATTGCAGGTGTGAGCCACCACACCTGGTCTGAGGGATTTACTTCTTAACAGTTTTGGATGCTAAGAAGTCCAAGGTAGAGGGGCCACATCTGGTGAGGGTCTTCTTGCTGGTGGAGACTCTCTGGAGTCCTGATGCAGTGTATCATATGGTGAGGGGACTGATTATGCTAGTTCAGGTCTCTCTTCCTCTTCTTATGAAGCCACTAGCCCCACTCCCATGAGAGCCCACTAATCCATGAACCTATTTACCCATTAATGCATGAATGAATTAATCAATTCATGAGGGCAGAGCCCTCATGACCTAATAACCTCTTAAAGGCTACATTGGGGATTAAATTTCAACATGATTTTGGAGGGTACAAATATTCAAACCATAGCATTTCATCCTTGGCCTCCCCAAACTCACGTCTTTCTCACGTACAACCCTGTAACTCCAAAAGTCTTAACAACCAGCATCAACTCAAAAGTCCAAAGTCCAGAGTCTCATCTATGAGCCTATAAAATCAAAACAAGTTATTTACTTTCAAGATACATTGGTGGTACAGGAAAAAGACAGATTCCCATTCTAAAAGTGAGAAATAGGCAAAAAGAAAGGAGTAACAGGCCCTAAGGAAGTCTGAAACCCAGGAGGGTAGACATTATTATTTTTTTTTTGAGGCGGAGTCTCACTGTATTGCCCAGGCTGGAATGCAGTGGTGTGATCTCAACTCACTGCAACATCCGCTTCTAGGGTTCAAGTGATTCTGCCGCTGCTGCCTCAGCCTCCGGAGTAGCTGGGACTACAGGCATGCACCAGCAATACCCAGCTAATTTTTGTATTTTTAGTAGAGATAGGGTTTCACCATGTTGGGCAGGCTGGTCTCTAACTCCTGACCTCAAGTGATCCTCCTACCTCGGCCTCCTAAAGTGCTGGGATTACAGGCATGAGACACTGCACCTGGCCAAATCTTAAAGCTGGAGAATAATCCCTTTTGCCTCCATGTGCTTCCTCCTGGACACACTGGGGCGGGGATTGGGCCGCCAAAGCCTCAGGCAAGCCCACCCCTATGGCATTGCTGGGTGCAGCCCACATGGCTACTCCTACAGGATGGAGTCTGGTGCCTGCAGCTTTCCCCAGCAGGTGCTGCATACTGCCTGTGATTCTGTAGCTCTTGGTGATGGTTCTGTTCCCATGGCTCCACTATGCATGGCCCTAGTGAGGACTCTCAGTAGTGGCCTTGCTTCCACAGCTCCACGATGCATTGCCCTGGTTGGGACTTTCTGCAGTAGCTCCAGCTCCACATCTCTGCTCGGTGTTGCTCTACTGGGGGCACTCTCTTTGGGGGCGGCTCCACCCCTGCAACAAGTCTCTGCCTGGGCAGCCATCCTTTGAAATTTTGGTGGAGGCTGGCAAACATCACATTTTTTTTTTTTTTTTTTCCTGCAAGCCTGCAGAATTAGCAGGTGGACATCACCAAAATTTACTATTTTTACTCTGGAGCTTCAAATACATGTTCAACATTGCTTAGAAGCAGCATGAGGAAACAGGCCTCGTCTTTCTTCTTTGAGCCTCTCTTCTCTTGACTCCAAACTCACCACTCTTAGCAAAATAGATCTTGCAGTTAACAGAACCCACTGTTCTTAGGAAGCAGTTTCCCTAAGGATGGTAAGCACATCTCAGGTGCCACCATGTCTTGGTCTTTGTCTTTCATAACAAGATGTGCTTCCTGGCTGATAGCTTTTATGTTTACATTGCTAGAAATATCACCTGCAGTAAAGCCTTCACCAATATGATGTGTTTCAAGATTTAAGAACTTTTAAACGTTTTTCATATTCCTTGTTTACATTTTTCATCTTTTTTTTTTTTTTTGAGACAGTCTTACCCTGTCATCCAGGCTGGAGTGCAGTGGTGTGATCTTGGCTCACTGCAACCCCTGCCTCCTGGGTTCAAGTGATTCTCTTGCCTCAGCCTCTTGAATAGCTGGAATTACGGGGAAGAGCCACTGTGCCCAGCTGATTTTTGTATTTTCAGTAGAGATGGAGTTTCAACATGTTGGCTAGGCTGGTCTCAAACTCCTGGCCCCAAGCTATTGCCCCACCTCATCCTCCCAAAGTGCTGGGATTATAGGTGTGAGCCACTGCACCTGGCCCATTTCATTTTTTATTATAGTTCTAATAGAGTAGTCTTCCATGGTTTTTCTTCTGTGGTTTATACCCAAGTTACAGTACAACAAGATATTTTGAGAGAGTGAGCAAAACCACATTCACATAACTTTTATTATAGTATATTGTTATAATTGTTCTATTTTATTGTTGTTAGCAAGCGAAACCATTCACATAACTTTTATTATAGTATATTGTTATAATTGTTCTACTGTATTATTATTGTTAATCTCTACTGTGCCTAATTTATAAACTTTACCATAGGTATGTACATATAGGAAAAAACATACTACATATAAAGTTTAGTATTACCTGTGGTTTCAGGCATCCACTGGAGGTCTTGGAATGTATTCCCCATGGATAAGGGAGGACTACTATAGTCTTTATCAGTGGTTCTCAAACGTGAGTGAATATCAGAACCACCTGGCTGGCATGTTACAGTGATTACTGGGCCTTACATACAGTTTCTGATTCAGCAGGCAAGGACCAAGATTTTAATTTTTAGGTTTCTAAGGGGTTCTGATGCTGATGGTACAGGGTCTACACATGAGACCTACTCATCTATAAAAAGAAAATTACAGACAACACTCTCATTCATTTTAACTATGTTTATTGTGCACTTAGTAGGCCAGATACTCTTCTGATATTTGAGAATACAGTGGTGAATAACACAAACTCCATGCTTTCAAGATTCCCACACCCAGATACTAAGACATATTAAAATTTACAGCAATTAAAACAGTGTAGTTTGGTACAATAACACATATAGCAATGATACAAATTAGGGGAAAAAACCCTGGCTTCTATAACAAGTGAGTATACATTAAAGACAGTATTGCAGAATGGCTTCAGGATTAATTTGATTAATTTAGAGAGAGCCTATTTCAGGTCTTCCTAGCTCATCCACACACATCACCTTTCAGTGTTCTTTATAGGTACTTAAAACTTAAAAAAAGGCCCAGGCGCGGTGGCTCCTGCCTGTAATCCCAGCACTTTGGGAGGCCGAGGCAGGTGGATCATGAGGTCAGGAGATTGAGACCATCCTGGCTAACAAAGTGAAACCCCGTCTCTATTAAAAATACAAAAAAATTAGCCGGGCGTGGTGGCGGGCGACTGTAGTCCCAGATACTTGGGAGGCTGAGGCAAGAGAATGGTGTGAACCCAGGAGGCGGAGCTTGCAGTGAGCTGAGATCGCGCCACTGCACTCCAGCCTGGGTGACAGAGCGAGACTCTGTCTCAAAAAAACAAAACAAAACAAACTTAAAAAAGATAATGTGGCACCAAATTTGTAAGATACTTTGAAATTCATAATTTCAGATGGATGTGGCTGGTAAGGATCTTAACAAGCCCCCAGTTTGGGCTGACTTTTACTAATGAGGAAAATTGTTAGGATTAAGCAGGGTCTTGAGGAATCACCTCTAAAGGCTCAGACTTTAAAGTGCTTCCCCTCCCTTCCCTACCCCAACATTTGGAGAAATCTCTCACTAGATGGCCTTTCAAATAAATGAGAAACACATGGTTCTAGGACAATTGATTATTTGAGAAAAAAGTATACTCTAATAAATTCCAGATAGAATAAAGGTTAATGTGAATAAACAAAAACAAAGAGAATATGGGTAATTCTTTTTTTAAAATTTATTTCTATTTTTTATTTTTTTTGAGACAGTTCTTACTCTGTTGCCCAGGCTGGAGTGCAGTGGTGCAATCATAGCTCACTGCAGCGTTGAACTCCTGGGCCCAAGCCATCCTCCTGCTTAGCCTCCTGAGCAGCTGGGACTACAGGTGTGTGTCGCTACACCTGGCTATTTTTTATTTTTTGTAGAGATAGGGGTATTGCTTTGTCGCCCAGGCTGGGCTCAGATTCCTGGCTTCAAGCAATTCTCCCACCTTGGCTTCCCAAAGTGTTGGGATTACAAGCATGAGCCATTGTGTCTGGCCTGGGTGATTCTTTATCTGACATAGAGGTTGGGAAACAGAACAACAAAAAAAAATTGATAAATTACATAACTTACAAATTAGTAAGAAAGATATGACCATACTAATGGAAAAAAGTTAATTCAAAAACTTTTGACCTTAAACTAACTTTTTGGATATTAGGCTTCCTGAAGTTCAAGAGTGACATATTAGGCTTATATTAGGCTTATTTGTAATGTTTGAATTATACAGGAAACATTGTCAAGTGTGAGGTGGTGTTTAGCTTCCTTTGGGTTATACTGATAGAGATTTGTTGTTAATATGTGTTCCAGGATTGTATGAGAGTTCTAAAATTCTGATATGTCTTAATATATGTTGTAATGATTATGTTAAATTGTTGTAAGCCACAGAAATAGCCACATTTGTCAACTGTGTCTTTATGGCTGTCTTAAGACTTTTGTCATCCATAATTGATGTTTTGCTCTGATCCTTCTCAAAAAAAAAAAGTGACTTATAATCAGCTACAGTCCAAGGCTTACTTCTTTGGAGTTCATGAAAAGAACTCTTGAATGCAGGTTTCTGGTAACTTTGGAGAGTGTGCCATTGGATTAGACAGAAAACTTCCAAGGCACTAATTGAAAGGCTGATGTGTTCATAAAGATGAATATGAAGTAGAGCAGGAGTTGATTACATGGACTGAAATGAACTAATGGAAGACTGAAATAATTTGTATGGCTTTTGTTGTTTGAAATATTGCTACTTCTTTTTGTTTTTTCAGAGTCTGAATAATCTTTTTATTTTGAGCTATTTATAGCCTTGAAATACACTTTAAGTGTATTGAGTATTCTAATTTCTCCAGAATTTGTAAACTATTTATGAATATTCTTAATTCATGGCATTTGTCTGTATAAAGTTAATAACCACGTTTTCTTTTGTAATAGGGCACAATTGAAACCGGTTACTTTCTCAGGACTTTGACTGAAATGGCCTTGTGAAATGTTCTAGCAAAGCCAATCTAGGAGAGTCTATATGGACAATGATTCTTGTTGCACTTTGTGTGGGTAATCAGGCCCAGTATATGGGACTGCAGTTTATTTTGAAGTTAGGTCGGTTCTGCTGTGATTTGTCTTTGGTGGAAGTGGTAGACTGGAGACAGAAATATTGTATGTCCCTAAATTAATATAGCTCCCAACAACCAATCCCTCATTATACCTTTAACTGCAACCACCAGACACAACGGCTAGGAATAACAGCAGAGGTAGGAATGGGAGTTAGCGGGATTGCAACTTCCCTATCCTATTACCAACGCTTGTCCAAGGATTTTATGGAAAGCCTGGATAACATTGCTCAAAGTATTGTCACCTTACAAATTCGGATAGGCTCCTTGGCAGTGGTCGCTTTGCAAAATCGAAGGGGACTAGATCTCCTAACTGCTGAAACAGGTGGCTTATGTATTTTCCTAGAAGAAGAATGCTGTTTTGATGTCAACCAATCAGGATTAGTAAGGGACACCACCTGAAAACTAGCTGACTGGGCCTCTAAAATATGACAACAGCTGGGGCACCTAAAGGGCACTAAGTTGGGTTTCATGGCTCCCTCCCTTGGCCAGCCCATTATTAATGATTATATTTGCCTTGGTTTTTGGACCATATCTGTTAAATCTTTTAACCAAATCCATTTCCTTTTGCCTAGAGACCACCAAGTTAGATGATCATGTGACAAGATTTCTAGCCAGTTTCAGGAGAAGACACCACCGGCCATCAAGAAGCTACCCTGTCTCCCCTAGACAAAGCAGGGTGAGAGTTACGTGATCTCCAATAGGTAGGGACTGTGTCCCAAGTTAGCATGAAGCAGTTACAGAAGAAAGACCCTCAGTCTCTCAGCCTCCCATAAAGATTTACGAGGATCACGTCTCTCAGGGGGAAAATGAGGCAGGAGAATAGGGTCTGGAGACAGGGAACCTAAGGCTGATTCACATTGACTTCCTAGAACTGAATCAAAAGGAAAACCCCACCTCTCCATACCTAAGTAACAAAAGGATCAGAGGCTACTCCCTTTGCAATCCCCTTGCCTTTTCTGCATTGCAGATGAAAAATGAAAGTGCCTCTGATTGGTCCCCTCCTGCAACCAATCAGACTGGTCATAGGCCAAGTCCTCATTTACACAGGAGTATAACTTTGTAACTTCACTTCAGCCTCTGATTGGTCACTTTCTGCACCAATCAGACAGGTCACGGGCCACTACTTCATTTACACAGGGTGTACGCCAAGTAACCAATGGCAAACCTCTAGAGGATATTCATTGCTTTGTGCGTTTTGTTCAATTATTTGTCCAAAATGCCAAGAACCTGGACACCCTCCACCAGTAACAGTTTGACCAGTTATTTATTGTATTACTTAGGACTGCATTTGGCTGCATATAAAAGAAACCTGACCAAGGCCTAATTAAGCACAGTGTTTATTCTTCTCACTACCAAGAAGTCAGAGGTCAGCAATCCAAGCTGGTGTAGCAGCTCCTCCAGGCATGTCAGCAAGGAGCCAAGCTCTGAGTCTTTTTACTAACATGACCCAAAGCACATGGCTGCCTTCCTTATGCCTAAAAGTGGCTCTGGTACTCAGGTTTTATCTCTGCACTCCAAGTAGGATGAAAAGATAAGAGCAAAGGCTCATGTTTGCCAAGTCTGTCCTTTTGTAACAAAAAACCCAGCAGCTTTATCAAGCAGAATTCCACCTGTATTTCTTAACTTGCCAGAGCTGAGTCTCATGGCCACCCTTAGCAGGAGTTGGGGAGGTATTTTTAACAAGGCACATTATCATCTCCCCCACCCAAAGTGGAGCTATTGCTAATGAAAAAGATACAATGAGATGTTTATGAAATTATCTGTAGCTATTAATGTCAGGTTTTTGAAATTTACTGACCTGGAAGAATACTCGTAATGCAATGTCAAGTGAGAAGCAGGACAAAGAACATTTGCAATACAGTTGTATTTATAAAATTTTGTTTACACACAAAAAATGTATTTTGCTTAAAAATATAATTTACATATATATACAACCACACAAGGGAAATAACAAAATGTTAATACTAGCTAATTTCTATAGAGTTGGCATTTTAAGTCAGAGGGGTATTGATGAATAGATGTAGTTTATTAAATTTTTTTCTCTATTTCCTAAACTTTCTATAAAGAACTTGTAGTATCTTTATAATAGGAAAAAATGTGATTTTAATGAACACTCCATATACTTTCAAAGTAGACTAAATTCAAAATATTTACACTTACTCATTTTCATCTTCGTTGTCAAAAGAAAGGAGGCTACTATTTTTAATTTGTTTTTGTGAGTTCTTTTTGACCGAGTCCTGATTTACTTCATCTTCATTTGGCTTCTTCTTTTTTGAGCTTGCTGTTAAACCTGAATATTTTTCATCTGAGGGATGCTTGACTGGTTTTCGATATATGATTCTTCCATCGGCTGGAGTTGGTTCTTCATCTGAGCAAAAACAGAATTTTTAAGAACTTTCTTCTCCTCATTATTTTGCCTTTACCTTAGAAGCAAATAATAAGAAAATCTCATATTGTATTTAAGGATATCCCTGAATCTGATTCAGTCTGGTCTTCTCCATTGTTTCTAGCTATATTGCCCTCAAGGCATGCAGTTACTTAATAAAAACTCACATGCTAAAGTATTCTATAATATTGTCAGTTCCCAATTACAATCAGGTTGTATTTTTAAGTAGTTTGAAAAGTGACTGTTTGGAACTACAGCATTTTCCCCTAAAGCAATGTAGTAAATGTTCAGAAATAATGAAAAATATACTACATATCATACCAAACTTCAGGCAGTAATGAAATACACCTTTTTTGACTGGTTTATAAGTCTAACCATCTATTTAAAAAAAAAAAATAGGATGCTTTTACTTAAATTCACACTTAATCCTGGTAACAACCCAATAGGTACAATTATTTCCATTTTACTGATGAGGAAATCGAGGCTGAGAGGTGTAATAACTTGCTCAAGGTTACACATCTGGTAAGTGTCAAAGCTAAGGCTTGAACCCGGAACTGCCACCTTGAAACACACCACACTACTAAATAAAATAAACAATTTCATACCCTGGGCTCCTTAAATTGTTAGAAAAACCAGATTACTTTTAGACCTACCTGCTTTGGCAGCCTTTATTTCTGCTTTAATTTTCATGACTTCTTCAACTGACAGGTCTCCCTTTTTTAAAACCACCACTTGAGGCTGTTCATCTTCTTTGTCACTGTGATCCCCATCTTCATCTGGGGGCTGAGGCTGAATTCTCTAGGGAAAAACACAAATACAATGTGTAGATCACTGATCTTGAGACAAACAGAACCACTGCCTCTAAGAGAAACTGTAATTATTTATGAGAAGGGTATCTTTATTGAGTAAATAAGGGCAATGAATTTTAAGGTAACTCCAAAGAGACTTAGCTTGCCACACAAGGGAACAGGTTTAACTGCCATTCAGCCTGGAGTGCCTGTCCGGTGGGATTCATTTCCATCTCAGCAGGACCCAGCTTGTAGTTACTAGTGTGAGGGACCCTCTGCTTTGGGTACTGCTGTCACTCCTAGCCTACTCAGGGCAGCACTGTGCCATGTCAGTTGTTTGCTCCTCATCAGCACTTTTTGCCTGTCTCTTCTCTGAGTTAGACAAGAAATAAACACCATCAAAGTACAGAAAGCAGCAAGTAAAACGTACTCTCTCTCTCACCTCTGCTCATCTTTTCCCCCTCCTAATAGCTTCAGTTTGGTGGATATTCTATCAGCTATTTTCCACGTCTATACAACTATGTAGGTACATAAAACTTTTTGTATACCAACAACACTGTACTTATTCCTGTGACTTGCTTTTTCCCTATTTATGAAATTTCTCAAACATAAAGTACAGAGAATAACATAACAGAAACCATGTACTCCCTGTATATGTGTAACAGATGGTAATATTTTGCCAGTTGATTCAGATTTTTGAAATGTGAGACACCGTAAGAGCCCCACTCCCACAACTTAACTCAAAAAATATCTTTGTACAGTACTTTAAGATATAGAATTATCTGATTTTTAAAAAATCACTGCCTTGCATTTAATTACATATATGGTCACCTCAAGATTTATTTGACCAGCATCTTGTAAATACAAATTTTGCTCGTTTCCAGATTTTTTTCTACTATGAAAAAACCTCATGCACCCATTTTTGCTCACTTTTGGGAACTTGTATGCAAGAACTTTTAATGTTAACAGTTCACTAGAGGTGGAACTGTTGGGTTGAAAGGTATGCATACCAAAATATGTTTTCATATGTTATTCAAACACAATCACTCATTACTCCACTTCTCATAGAGACTTCCTGGTCTCCCAAACAAGGCGACAAAGCCCTGCAAGAATTAGCCTCAGCCCATAACCACAGCTTTATCCTGTACCACTCTCTCATGGCATCTAGACTCTGGCATGGCAAGGTTTGAGTACTTGGAGATTTATAAATATATTAGCTCCTTTGCTTCCCCTGTCTCTGAACAAATTCCTACGGCTTATTAAGCCCCACAGCCCCTGAGCAACTCCTACTCAAGCTGCCTTCCAGATTTAGAGCCTCTAGAAGTGCTTACCTAAATCTCACCTTCTCTTGTTTCTTACACTGTGCATAGCTCATAGGTAGCATGTATTGCACTGTGGTACCAATGTTTTTCTGCTGGTTTCCACTGGGCAAGTGCCTTCTGGAGAGGCACAAAGCCTGGAAAACAGCAGGGACTTCCAGAAATATTTGTTGATCTACTCATGAATGACCAACAGAATGGAAAATGATGAACTACATGAAGCCCTGGCAAGTTGCTTGTGCCATTTTAACTATAACTCAAGTTCTCAAGTCTGCTCTATCACTGCACAAGTACATTCTCTTTAATGGTATCTATGTTAGTTCACTGATTATTCATCAGTTTCTGCCAATTTTTCTCTGAAAGTCTCCAATAAATGACCACAAATAGGTAGTAAGTATTTTTAGCCAAAAATATGGGAAAGTGAAATAAAATCATTCCTTTTGTTTGTTAAATTGAGAATAATTAATTCTGACTCTCTTCTCTTTTTTTCTTTTTAAATGTGACTGCCTGGAAAACAAGAGAAATAGTCTAAGGACAGTGGCAGTAGCCACTGATGACTGTTCAGAGACATTTCTGAATTAACTCTCAAGAAAGTGAATAGGGCCAGGCGCAGTGGCTCATGCCTGTAATCCCAGCACTCTGGGAGGCCTAGGCAGGCAGATCACTTGAGGTCAGCAGTTCAAGACTAGCCTGGCAAACATGGTGAAACCCCCCGTCTCTACTAAAAATACAGAAATTACCTCGGTGTGGTGGTGGGCACCTGTAATCCCACCTACTTGGGTGGCTGAGGCAGGAGAATTGCTTGAACCCAAAAGGTGGAGGTTGCAGTGAGCTGAGATCGAGTCACTGCATTTCAGCCTAAGCAACAGAGAAAGACTCCGCCTCAAAAAAAATAAAAGTGAATAGGATGATTTAGCTTAATTATGGAATGATTTCCCATGAAACTCATTTCTTTTTGTTAATAGATGACTAAAATCCTGACTGCAGTAGTCCCCTCCTTATCCTCAATTTCATGTTCCACAATTTCAGTTACCTGTGGTCAACTGTAGTATGAAAGAAGGGTGAGTACAGTACAATAAAATATTTAGAGACAGCAAGCAAACAAGCAAATTCACACAACTTTTACTAGAGTATATTGTTATGATTGTTCTATTATTAGTTACTAATCTGCTGATATTCCTAATTTATATAGTAAACTTCATCATAGGTATATATGTATGGGAAAAAACATAGTATATATAGAATTCAGTATTATCCACTGGGGGTCTTGGAACATAATGGGGGAATACTGTATATTGCCAAACTGATTAAAAATGAAGTGGTTCTCACACTGAAACATGGCGTACTTCTCTAAGGGAAATTCCCTTGAGTACATAAATAAGCGAAAATCACTGATATTACTTGGAAAGGATTCCCGAAGTTCTCTTAAGATAGCATTCCAAGCTGTAACCTTCAAGCTGTCAACTGTGCATACAGGGTCATCACCAGGACCTCAAGCAAGGTAAAGCTGGGTCTCATCTTCTCCTCATCGCTCAATCTATGTCCCTTTTCTCAAACCTTACCCTCTTTGTCATCATCCCTATTTTTAGTCATGGGGATCAGTCATTCCCTGTGTTACCTCTAAGAAAAAAATGGCTCCCTGTTGCTTACTAAATAGTCCACATGGCCTCACCTCCACTAGCCCCTCTAACACTTCTACATACAGTCCATGACTCTCAAATCTCTACACCTTTACCCATGCCATTCTCTTCATCTCTACCTGCTGACCTAACCATGCTCGAGAGTCTATCTAAATATCCCTCCTCCACGAAGTCTAACCTGATAACAGCACAGTCACCAACAAATACAACTGTTACCCACTACTTCGTGCCAGGCACTGTGCTAGGTGCTGGGAAAATACGGAAGGATTAAGATACTAACTTAAAGAGTTCAATCTAGTGGTGAAGATAAACAGGAAAGCAAGTAGTTGCAATATAAAATGAATGTTATAGATAAGATATGGATAAGGTAAAGAGAAAAACAGAAAGAGTAACTGTTTGGAGAGCTTTGAAGGGTTTCGGAGAGATGGTAACTTGTGAAAATAGGGCAGGAAGTGTTAAAGAACATGGCATTTTGGAGATCCATCTCTTCGTCCTTTCAGAGCCTGCGACAGTGCATGGGGTTAGCACATACTCATTCTACTGGCATACCTTGAAGATACCGCAGATTTGGTTCCAGACCACCACAACAAAGCAAGTATCAAAATAAATTGTCACACAAATTTTCTGGTTTCCCAGTTCACATAAAAGTTATGTTCACACTATACACTAACTACAGTTAGTATTAAGTATGCAATATCATTATGTCTAAAAAAATCTAGATCCCATTAAGTACACGATTCATGGGAGGAGGCAAAATATCAACATTAACAGGAGTCTGGAAGATGTACCTACCTTAATTTAAAAATACTTTATTGCTAAAAACATTAAAAATCATCTGAGCCTTCAGTGAGTCCTAATCTTTTTGCCAGTGAAGGGTCTGCCCTTGATGCTGATGGATGTTGACTGATGAGGGTGGTGGTTGCTGAAAGGCGGGGTGGCTGTGGCAATTTTTAAAAATAAGACGATGAAGTTTGCTGCATTGAGTCTTCCTTTCACAAAAGATTTCTCTTTTGTGATGCTGCAATGCTGTTTCATAGCATTTTACCCACAGCTGAACTCCTTTCAAAATTGGAATCAGTCCTCTTAAACCTGCTGCTGCTTTACCAAGTAAGTTTATTCTAAATCCTTTATTGACATTTCAACAATGTTCACAGCATCTTCACCAGAAGTAGATTCCATCTCAATAAACCACTTTTTTTGCTCATCAATAAGAAGCAACTCATCTGTTCAATTTTTATGAGACTGCAACAACTTAGTCACATTTTCAGGCTCTACTTCTAATTCTAGTTCTTTTGCTTGTTCTACCACACCTGCAATTACTTCCTCCACTGAAGGCCTGAATCTCTCGAAGTCATCCATGAAGGTTGGAATCAACCTCTTCCAAATTCCTGTTAATGTTGATATTTTGCCCTCTTCCCATGAATCATGGATGTTCTTAACGTGTTTAGAATGGTGAAGCCTTTCCATAAAGTTTTCAATTTACAATATCCAGATGCATCAGAGGAATCACTATCCATGGCAGCTGTAGCCTTACAAATGGTTTTGACTTTTTTTTTTTTTTTTGAGACAGGGTCTGGCTCTGTTACCCAGGCTCGAGTGCAGTGGTGCAATCATGGCTGACTGCAGCCTCAACCTACCTGGGGTCAGGGAATCCTCCCACCTCAGCCTCCCAAGTAGCTGGGACCACAGGTGCATGCCACCACACTGGGCTAAATTTTGTATTTTTTGTAGAGATGGGGTCTCACCATGTTGGCCAGGCTGGTCTTGAACTCCTGGGCTCAAGCAATCCACCTGCCTTGACTTCCCAAAGTGCTGGGATTACAAGTGTGAGCCATTGCGCCTGGCTGTTATTTCTTAAATAATAAGACTGAAAATAGAAATTACTCCTTGATCCATGGGCTGCAGAATGGATGTTGTGTTAGCAGGCATGAAAACCCCACGTTAATCTCCTTGTAGATCTCCATCAGAGTTCTTGGGTGACCAAGTGTATTGTCCATGAGCAATAATATATTGAAAGAATCTTTTTTTTTCTGAGCAGTAGGTCTCAACAGTGGGCTAAAAATAATTCAGTAAACCATATTATAAAGAGATGTGCTGTCATCAAGGTTTTGTTTTTCCATTTCTAGAGCACAGGCAGAGTAGATTTAGCATAATTCTTACGGACCCTAGGATTTTTGGAATGGTAAGTATTAGCTTCAACTTAAAAGTCACCAGCTGCATTAGCTCCTAATGAGAGAGTTAGCCTGTCCTTTGAAAATATGAAGCCAGGCACTGACTTCTCTCTAGCTATGAAAGTCCTAAATGGCCCAGGCATAGTGGTTTTTGAGAGGCTTTGAGAGGCTAAAGTGGGAGGATTGCTTGAGTCCAGGAGTTTGAGACCAGCCTTGGCAACACAGTGGAATCCTGTCTCTACAAAAAAATACAAAAATTAGCCAGATGCGTTAGTTCATGCCTGTAGTCCCAGCTGCTTGAGAGGCTGAGGCAGGAGGATCACTTGAGCCCAGGAGGTCAAGGCTGCAGTGAGCTGTGATTGCACCACTGCACTCTAGCCTGGGCGACAGAGTGAGACCCTATCTCAAAAAAAAAAAAAAAAAAAAAGTCCTAGATGGCATCTTCTTCCAATAGAAGGCTGTTTCATCTACATTGAAAACCTGTTTAGTGTAGCCACCTTCATCAACTATCTTAGCTAGATCTGAATAATTTGCTTCTTCATCTCATACTTTTATGTTATGGAGATGGCTTCTTTCCTTAAACCTCATGAACCAACCTCTGTTAGCTTCACACTTTTCTTCTGCAGCTTTCTCACATGTCTCAGACTTCACAGGATTTAAGAGTTAGGGCCTTGCTCTAGATTAGGCTTTGGTTAAAGGGAATGTTGTGGCTGGTTTGCTCTTCTATCCAGACCACTAAAACTTTCTCTGTATCAGCAATGTAGCTGTTTTGCTTTCTTGTCATTCATGTGTTCAATACTGATCCCTCCGGCCCTAGACAACAATAGTCAGGTGTGGCTCTTTCCTGAAGCTCCTCTTCTTCTATTTAGACCCAGGATATTTACGGCTTCTGCTTACTCTTCTTTTTTTTCTTTTTTTTGAGACGGAGTCTCGCTCTGTCGCCCAGTCTGGAGTGCAGTGGCGCGATCTCGGCTCACTGCAAGCTCCTCCTCCTGGGTTCACGCCATTCTCCTGCCTCAGCCTCCCGAGTAGCTGGGACTACAGGCGCCCGCCACCATGCCTGGCTAATTTTTTGTATTTTTAGTAGAGACGCGGTTTCACTGTTTTAGCCAGGATGGTCTCGATCTCCTGACCTCGTGATCTGCCGCCTCAGCCTCCCAGAGCGCTGGGATTACAGGCGTGAGCCACCAGGCCCGGCTTTTTTTTTTTTTTTTTGAGACGGAGTCTCGCTCTGTTGTCCAGGCTGGAGTGCAGCTGCGCCATCTCAACTCACTGCAACGTCCACCTCCCGGGTTCGAGCGATTCTGTCTCAGCCTCCGGAGTAGCTGGGACTACAGGCATGTGCCACCATGCCCGGCTAATTTTTGTATTTTTAGCAGAGACGGGGGGTTTCACCATATTGGCTATTGGCTCTGCTGGTCTCGAACTCCTGACCTCAGGTGATCCGCCCACCTAGGCCTCCCAAAGTACTGGGATTACAGGCGTGAGCCACTGTGCCCGACCTTCTCTATATTATTTTTATTTATTTTTAATTAACAAAGCATAGAAACAGATTCAGGACATTCCTCCGAAGACGTTCCAGACTCGAGTCCTAGGACATGGTTGGGGCGGGGGTCATTTGATCGAGTGGCCTGTGTCCTTATCTGGAATACGGGACGACGCTGTAACTCTAACTCACCCTGCGAACTCACAGCTTTTGAGGTAAACAAGTGAGAAAGAAGAGACAATAAAGTGATCTTTCTTTACCATCTACCAAGGACCAGGTGGTTTACACGTCAGTTCATTTTCAGGAACACAGCAGCGCTCTGAAAACTACAGAGCTTCCTGGGCGTAGGGGGCTGTGGTCGCTTGAAAAGAACCAGCCTGGGGGTCCGAGTTCCACCGGAATTGGGTTCGAGCGCGGGTGAAAAGAGGGACCCGACAGCACCCACCCTCCAAGTAGAGGCAAAAGTTGAAAGTGGCGGGCTGGCTGCGCTTCCGAAGAAACACGACTGGCGAAGGCTCACCTTAGTCTCTACGGTGGGTCCCTCCCTGTAGCCGACCCGTTCCTTGAAGCGGGCCAGAAACGCCGGCTCGGCTGGCCGCACGTACGATACCTGGTTCCGCTTGCTCATGGTAGCTCTGGGTAAAGACAGAAGACAGGTTCCGCGACGGATTCGCGACGATACAGAGGCGCTTAGCTGTGACGTCACTGGGCCACGCCCCCGATGCGTAGGCCGGGCAACATGGCGGCCTCCATGCGGGCGTCAACGTCCGATCCAAGCGCCAAATTCAAATTTGCGGCCATCTTGAGCGGGCGGAATTCAGTCGCGCGCGGTGCAGTCGGGAGGTGGAGGCACCGGCTGCATTGTTTTCGGGATCGAGGGGTGAGGGCGCTATGGCACCCGGCTGCAAAAGTAAGTCTGGGCCCCCGGCTTCGTTACCCTATTTTTGCCCCCAAATACAGCTGTGAAAGGATGGCAGCCTCGGACCGCCCGCAAGGTTCTTGCTAGGCATGAACTGCAGGAGCTGAGTGACCGGCGGGGACGTTTGGGAATCCCGCTCTGTCGCTCAAAGACAATACGCTAGCCGAAAAGCTCATCCCTTCCTTCAGTGTCCTGTGCGCATGCCAGGAGTCTGGCGCAGTTCTAGGCGCTCGGGATGAGCAGTGGACCTGACGTTCTTCCCTTTCTTTCCCTTGGTTCTGCTGTTTCTTCGCAGGCCTCTTCCCACATCCCGACCAGGGCTACCTCTCTAGATATCCTTGTCTCAGGATCGGCTTTTGCTCCCACCAGCTTCTGCGTATTTCTACATTTCTGACCTTCCTATAGGGAAGGGTTTATTTATATTCCAAACATTTCTTTCTCCTCTTTCCTTAAATAAATGGAATGTTAAAACACAGATGTCAGCAATGTCTTTATGTTCTCACAGTCTCTATTTTCACTTAAAGGAGACCCGTCCGATTTCTTTCTCTTTTTCACGGAGGAGAGCACTGTCATTTTGCTTATGATAAACCCTACAGTTTTCACTAACGTAGTCATTTGCTGTGCCTGTGTACGTGCTCCACTTCTCACATTGCCACATCTCTTAAGGAGTCTTATTTTTGTAAACCTGATTATGAGCTGATTTAATGGGATCTTTGTGAGTGGTCTGAATGGTAATGAGGAGAGGCCTGGATTAGATGATTAAGAATTTGTGAACTTCTGTCATTTGAGCTTTCCAACGCCGTTAATGTTTCTAGCTTTCTGTCAATTGTAGTCGTTTTTGATGGGTTTGTTGTTTCATTAATCTTTTAGGTCGATCACACCTAATCGGAACACCTCCTTATGCTACCTTTTTGCATATAAAATATTCCTTTTCCTTTCATCATTTTCAGTATTCAAGGACTATGAGCTCACAAAATGGTACCTTATTGGAGAGAAATGTTCATCCTGCTTTCTGAACAATCATACTGTTTGTTCTTTGTTTCCACTTTATGGATCAGTCACTAAATCTGGACTCAAGCAAAAAATTTGATGCCTGTTAAATAAGTAAAACATCTGCTTATTTAATGAGATATATGTATGTGACTGAGGGCTCTTGTCTGAAAACCAAATTTGAGAACCTTTCTAAAGTGGTGGGAGCACTCTCCTTTATGATGGTGGTGATGCCATGGGGAACTTTTCCACTCCTTTAAGTTTGTTGGCAAAATTGAGGTTGATGACTTCCCAGTTAAAGTGCTTCTTGCATTCCCAGCAGCCCAGAGGCCTGGAGCATGAAGTGGGAACACATGGGAGAAGAGAGCCCGTGCAGTGGTCTTTGCAACTTTTACTTTGTGCCCCGAAGGCTATCTCTCTCTCTCTTTTTTATTTTTGAGACAGAGTCTTGCTCTATTGCCGGGCTGGAGTGCAGTGGTGCGATATTGGCTCACTGCAACCTCCGCCTCCCGGGTTCAAGAGATTCTCCTGCCTGAGTCTCCCAAGTAGCTGGGATTACAGGCACGCGCCACCATGCCCAGCTAATTTTTTTATTTTTAGTAAAGCCGGGGTTTCACTGTGTTGGCCAGGATGGTCTCGATCTCCTGACCTCGTGATTTGCCCACCTTGGCCTCCCAAAGTGCTGGGATTACAGGCATGAGCCACCACACCCGGCCCCATGAAGGCTATCTCTAGTGACATCATTGACACCATGAGTTGCTGACTGTGAAATCAGAGAAATGAAAAAGTGAAATATACGATTCCCCCCTTTTTTTTTTTAAAGACAGTGTTGCTCTGTCACCCAGGCTGGCTGGAGTGCAGTGACGCAATCTTGGCTCACTGCAATCTCCACCTCCTGGGTTCAAGCAGTACTCGTGCCTCAGCCTCCCAAGTAGCTGGGACTACAGGCGTGCACCACCATGCCCTGCTAATTTTTTGTATTTTAGTAGAGACAGGGTTTCACCATGTTGCCCAGGCTGGTCTTGAACTCCTGAACTCAAGCAATCCACCTGCCTTGGCCTCCCAAAGTGCTAGGATTACAGGCGTGAGCCACTGCACCTGGCCTAAGATTCCCTTTCTGAACCCAATCATGTTTGGGCAAATGACTGATGAGTATTTATCTAGACTGCAGAGTAAAGCATCCAATGGTCTGTTTTAAAGCAGGAAGACTCTTTAAAAGACTTACTGTTTTGTTGAGGTATAGCTTCATGCAGTTAAGGGCACAAATCTTAATATTATTCAACAAATTTTTACATATAAATACACTAATGTAACCACCATCCAGATCAAGAAATAGAACTGTTCCTGTACTCCAGAAAGTTCCCTGTGACCCTTCCTAGTCAATAACTACCTGATCCCCAACCATTACTCTGATTATTATTATCACTGATTAGTTTTGCTTCTATTCTTGAACTTAATATAAATGGTACAGTATGTATTCTTTTTTTATTCTGGTTTCTTCAACTGAACATTATGTCTGTGATCATTGTCCATCATTGTATGTAGCAGCAGTTCTTTTTCATTGCTGTGTAGTGTTCCATTATGTGAGTATACCATGATTTGTTTATTCTCCTGTTGATTGACATTTGGGTTTTTATTATAGTTAGGGCTGTTATGAATAAAGCTACTGAGAATAGACTTAAGCATATTTTTAGATGGACACATAGAGGACCTCAAAGTTGAAAGAATTTTACAGTGAATGCCTATAGACTTCATTTTTTTCTTTTCTTTTTTGAGACAGAGTCTTGCTCTGTCACCCAGGCTGAAGTGCAGGGGTGCGATCTTGGCTCACTGCAACCTCCATCTCTGTTCAAGTGATTACTCCTGCCTCAGCCTCCTGAGTAGCTGGGACTACAGGCAACCACCACCAAGCCTGGCTATTTTTTATATTTTTAGTAGAGGCAGGGTTTCACCATATTGGCAAGGCTGGTCTCAAACTCCTGACCTCAAATGATCCACCCACCTTGGTCTCCCAAAGTGTTGGGATCACAGGTGTGAGCCACTGCACCCAGCCTAGACTTCCTTTAAATGTCAAAATTTTATGACAGCCACATGATAAACTTTTATACTCTCTTTAACCTTTGATCAAGAGGTAGCATATTGAGGTGGTTAAGAGTAGGAGATCTGGATTTAGCATGCCTTCGTTCAAATCCTAGCACTTCTCAATGATGTTTCCTTAGATCTCAATTAGAAATAATGCCAGAACTATCTACATTTGTGTAGTTTTAAATTTCACTTTCTCTCGCTATTTGCTTATTAACTTTTCTTCTTTTTTTATCAAGTAAACATTTTACTTTGGGTTCCTTTTAGATTTACCAGAAAGTTGCACATAAGTGCAGATCAGTATCCATCTAATCATTTTCCATCTGATCAGTTACAGAGATCTCTGCAGAAATGAAGAGCTGGCAGCCTACCTTCTGGGGCTTCTTATTGTTGTTTGCTTGTGTATTTGCTTAGCAACTGGCTGGATCAATTTAGTGAAGTCTATTTCCCTCCTATACTGTTAAGCCTTTGATATTGCTCCTCAGGAATCCAAAGCTCCAGCTTTGGATATGCCCACCTTTATCCTGGGATGACAGTGGTTTTGGTAGGGATCTCTTTCTTTCTATGACTGCACACAGCTGTTAAACTCCAGTAATTGTTAGCTGATTGCTCTATTGTTTTTTAACAATGCCCTGGGCATAAATTGTCTTACAAACTACTTCAATTCTTGCTCCATTGAAGGAGTAGTTTTTGAGGTTTTCTTTCATATTTCTTGTGACTCCAGTGTAGCTACTCCTAATTGTCTTATATCCCCATTGTCTTCTGCAAGTGAACAGGCCTGCAATTTAGCTTGTATCTTGAATGTCTTCCTAATTACTTTCACTAAAACCTACACTGTTCCTGAGAGTGCCCTTAGGTTTGAACTTCTCTCCACCCCCTCTCCCCCAGACGGAGTCTCGCTCTGTCACCTAGGCTGTACCACAGTGGCGTGGACTCAGCTCACTGCAACCTCCACCTCCTGAGTTCAAGCGATTCTCCTGCCTCAGCCTCCCAAGTAGCTGAGATTACAGGCATGTGCCACCATGCCCAGCTAATTTTTGTTTTGTATTTTTAGTAGAGAGACGGGGTTTCACCATGTTGGTCAGGCCGGTCTCAAACTCCTGACCTCAAATGATCTACCTGCCTCGGCCTCCCAAAGTGCTGGGATTACATCATGAGCCACCACACCTAGACAGGTTTGAACTTCTCTATGCTTTGTTGCAAATGAATTCAGCTCCTTTGGGAAGAGATTAGGAGTTATCTGTTTATGGGCTGATTCTTCCTTTAGGCAAAATCTCAGAGCCTGGGGACTTGAGTTGGGGATGGGGATAATGGCAGTCTTGTCTCTGAGTGATACCCTTTGTAGTTGCTGAGCATTTTGTGGGGAAGGTGGGGAGTGTAGCAGCCCACCTTCTAGACTTTCCTTTCCTTGTGCAGAACCACTGCCTAATGAGTTGGGGCAAGGGTGATCAGGGCCCCAGTGTTCTTAGCATGCAGTTGCAAGATGAGGGCTGTGTGGGAGAAGGGAGAGCCCTCACCTCTCAACCACACTTGTCTGGGACTTTATCTGAGCATCAGGTAGCTAGCTGGAGACACAATGATACACTGACATCCTGCTACTCTGTGGAGGAACCCCTTGCAATTAGGAGCTGGAGGGATCCCTGTGTTCTTGGCTGCTGCAATCTACAGTGGAGTGTTTGCCTTGCTGAGATGGGAGGGAGACAGCAATCTTGTTTCAAATAACACAGGATCAACTTTCTTGATGAATTTTCATGAATGTTCTTGAACAGATGTTTCTTGGTTTGCTGTTTGTCTTTGGGAACATTTCCAGAGGCTTTAATTTTCTTTTCTTTTCTTTCTTTCTTTTTTTTTTTTTTTTTTTTTGAGATGGAGTCTCACTCTGTCTCCCAGGCTGGAGTGCAGTGGCGTGATCTCGGCTCACTGCAAGCTCCGCCTCCTGGGTTCACGCCATTCTCCTGCCTCAGCCTCCTGGGTAGCTGGGACTACAGGCGCCTGCCACCATGCCTGGCTAATTTTTTGTATCTTTAGTAGAGACGGGGTTTCACCGTGTTAGCCAGGGTGGTCTCGATCTCCTGACCTCGTGATCCGCCCGCTTCGGCCTCCCAAAGTACTGGGATTACAGGTGTGAGCCACCGTGCCCGGCCAACTTTCTTTTTTTAAATTTCACCAGTTTCACTGGGGAGTGGGTCAGTGGAATTCCTCATAATGTCATGTCAGAAGTCAATCTCTGAACTCTTTTTTAACAGAATTATTCTGCCCGCTAGGTTGAGAAAAGATGAGAGTGGGGGAGAAAGAGAAGCAGAAAGACTATTGTAATAACACAATAAAGAGATATTGCTGGCTTGGTTCTACACTGTGGCAGTGGATTTGGCAAGAAGTTGTTGGATTGTGGGTATATTTTGAAATTAGAGCCAAAGCTTTGCTGAGATTGGATACGAAGAGTGAGAAAGAACAGGGTCAGGGATGACTATATGGTTTTTGGCCTAAGCAACTGGAAAGATGGAGTTAACGGAGATGTAGAAACACATTTGGGCTAGAGGTGGGGTGATCAGGAGCTCAATTTTGGACACATTAAATTTGATTCATTGCCCACTGCATATCCAGTTAGAGATATCAAATAGGTAATAAGTTGTAAGAGTGTGGAGCTCGGCTGGGCGTGGTGGCTCACGCCTGTAATCCCAGCACTTTGGGAGGCCGAGGCGGGTGGATCATGAGGTCAGGAGATGGAGACCATCCTGGCTAACAAAGTGAAACCCCGTCTCCACTAAAAATACAAAAAATTCTCAGGGCGTGGTGGCAGGCCCCTGTAGTCCCAGCTACTCCGGAGGCTGAGGCAGGAGAATGGCATGAGCCCGGGAGGTGGAGCTTGCAGTGAGCGGAGATTGCGCCACTGCACTCCAGCCTGGGCAACAGAGCGAGACTCCATCTCAAAAAAAAAAAAAAAAAAAAAGGAGTGTGGAGCTCAGGACAGCAGTCCAGGAAGGTTTAAATTTGTGAATCATCAATTTGTACCTAGTATTTAAAAACAGGCCAGGCATGGTGGCTCACTACTGTAATCCCAGCACTTTGGGAGGCCAACGCGGGCAGATCACAAAGTCAGGAGATCAAGACCATCCTGGCCAACATGGTGAAACACCGTCTCTACTAAAATACAAAAAATTAGCCAGGCGTGGTGGTGCACCCTGTAGTCCCAGCTACTTGGGAGGCTGAGGGCAGGGGAATTGCTTGAATCTGGGAGGTGGAGGTTGCAGTGAGCCAAGATCGTGGCACTGCACTCCAGCCTGGTGACAGAGCAAGACTCCGTCTCAAAAAAAAAAGAAAAGAAAAGAAAAAAAAAACCACTGATGCAAGATTTTTTGCTCCTTAGCTCAGCTAAAATCCAAGTTCGTGTTGCATGACCAGGAAAAATCAGGCACGCGGACACATCGAAAGATGAGGAGAGTGGAATTTATTAAAAGGAAGCTCTCAGTGAAAAAAAGTGTGATACACCAGCTGAAGAGGCCAGGCTTCTCCCCCTGCATAAGGTGCAAATTCCCAGTGGCTCCACTCCATTCTCCCAGGGCGCATGTGGGCCTTTAGTCTGAGCCACTCCACATTGATTTATTTTCCTTACTGCGCATGTGTTAAGGGACAGAATTTTTCAGTGACCCGGCAGGCGTTTGGCTGTCTCCTGTCTCTATCATTCCCCACTCTAAAGAAGTACATCTAACTGCCCTTAGAATAAAGATAAGGACAAAGACCAATCTTAACTGCTTCCTGCTGACAGGGGGTGCTGTGTTGGGAAAATGGCAGTCAGATTTCCCTAAGAGGCCAATCTAAAGGTTCCTGGCAAAAGGGACCATTATCTGAGGCTCCAGTTGCACGACTGGAGTTTGATGACCTGAAGGCGAGAAGAGACAAACTGAGTTATTAGAAAACATGTATCAAAACAAAACAAGGATGGGGTAAGGACAGAAGTCATGCCAGAAGTCATGCTCGAAAATCCCGAGGCCTTTTACTGGTTTGCACAGGGAGAGGGAGGCCAAAAGCCTGATTGTTAAAAGTTAAAAAAAATTTTTACCCTTTTGCTGGCTTGTCAGTCTTCGAGGTTCCCTTCCCCCAAGCCCAGTCCTAAGCTATTCTCAAGTTTAAGGTTTGGGAAATTAACTTTTCGCAGTTTAGAGGATGGATCCAAGGGGAGTGTGCTGTAGTAAGGAGACACAATTACCTATCTGTGAAGAGAGGACACAAGGGGAAAAGGAAAAAAGAAGGTGTTTTTTTCAAAGGAGTCCCAGGGGTTCAGGATGTATTCAAAAAGGCCACAGACTGAAGATGAATGGCAATCCATCAAGAAAGAGGGGAGCAGGTGTCCCTGGTTCCTTTCTCTTCCTAGTGAATACCCAGGGTAGGTGAGGGAGGGAGAAAGTGACGTGCCCCTTTTCATTTCTTCTGTCCTTATATCCCCAAGACCTGGGTGATCATCAAAGGGTGCCACCCATGAATGTCAAAGCGGCTTTCCCCCATGTTAACAGGGCTTACCCACGTACGCCCTATCTCCCCTGCTGTCAGTAGCCTTCAAGTTCTCTAGACCTCATTTATGTCGTGGATACTAGCATGATGTTTATCCATGAAACAGGAGGCTTGGCTTAATCGGCAGGAGTTAGTCATGCTCACCTGTGCTGTGCTTTTTAACTTCTGTTACCGTCTGCTTCTGGATCCCTCAGATCCAGTTTTTTTTTTCTTAGGGCTTTGACCTGAAGTTGGGAATTGAGTTTGGGACCAAAAATATGTCTCAGGGGTTGTATGGACTCCTTATCATAAGCTGAATGCTAAGGTGAAGCTGTGAAAGGGGTCCTCCTCCAAGGGAAAGAAAAGGATGCCCTGTGACACACCCAGATAACTGGTGGCTATAGTTATGTTTGCTAAGATTTGGGTGCATGGAGCTTGGCTTTGGTTAGCTCCCTTGGTCTTACTTTCCCAAAAAGGAAACCTCTGGATGACAGGCACTGTATTTATTCCCACCACCTAGCAGGATTTGCAGGATAATTGCTTAGAACTAGAATATTGATTCAGATTTTTACATTACCCATCCCCCTTTGTTCCTTCTGGGCTGTAGTTGGAGATCTCTGGTTGGATCACAGGCATAAGCAGGGTTAGTTTTTAAACGAACTAGGCAAAAAACTTGAAAACAACTAGTGGGTCTAGAATTTAATGATGATAAGTTTTTAAACATAATTTATCTCTCTCCAGTCCTCAGTTTTCTTAAAAACAAACCATGATAGGACTGAGTTGTTTGCAAAATAGACTTTGGTCTTATACTTGGCTTGATTCTTTGCATGAAGTGCAGCAAGAATACTTATTTTTACAGAGGGCTTTTAGATTGGCTTTGATGGAACTCTATTCCACAAGGAATCTCAGATAGGACTTTCTAAAGCTGAACCCAGCTGTGGGTTTTTACCCTCAAATACCTGTGAGTTGGGTAAACTCCTCTCTTCTTGAGGTCCCAAGAGCATAGGGTTCCTGGGCCTGTTAAAAAGTGACACTTCTTACTCACCGCAGATTAGGAACCCTGTACAGGGACTGTGTAGGCAAGGTATGAGGCCAGTTTTCCCAAGGAGCTTTTATCAGTTCTGCAAGTCAAGCTTGACTCCTTAAAAGGAAGCATACCCTTCCAGTCAAAGGCCTTGGTAAAACAACTAGTGTCTTCAGTTGTGTCCTGTTGCAAAGAAAATGGAATCTTATTGCACTGATGCAAACAAATATATTGTCATAAGTTAAGTATACTCACAACTAGTTTCCAAATTCTGGAGAAGCCAGGCAGAGAGAGAGAGACAAACATGCTCCAAATTTTGTTCACAGGAGTATACCTTACTCAATTATTAAAGGCTGTAAATAGTTCAAAATAAGTTTCCTTCACTCTGAAAAACAAAGCAAGGATTGGCAATGGTCCAAGCGAAAGTCAAAAAGATTACTTCAGTTTTGTATTCATTAAGTCCATCCAGTTAACTCTTGTTTTGCTTGATATTCATGAACATTTCAGCTCTTCATGAGTCCTGTTTGTTTTTTCTTTATTCTAATGTCTCAATCTCCAAAGTTATCAGAAACCTGCATTTGAGAGCACCTATGAAAGTTCTATGGCTGATTATAAACCATCTTTTGAAGAGGATGAAAACAAGACAACAATTGTCTGTGAATAACAAAATGTCCAGGGTAGTTAGAGTCAGAAACAGAATTGACAAATAAATTTGGTTATCTCTGTGGTTTATAATAACTTAACATAACAACCTTAATTGTGATTGATAGCATATACTCATGATGGGGCCCTAAGATAATTTCTGATGGCCTGGGACTCCTCGGAAAAAACAGAAAAGGCACCACAGATTCCATTTTTATGGCCAGACACTAGAATTTTAGGAATCCTTTACAATTTTGGAACATATATTAATATTATTCCCTAAAATATAACCTGAAGAAGATTAAACATTATTTTGGCAATCCCATGTACCTAAACATGTCAGGTAATCCTGTTTACCTCTCTTCTGGATGTGTCAGGGGCCCTCTGTAGCATCCAAAAGCCAGGTGTCAGGAAAGACAATTTTGAAACTGAAGTTTGATTTTGGGAAGCCTGTTGAATATGTTAGAGGTTTAAAACATTTGATTTTATGAAATAGAATTCCAGATTACCGTAAGTTATTTATTTTGTCAAAATGATGACTCAGAAATTTTAAAAAGCAAAAACCTTTTATAACCCTTTACAGATTTAGCTAAAGAGCAGATTGGTGCCTTAAGAGAACCTTGTTGTGCTTTTATTTCAATGCTCAATTTATGGAAAAGCCATATAATACCCTTTTGAATTTAATCAGTATGTTCACACAAGGAATTTTTTTTTGCAAGATCAATTTTTACAATCCTTCCACTACTTGTTTACACATTTAGCTTTATCTTATCTAATTCAAAACAGTCCTTTAACCCTAGGCAAAAATGTACATTTTGATGACATCTGCATTTTACCAATAATTTTTAAGGCTGTTTTTATTTCTCAAAGATTAAAGTCATGTGAACTAAAAGGTACCACAGCTCTTCTTTCCTTTAAAAAATATTTGATCTAAGTGCTTATTTTCCTTTAGGCCAATTAATTAGAACTCTTGTTTATAGAGATCACACACACAACACATACATAACTACACAGCCAGAAGAAGATCCAGTAGCTGTAAGATTTTCTGTTCACCAATTTCGTAACTGGACAATTAGCCTCTCAGTGGGGCCCTTTAAGAGCAGGGCTAGGAAAGCATGTAGTTTCTAGGGCCTAGTAAACAGGTATAGCTAGAAGACAAAAACAGATTTTGAGAGGGATCCATCCACCTCTAATTCCTGGGGCTCCATTAGGAAAACAAAGGTCTCTCCCAAAATGGAATCCATGGAGACTTTTCTATTTTTCCCAAGGAGTCTCAGGCCATCAGAAATTATCTTAGGGCCCCTCATGCATGCATTAAGAGGGGCAAGACAAAATGGAGAAAAAGAATTCAGTTGACTGAGAAAAAAACCTTTACCCAGCAAAATAAGATCTAAGAAGAGAAAAACATAAAGGTCTTTTAAATATACTTATAACTTGGATATCCACTTTCAATTAAGCTGAACGCTTTTTAAGAAAATCCTTTTGAGTCCCTTATTACCCGACATTAGCCATGCAAAGTGGCCAGTATTTCTGACTTCCAAACTTTACCAAAGGTAACTTCCCAGGTGCTCAGAGAAAGGAAAATTCAAGGTGGTTCATGGAGGGAAAGAGAATCAACAAATAGCTAAGGTCACACAGATATCAAACCAGAAAGGACTCATTCCTTAAGCCAGGATTGAATCCAGGCCACCATTGTAAAATGGCAGAGGCTAAAACAAAGCACTGGGCACGTGGTTACAGGCCGTGCTTCCAAGGACATAAAACAAGATGGAGGCCTGCAGCAAAGTTTGCCATTAACCAGTTTGCCGGGCTGGTTTGAACAGTGGACCTATGGAGTCCTATGCCAGCATCCCATCCTAAGGTACCCCTCTTTCTGACAGAGCCATACAGAAAGACATGGAAAGCACACCAGCTTGGTTACAGCTTAAGACCAACCTCACAAATCCTTTTTCATAATTGAAACCTTACAGAGAATATAAACAGTGATAGTTGGGGTCTTGGCCTAGTAAAACATCTTAAAAAAAAAAAAACAACAACAAAGCCTCTCACATAAAAGTTAATCTCTGGTGGAAAAAAGAAAAAAAAACTTTAAATGCAGGGCTTGAAAGATGCCTGAAAGGAGAACCTCTTATTCTTATGCAAATGAGTTTTTGCAGCAGGGAGAGAAATCTTTAATTGCTGTTTCTTCCCTGGGGCTTGAACCTAGCTGGGCCCCTTGGCTAGGGGAGGGGAGGACTCTGTGGGCATGTGGCGGGAAACCCTGGCCAGCCAGCCAAGTGGGGCCCTTGGGCCATGCACCCCAGCCCCACCCAGAAGGGGAGGGATGCAAGGAACTGCCACTCGCCCCACTTGCCTGTCCATCCTACGCATGAGCCTGCAGCCACTGGGTTGCGGGTAGAACACCCCCAACATTGTAGAAGAAAAGATAGGTGCCATTACAGTCTCAAAAAAAAGAAGGAAAATGCCACAGAAAGGCTGGGTTGGAATGAGGCCAACATTCCCTACCCCTGAGAGCGATGAGGGGTAGAAGGGGGCACAGTTTCCTCTATTCTCAGAAGAAGTCCGAGGACAAGAAGCCTCAGAAACAAGAGGGAAAAATATTTTTTGGTTCACATTTTACTCACCTTTACTCATGTTCTTATATGGGCCACCAAAATGATGCAGGATTTTTTGGTCCTTAGCTCAGCTAAAATCCAGGTTCTTGTCGCATGACCAGGAAAGATTAGGCACATGGATACATTGAAAGGTGAGAAGAGCAGAATTTATTAAAAGAACGCTCTCAATGAAAAAAGGAGGTCCTGCGAACAGGCTCCCACCTCACAGATTGAATACCAGGCCACAACACACCAGCTGAAGAGGCCAGGCTTCTCTCCCTGCATAAGGCACAAATTCCTAGTGGTTCCACCCCATTCTCCCAGTGTGCATGTGGGCCCTTAGTCTGAGCCACTCCATATTGATTTATTTCCCTTACTGTGCATGTGTTGAGGGATGGAATTTTTCACCGTGGGCAGGTTTAGGCAAGCCCCCTGTGCACAATGACCTGGGCAGCATTTGACTGTCTCCTGTCTCTATCACCATGAGACTAGGTGTTACAACCAGTAATGGGTTGGGATAGAATGAGAATAGGATCAAGGCCTGGGCTGTGGAGCACAGCATTGTTAAAGTCAGGGATCTGAGGAGGCTGAATGTAGCAGGCAACCCAGGAACATGTTAGAGAAGAATAGGATTTCCATATTACAATTTAAATGACCTTTAATAACTTTTTTTTTTTCTAGCTGAGTTACGCAGCGTGACAAATGGTCAGTCTAACCAACCAAGGTAAGGAGAAAAATATTCTCAATGAGCTCCCAAAGGACTAGGGATGGAATATTTTTAAAATAACCATTTAGCATAGTAAAGAGTACTTATTTCAAAATTTAACTTAGTCCTCAACCAGCTGGAAATGTGGGAAAACTGCATATTACCTCTGCCCTCTCACTTTCCAGGCAAAATGATAGAATCAATAGCATAATTCTCCTTGGGAATGACTTATTTATTATTGCTAGTAAGAGGGAAATGAGAGACAAGCACTACTTGGAACTCCATGCAATGAACACACACTCCCTTTGAGTTCAAGTAAAGGGATGTGAAGGTGCCTATTGTGAAGTAAATCAGTAAAAGGTATAGGTCATGTGAGACTCTGTAAAAAGAGATAAATTTGGCTGGGTGCAGGGCTCACGCCAGTAATCCCAGCACTTTGGGAGGCCAAGGTGGGCAGATAACCTGAGGTCAGGAGTTCAAGATCAGCCTGGCCAGTATGGTGAAACCCTGTCTCTACTAAAAGTACAAAAATTAGCTGGGTGTGATGGCAGATCCCTGTAATCCCAGCTACTTGGGAGGCTGAGGCAGGTGAATCACTTGAACCCAGGAGGTGGAGGTTGCAGTGAGCCAAGACTGCACCATTGCACTCCAGCCTGGGCAACAAGAATGAAACTCCATCTCAAAAAAAAAAAGAGGTAAATTTGTATGGGATATGTCTTGGGCTTTGTTGGAGAAACTCATTATAGAAACATTATAGGCAATATGAGACTTGGATCCTTTTTCAGTTTTCTTCTTCAATAAACTGAACTGTTACTTTCTTTTTTTTGTCTTTAGTAATGAAGGTGATGCCATCAAAGTTTTTGTGCGAATTCGTCCTCCTGCAGAAAGATCTGGGTCAGCTGATGGAGAGCAGAACTTATGCTTATCTGTGCTGTCCTCCACGAGTCTCCGGCTGCACTCCAACCCTGAGCCCAAGACCTTCACGTTTGATCATGTTGCAGATGTGGATACCACTCAGGTAATGATAATTAGAAACTTAACTTTTTTTTTTTTTTGAAAAGGAGTCTCACTCTGTCACCAGGCTGGAGTGCAGTGGCATGATCTCGGCTCACTGCACCCTCTGCCTCCCGGGTTCAAGTGATTCTCCTGCCTCAGCCTCCCGAGTAGCTAGGACTACAGGTGCGCGCCACCATGCCTAGCTAATTTTTGTATTTTTAGTAGAGATGGGGTTTCACCATGTTGGCCAGGATGGTCTTGATCTCTCGACCTCGTGATCTGCCCGCCTCAGCCTCCCAAAGTGCTGGGATTACAGGTGTGAGCCACCTCGCTGGAAACTTTACTTTTTACCTGGAACATATAAGCCTCCAAATTTCATTTCTTGGCCAGGCGTGGTGGCTCATGCCTGTGATCCCAGCACTTTGGGAAGCTGAGGGGGCAAATCATGAGGTCAGGAGATCGAGATCATCCTGGCTAACACAGTGAAACCCCGTCTATACTAAAAATACAAAAAATTAGCTGGTTGTGGTAGTGGGCACCTGTAGTCCTAGCTACTCGGGAGGCTGAGGCAAGAGAATGGCATGAACCTAGGAGGCGGAGCTTGCAGTGAGCGGAGATCGCACCACTGCACTCCAGACTGGGCAACAGAGCAAGACTCTGTCTCAAAAAAAAAAAAAAAAATTTCTTTTCTGGGCTGGTCTCTTTTTAATTTCATCCGTCTCAAATAAGGAGACTGAAACGTTCCATAAATATTTTAAATTTAATCTTATTAAATAGTATTCTCCTTTTTTCATCGAACTTTGTAGCAGAATGACAAAAGCCTTCTTTTTTTTTTTTCCCCCCACTAAGTGATAGGAAATTATGGGCGTAGTGGCACATGCCTGTTATCCCAGCTACTTGGAGGGCTAAGGCAGGAGGATCACTTGAGCCCAGGAGTTTGAGGCTGCAGTGAGCTATGATGGTGCCACTGCACTCCAGCCTTGGCAACAGAGCAAGACTCTATCTCTTAAAAAAAAAAAAAAAAGATCTGTGATGTTCATTGTAGTAGCCATTAGTTATATGTGGCTATTTAGATTTAAATTAATTAAATAAAACTTGAAAGTCAGTTCCTCATATACACTAGTCATATTAAAAGTGTGGCTCATGCATCTGAGGCACTGGAGGTTAGTGAAGATGCACTTTTTGGAGCCAGTGGATGATTGAGAAGTACTGTTGAACTGCCTAATCTAAGGATTTAGGATTACCGTGATGTCAACAACTGCTTTTCTAATTAAGGTCAACTTAATTAAGACCTAGTTAGTGCTATCCAATGGAACTTTCTGCAGTGATGGAAATGTTCTGTATCTGTGCTGTCTGTTACAATAGCCTCTAGCCAAATGTGACTATATGAGTTTAAATTAATTAAAATTAAATCAAATTTAAAATTCAGTGCCTCAGATGCACTAGTCACATGTGGCTCCTGAGCACTTTTAATATGGTTAGTGTGTATGAAGAACTGGCTTTTAAGTTTCGTTCAATTAATTTAAATCTAAATAGCTACATATAACTGATGGCTACTATACTGAACATCACAGATTTTTTTTTTTTTTTTTTTTTGTAAGAGATGGTGTCTTGCTTTGTTGCCAAGGCTGGAGTGCACAAATAATCCTCCTGCTTAGCCTCCCAAGTAGCTGTGATTACAGGCATATGCCACTATGCTTGGCTAATTTTTTTTTCATTCCAGGATAAATCTCAGTTATGCCAAGCTAAATTTTAAATTTTTTGTAGAGATGGAGTCTTACTATGTTCCCTAGGCTGGTCTCGAACTCCTGGCCTCAAGCAGTCCTCCCATCTTGGCTTCCCTAAGTGCTAGGATTACAGGTGTGAGCCACTTCATGCAGCCCATCACAGATCTTAAGTATTCCCTTATACATATGGATGTTTTTGGGCCAACATTTAGATCTTTGGATCTTTTTTTTATGTGGAGCATCGCTGGCCAATAGATAAGTAAAACGAGGACTGGGTGCTGTGGCTCACGCCTGTAATCCCAGCACTTTGGGAGGTGGAGGTGGGCGGATCACGAGGTCAGGAGTTTGAGACTAGCCTGACTAACATGGTGAAACCCCGTTTCTACTAAAAATAAAAAATTAGCCAGGCATGGTGGTGTGCACCTGTAGTCCCAGCTACACAGGAGGCTGAGGCAGGAGAATTGCTTGAACCTGGGAGGCGGAAGTTTCAGTGAGCCGAGATTGCGCCATTGCACTAAAGGCGACAGAGTGAGACTCCATCTCAAAAATAAATAAAAATAAACAGTGTAGGGTTGGGAGTTCTTGCATTTGTAGTAAGACTGCATCTCCTTGTAGGTAAAAATGAAAATAAAATGGAGGTATTGACTGTTCAGTGCAAACTTATGAGAAAAATCACTGAAGAAGATGTACAGCCGTTTATTTATGCTAGTACCAGTACAATATCTACATGCAATATGCTCTACAAAATTCTGTATAAAGTTTAGTTGTGTGCTTTAAATCTATAGGTGTATAGGAGATTAATAGATGTAATTATGTGTAAAGTTGAATCATCTTAGATAGTTTAGCCTTTTTTCTGTAGTGGATGTTATCCATGTTATTACTAAGCAATTTTTGCTGTTACATTGTAGAATGCAATTTAGGAAAAATGTTTTCATTTTTATGATATGTTAACATGTTTGGTTACATTTGTAGGAATCTGTATTCGCAACTGTGGCTAAAAGCATTGTGGAGTCTTGCATGAGCGGTTATAATGGTACCATCTTTGCATAGTAAGTTGTTGACTGTGTCCTTATACATAGTACATGCTTGAATTATTTTCCTGTTGCTGTTGTAACAAATTACCACAAACGTAGTGGCTTAAAACAACACAAATGTATTATGTTACAGTTCTGTAAGTGAAAAGTTCAACATGGGTCTCTCACAGGTAAAATCAAGGCGTCAGCAGGGATGCAATTCTTTTGGCAGCCTTGTTGCTTTCTGGAAAATTTGTTTCTTTGCCTTTTTCAGCTGCTAGAGGCCACCCACATTACTTAGCTTACAGCCCTGTTTATCTTCAAAACCAACAACATGTAACTCTTTGACTCTTCTTCCTTAGTCACACCTCCCTCTGACAGCAGCTAAAAAAGGTTTTCTGATTTTAGGGACTAATGATTAGATTGGCCCCTCCTGGCTATCAAGGTAGCAGGGATTACACTCCAAGGTAGAGGAGTAGTGTAGAGCAGAGTATCTGTCTATCTATATATATATAACTTTTTTTTGTAAGAAAGTTTGTCCAGCCAGGCGTGGTGGCTCACGCCTGTAATCCTAGCACTTTGGGAGGCTGAGGTGGATGGGTCACTGGAGTTCAGGAGTTCAAGACCAGTCAGGCCAACATGGTGAGACCCCCGTCTCTACTAAAAATACAAAAAAAATAGCTGGATGTGGTAGTGGTCGCCTGTAGTCCCAGCTACTTGGGAGGCTGAGGCAGGAATCACTTGAACCCAGGAGGCAGAGGTTGCAGTGAGCCGAGATTGCACCACTGCACTCCAGCCTGGGTGACAGGGCGAGACTCCGCCTCAAAAAAAAAAAAAAAAAAAAAACCAAAACAAAAAAGAAAGATTTGTCTGTTTTCCACATTTATTCAATTCTTTATATGTTATGGATATGCATTTATTTTATTCTTTAGGTTATAATCCAGTACTAAAAATTATTTACCTTGTTGTTCTTGTTGTTCCAGCTTTGCCCAATGGGCCCTCCTTGAGGTTGGTTTTTGTGTCCCTTTGCTATAGCTCATCCTTTTGTTTTTTGAGCCCCTTCTTACTTTATGATGCTACAAGATGCTCTGGGCTCATCTTGTGTTTTCCCTGACCTACGCCTAGAATCAGCCATTTCACCAATGAACCCTAATTCCTTTTATTGGAGCATGGTATTTAGAAACCAAGATCTGGGCGCTAGGTGTGTTTGGTTTGTTGCTATTGGAATGCCATTGCTTCTAGGCCTTCTCAGCAGACAGAGCTAGGTAATACATGGCAGGGTGGGTATACTGTCTGGTTTACTGAGGACAATACCAATTGTCAAGTAATTATTAGTAGTGTCCTCTTCACTCTCAAGTGCCTGTTTGGACAATAATCTATAGGATTACCCTATTTGTGGCTGGGCACGGTGGCTCACACCTGTAATCCCAGCACTTTGGGGGGCCGAGGTGCGTGGATCACGAGGTCAGGAGTTCAAGACCAGCCTGGCCAAGATGGTGAAACCCCATCTCTACTAAAAATACAAAAAATTAGCCGGGCGTGGTGGCAGATGCCTGTAGTCCCAGCTACTCAGGAGGCTGAGGAAGGAGAATCATTTGAACCCGGAGGGTGGAGGTTGCAGTGAGCCGAGATCGTGCCACTGCACTCCAGCCTGGGTGACAGAGTGAAAAAAAAAAAAAAAAAAAGGATTACCCTATTTGTAGAGGACTCAATAATATCCATTTCTCATTCTGAGTTACTAAAGAATTTTTTTCCCTCTTTTCTTCCAGAAGAAGGGGGTAAAAAACTATAGCATACTGTTTTCTAGTTTTGGGGGGCATTTAATGAAAAAGTAAATCCAAAATTTTCTGTTTTTGCTGTGAATCTAAGCTAAAGTCTTTTGATATCTTGATTAACATCTTTAAAATACAACTTTTTTTTTTTTTTTTTTTTTTAAAAGAGATGGAGTCTTGTTATGTTGCCCAGTCCTGGAGTGCAGTGGCTATCCACAGCTGTGATTCTAGTGCACCACAGCCTGGAACTCCTGGGCTCAAGCCATCTTTCTACTTCAGCCTCCTCAGTAGCTGGAACTGCCTGGCTTCAACGTTTTTACTTTTAGTTTTTTGTTACTCTTGTTTCTGTTAAGTGGGATAACAGGAGAGATGACATTGCACAAAAACCTATAGCATAAGAATTTTTTTATTGCTTTATATTTAAATGAAGAGATTTTAGTATCTTTTAAAGACAAAGAATTTAGGAAAGGAAATGCTGTATTACTTGGCATAGCAAAAATTGGAAACAAAAGTTCATTTGATTCTGGTTAAATAAATTATGGTGCTGCAAGATGCTATATGATCCCAAAACCATGGAATACTGTGTAGCTATTAAAAATAATGAGGCAGACCTCTATTGCTGACCTAGGAAGATATCTGAGGTAAAATTAAGGGAAAAATAGGTTGCAAAGCAGTATGAAGAGCATCATCCCAATTTTGGTAAATAAAAATTAAATGAAAACTCTGATGGCTATGTTTGTGTAATATAGAAGCATTTGCCAATTAACAGCAGTTAGCTCTTTGTAGGGAGATTGGAGAGAAAGGAGGCAGATCATTCACTTTTTATCTAATAGAATTTAAAAATAGAAAGAAAATAAGCTAACTTTTTGTGGAGAAAACTTATACACTAGTATTATAATAGGAGGAGTAGTCTTTTAATTTTATGTGTAAAAATAATATGTAAAACATTTTTTACAGTGGACAGACTGGCTCAGGGAAGACATTTACTATGATGGGTAAGTAAAGATTAACTTTTGTTGGCTTAATCTACTCTTTCTGTGATAACAGTAACCTACAACATTTTGGGGAAAGGCATAATTTCTATATATGATGTTGATCTCTTGAAATTAGGGAAATTCCCTAGGCTTCTGCCAAGTTGTGAGTTCTTTGCTAGCAAAGTCCATGTGTTAATCATGTTTGCAGCTATGTTTCCAGCTCAATGCCTGGCACAGAGTGGTGCTGAATAAACAGTTTTTCAGTAGGATTTAATGAATTCGTATATGTTTATACACCTGTATAACCACTAACCAGATCAAGATTCCTGGTCAGTAACTACCAAACCCTGTCCCCTGGAATGCCAATTACTCTGATTTCTGTCATCATTAATATTGCTTGTTTTTGATCCTCTACAAATAATATTTTGTTGTGTATCTTTTGTTTCTGATGTCTTTTAGTGTTAAGTTTCTGCGATTCACTCATGTTGTTGCATGTAGTAGTAGTTTATTTCCATTACTGTATAATATATTATCGTATGAATATACTACACATTTTCCAGTCTACTGTTGATAGACATTTGGATTATTTCAACTTTTCAACCATACGAATAATGTTGCTGTGAACATCTTTCTTGTGTCTTTTCAAATAATTTATGTTGGATATGTATCCAGGAGAATTGCTGGATCATAGGATATATGTATATTTAGCTTTAGTAGATTCTGCCCAACAGTTTCCCAAAGTGATTATCTCAGTAGTATATGGAAGTTCCAGTTGCTCCACTTCCTTATATATACTTGAAATTGTCAATTTAAAAAATTTTAGCCATTCTTGAGTATGTATAGTATTATCTTATTGTGTATTTATTTCTATTGACAACTGAATACCTTTCATAGGTTTAATTCGATATATCAATACCCTGTCTGTTGAAATGCCCATTCAAGCTTTTTTCTCCCATTTAAAAAATTAGCTTGACTTTTTCTTACTCATTTGTGGATATTCCTTATAAAACAGAGAAGTTAGCCTTTTGTCCATGATATGGATTCCAGATTTTTCTCTAGATTTTTCATTTGTCTTTTGACTTACTTAAGGTTTTTTTTTCTATGCTAAAGTTTTATTTTACATGGCTGAATTTGTTTCTTTTCTTTTTCTTCTTTTTATTTTTTTTGAGACGGAGCCTGCCCCTGTCGCCTAGGCTAGAGTGCAGTGGTACAATCTTGGCTCACTGCAACCTTTGCCTCCTGGGTTCAAGGCTATTCTCCAGCCTCAGCTTCCCAAGTAGCTGGGATTGCAGGCATGCGCCACCACACCCAGCTAATTTTTGTATATTTAGTAGAGACGGGGTGGGGGGCGCGTCTCACCATGTTGGCCAGGCTGGTCTCGAACTCCCGACCTCAAGTGATCCACCTGCCTCGGCCTCCCAAAGTGCTGGGATTACAGGCAGAAGCCACTGCACCTGGCTTCTTTTTCCTTAATGGCTTCTGAATTGTGAGTTGTAGTAAGAAAGGTCTTCCTCGCTCTCTGAGGTTATAACAACAACAACAACAAATAATTGAATACTTGTACTTACAGTATGCCCAGCACTCTTCAAGACACTGTTGGTTTACTTGAATACAAGGCAGTGTCCTGGCTCTTGTGGACCTTCTGATTCTCAGGCAGAGGGAATACACAATTAAAAGCAAATACACCTCTAGAAATTATGCCAAAGGTAATAAGTGCTATGAATTAAAATAAAGCAATGTAAAGGGATGGAAAAAAGTAGAGGGTGCTATTTTAGGTGGTGGGTCAGGAAAGACCTCTCAGGAGGTGACCTTTGGAGTTATTAAGTGAAATGAGAGTGAACCATGAGACTGTCCAAGAGAATAATCTTACAGGCAGAGGAACAGCAGTTGCACAGGCCCTGAGGTGGGTGCACACCCAAGGATGTTTGAAGACCAGCAGAAGACCCACTGAGAGTGGAGTTTTCCAGGATAAGGGGCTGGTAGCATGGGAAGTCGGAGCTATACCCTAGGCCAGGTCATATAGGCCTGGTGAGGATTTTGGATTTTGTTTTGAATATGATGTGACATTATTGGAAGTGTTCTTTTTTAAAATAAACAAATAGGAAGTACATGATCTGATATTAAAAGGATTACTCAGGCAGCTAAATGGAATAAAGACGATTAGGGGATAGAGCGGGATTAGGAGATACTGCAGTGGGTTAGGCAAGAGATGATGAAGGTAATTAAAGATTTGTTGAATCTTTGTCTTAGTCTATTTGTGTTGCTGTAAAGGAATACCTGAGGCTGGGTAATTTATAAAGAAAAGAGGTTTACTTGGCTCACAGTTCTGCAGGTCATAGAGGAAGCATGGCACCAGCATCTGCTCGGCTTCTGGTGAGGGCCTCATGCTGCTTCAACTCATGGCAGAAGACAAAGGGGAATGGGCATGCAGGGATTACATGGTGAGAGAGGAAAGTGAGAGAGAGAGAGAGACAAAGAGAGAGAGAGATGAGGAGGTGCCAGGCTCTCTCCAACAACTAGTTCTCTTGGGAAATAAGAGAACTCACTCCCATGAGAATGGCACCAAGCCTTTCATGAGGGGTTGTGCCCCCCACACTCCATGACCCAAAAATGTCCCAGCAGGCGACACCTCCAACAGTGGGGATCAAATTTCAACATGAGAATTGGGGCAAAACATACTATATCTTTATATAATATATTCTTCAATGGGAAAATGATGTAAAATTATCTACATGTTCTAATATTCATTCTCTTTATTTACTTGCATTTTTCTACCTCTGTTATATATTTCTTAAGCTACAGATTACAAGGACCATTTTAAATATTCCAGGTGTGGTACAAGGCCTTCTACCAAAGACAACTATTATATTTTAAAATTTATTCTCTATTTTTCTTGTGCATGTCAGCATTTTGTTAGTTCCTTTGGTCTCTAAGGCATACTTCACCAATATTTTGATTGTTAAATAGATCTAGATCTTTTCTAGCTATATATACTTTTCTGGTAAATATTGCTATAACTTGAATTAGAATTCCTTAGAATCCTGCTATTTGCATATCCACTCTTCCTTTTCCCAGTGTAACAAAATAGAGACTCTGCATTTTTCTGTCTATGTGGAAATCTTGTAAGATATTCTTACAGTACTTTTCTTACCAGCTTGGCTTTTATTGCCTAATTTTAAAAAAATCAACTAGCTAATCCTGATTTTTAGTACTTAATGTGTTTAAAGCACTAACATGGCTCTAAGTGCTTTACCTTTACACTCTCAGTTAATTCTTTCTTTTTGTTTTGAGACGGAGTCTCACTCTGTCGCCCAGGCTGGAGTGCAGTGGCGCCATCTCGGCTCACTGCAAGCTCCGCCTCCCAGGTTCACGCCATTCTCCTGCCTCAGCCTCTCCGAGTAGCTGGGACTACAGGCGCCCGCTACCACGCCCGGCTACTTTTTTTTTTGTATTTTTAGTAACGATGGGATTTCATCGTGATCTCGATCTCCTGAACTTGTGATCCGCCCGCCTCAGCTTCCCAAAGTGCTGGGATTACAAGCGTGAGCCACTGCGCCTGGCCTCTCAGTTAATTCTTTCCAATAACCCTATGTGATATTTATTACCATTATTATCCCCATTTTATAATTGAGAACTCTGCAGCTTAAGAGGGATTTAGTAATTAGCCTATGGTCACACAGTATGGGGCCAAGGCCTGGAGCACAGGTCAGTCTATGAGACCAAATGTGCTGCAATAAAGGACAATTATTTGATATTCCTGCAGATTTTGGTACCTGGCAGTTGGAAAAATTTCAATTTCTCTCACAGACCTAGATTTAACTTGCTTGGAGCACAAGTAGGAAACTGATTGTATGGTGTATCATCTAATTTCTGTGTAAATTGCCATTTTGAAAGACTCTTGGAATAGAATAAAAATCCAGTGTTTTTTTTTTCATTTTTTTAGGACCATCTGAATCTGATAATTTTTCTCATAACCTGAGAGGAGTAATCCCACGAAGTTTTGAATATTTGTTTTCCTTAATTGATCGTGAAAAAGAAAAGGTAAAACAATGTAAAAATAAAGTGGTTCTATGAAATGTCTAATTTTGAATAGGTAGCTACTGATAATTAGCTCATGATACATGGTGGAGCATGGATGGTACTCTACAATATGAATAGACTAGCGTGGCATAAAAAAAAACCTTTCAATTCTGAGGATAATATTAAGGATTCTGAGTTGTTTTATCTCAACTGAGTTTTTAGTTTATAAAACATGCATTATCCTTTATCCCAAATTGCTGGTTTACAAGAAAGGAAAATAGTGCTTCTGAGGCTCTCAAAAAAAGATTTTGTAAGAGAGAAACTGTAAAGAAAATCTCAACTGAGGAAAACAGATACATTAATACACTAAGCCTAATCATCTACCTGTACCTAGGCTCACAGGTGACTGCAGGTGTCCCTAAATCCTCATGACATCCAGCAGTGATGGACTCATCCTCACCACCTTTGTAGCACCTGCTACTGCCTTCCATGATCTTTGTGCTCCACATGTGGTATGGCTCCATCACCCTGGGGATATGGTCTTTCCTCTTGCATTGGCTCCCAGGTTGGGCCTTCTCACAGTTGTGCTGATTTAGCTTGGTGAATTCGGGGCTTAGAACCATTAGTGTTTTATGTTCCATTACTTGTGTACCAAAGAAATATATAACATTGGTTTACCATTTACTCCTTTGCAGAAATCACCTAACACTGAAATTAGACACACAAATTGTATGGCAGTGAAATAATTTAGTACCATGCATTTCTATGGTTAAAAATCCTATAAAGTCTTTTAAAATAAATTATTTTCAATCGTTTGAAGAACATAACACTTGCTTCAAATAAAACTTTATGAGGACATCAAATATATAAGACAGACAAAAATGGAATTTCCCAACTGGACTGCTCAATTCTCCTCCCCCTGTATTAGCTCCCAGGCACCTGTGGAGGCCTCTAGGGTGCCTGGCACCACAGTTTGATGCAGCTCTAAAATATAATGATGTGTTAAAACTAGTTATCAGCTGAGCACGGTGGCTCACGCCTGTAATCCCAGCACTTTGGGAGGCCGAGGCAAATCACGAGGTCAGGAGATCGAGACCATCCTGGCTAACACAGTGAAACCCCGTCTCTACTAAAAATACAAAAAATTAGCCGGGCGTGGTGGCGGGCACCTGTAGTCCCAGCTACTCGGGAGGCTGAGGCAGAAGAATGGCGTGAACCTGGGAGGCAGAGCTTGCAGTGAGCCAAGATCGCGCCACTGCACTGCAGCCTGGACAACAGAGTGAGACTCCATCTCAAACAAAACAAAAAAACTATTTATCTAGATTTTTTTTACTTTTAGGTATCTTATATTGTATTAAAGGATAATAGCATAGGAAATTTACATCTTGTGAAGCGAGTGCAAAATTAATGCTCATGAAAACTAGGTATGAACACATGAAAATAATGTATCTAAATGAGGCTTCTTTTTTACAGGCTGGAGCTGGAAAGAGTTTCCTTTGTAAGTGTTCCTTTATTGAAATCTACAACGAGCAGATATATGATCTACTGGACTCTGCATCGGCTGGACTGTACTTAAGGGAGCATATCAAGAAGGGAGTCTTTGTTGTTGGTGCGGTGGAGCAGGTGGTAACCTCAGCTGCTGAAGCCTATCAGGTACCCTGCCATGAGTACTTAATTGGTGCTTAGGCAACAAACCTGCTGTGAATGCACCCCAAACTCCAAAAAGTGACAATTGAGGTACCAAAAATATGTCATAAAGGCATAATACAGAATGTTCATGGGAAGTAAAGATAAAATAATATGGCAGTATTTTCTTTTCCAAGAGTCTTTCAAAATGGAACCTCGAAAGGGCAATTTATACAGAAATAAGATGATACATTGTATCATCAGTTTCTTACTTGTCCATATGTTTTTAGTGGTTCCTCCTGGGAGATGCCTGTTTGAGGGGCTTCTGGGAACTCTGGCCTTTAAACCAGCTGGCTGTTCTTTTCTACGTTGCTTGCTTGTTAGGTGTCAAAAGCTAACTTACCTTGAGCATTCAGCTCAGGACAAGCAAACCTCTTGACAGGAATTTACAAAATATTCTAGATATGTTTTTATGAAATCTGATCTGGCTTAATGATTTGAAAGTTTTTTATTATGAAGCATTTGACACATATGAAATATTGCCACAAGCATGTAAGTTACCAAGCATAATGTTAAAGTGAACTTTCAGGAGGCTTTTAGACAATTTAAAGACCCTGGTATCACCAGTACTATCCGATTTACTGGTGATATTTGGTTCTTTAAATATGCTATAAATAGGTAAATAGGATACCTGTCCTCCCTATCCCATATCCCTGGCTCTTCCCCAAAATTAAGCACTAAGTTGAATGTCATTATCATTTTCTTCCACTTTTAAATCACATATGTATGTGGTTTTGCCTGTTTTTGAGTTTGAAAAACACATATTTAGCTTTCTATGACTTTTAAAACTCAATGTGGTTTATGAAATCTACGTTGCATTTCATTTATTTTCACTGCTGTATGATATTTTATAATTTATTCTTTTATCTTCAATAAAAGATGGAATCAAGTCTCTTGATTCCAGCTGTTTAAATTGAGACTCCCCCCGGCGAGAGATAGGTTGTACATGTGACGTAGTATGTGTATACATACATACTCAAAAATTTGTGTTGGGTTTTTTATTGGAATTACATTGCAGTTATAGACCAGTCTGGAGGGATTAACAATTCTTTTTACAATGTTTTACAATATTCAGTCCATACATTAGCATAGTATGTCTCCTCTTTTTAGATCTTTAATGTCTTGCAATATAATTTTAATAATTTTCATCATAAAAGTCACACATACTTTTTGTTAACTTTATTCCAGTATACCTTATGTTTTTAGTTTCTCTAATAATCTCTTTCTTATTTTCATTTTTATTTATTTTTTTATTTGTTTTTTTGGAGACAGAATCTTGCTCTGTCACCCAGGCTGGAGTGCAGTGGTGCAATCTTGGCTCACTGCAACCTCCGCCTCCTAGGTTCAAGCAATTCTCGTGCCTTAGCCTCCCAAGTAGGTGAGACTACAGGCGCGCACTGCCATGCCTGGCTAATTTTTTGTATTTCAGGAGAGACGGTTTCACCATGTTGCCCAGGCTGGTCTTGAACTCCTGAGCTCAGGCAATCCACCTGCCTTGGCCTCCCAAAGTGCTAGGATTATAGGCATGAGCTACCGTGCCCGGCACATAATCTCTTTTTTAAATTACATTTAGTGTTTGGTGTGTATAGAAATGCAGTTGATTTTTATAAGATGCTTTTATAATCAGCCACCTTGCTGTCTTAAAAAATCAAGAATGTGTGTTAAAGTTTTGTTTGATGCTTTTTCCACCATTGTTGAGATAATCTTGTGCTTTTTCTTCTTTAACATGTTAACACGATAAAGTACTCGATTAAGATTTGCTATTATTTTGTTTAGTGTTTTTCATAAATTTAAAAAATTGAGATCAATCTGTAATTTCCTTTGTCCTATTCCTTTTTTCTTTTTTTCTTTTTCTTTTTTTTTTGAGACAGGGTCTCGCTCTGTCACCCAGGCCAGAGTACAAGTGGCAGAATCATGGTTCACTGCAGCCTTGACCTCCTGGGCTTAACAGATCCTCCCACCTCAGCCTCCCTAGTAGCTGAGACTGCAAGTGCACAGCATTATGTCTGGCTGATTTTTGAATGTTTTTGTAGAGATGAGGTTTAGCCATGTTGTCCAGGCCAGTCTTGAACTCCTGGGCTCAAGCATTTCACCTTGCCTCAGCCTCCCACTATAGGCGTGAGACACTGCACCTGGCCCTATTCTCTTTGTCTTGTTTTATTATCAATGTTACTTGTTTTCTGAAAGTATTTGTGCCTGGGATGACTTATTCTTAGAATACATAGTAGAACTCATCTGAAAAATTATCTGGGTCTTGTGAGATTTTTAACTACAAAACAATATTTTAATAGAGCCATGCAGCCATGTTATTTCTTCTTGGGTCAGTGTTAGTAAGTTATGTATTTTAGAAAAATTTCAATTTCCTCTTAGTTTTCAAGTATATTGGCATAAAGTTGTTCCTAGTATTCACATTTTTACAATCTTTGCCATACTGCCATTCTGTTTCCTTTTTACACAGTTGTTATTGTTTATATGGACTTGCTCTTTAATATTTTCTTTGTTTTCAGTTTATCCTGGGTTTATCATGCTGTTCTTTTTCCAACTTCTTAAGCTGGATGTTTACTCACGTTGGCATTTCTTTTGTGATATAAGTATTTAATACTATAAATTTTTACTTCTTAATACTTCTTTAACTTCACACAAGTTTTAATATTTTAATTACGGTGTAGATCCAAATATTTTTCTACTATAATTTTTTTTGACTCATGAATTACTTAGAAATGTGATTTTAAATTCCAAAGCGTGTGAGGATTTCTAACTTATTTCTCACATTGATTCTCAATTGCATTGGGATCGAAGAATGTGGTCTTATGTGACATCTAGTCTTTGAGTTTTTTTTGAGACATAATTTATGGATTAATAACCTTTTTCTTAAGTGTGTCATGTGTGCTTGAGAAGAATATGTATCCTTGGTACAAGGTTTTATATTTTTGCTAGTTTTCTTGTCCGTGTAATCTATTGATACTTCAGAGAGATGCACTGATTTCCCACTAAGGTGTTGGTTTTTCAGTTTCATTGCGATTTTTGTCTAATTTTATATATATATATATATATATATATATATATATATATATATATATATATAAAATAGATACATACACATATGGAAACACAACAAGTCCTCACTTAACATCCTTATAGGTTCTTGGAAACTGACTTTAAGTGAAACGATGTATAATAAAACCAATTTTACTACAGGCTAATTGATACAAAGAAGAGTTAAGTTCCTACTGCATATTTCCAGTCATAAAAGCATCACCAAACTTCTCAATAAGAACCCAACACACTTCTAATATTAAACATTGAAATAAATGTCAACTATACATTTATTTTAAAAAGAATAATAACAACTAAGATAATTATTTACCCAGGTTTTGGTGGATAAGTGAGTGATGGCAGTCATGGTGTTGGGTTAAATCGGGAATAAATGTTTGCAAAGTAGAAATTGTCAGGAGCACTTCCTACCACCATACAGTTCAGAAACAAACAATAACAAATATGGCGGGCTCACTGAGTACTTTCATACTGCATTGTTTATTGTCCTGTATTTGTATGAGTATCATATACTTTATGACATTTTTTTTTTTTGAGACGGAGTCTCACTCTCTCTCCAAGGCTAGAGTGTAGTGGTGCGATCTTGGCTTACTTCAACCTCTGCCTCCTGGGTTCAAACGATTCTTGTGCCTCAGCCTCCTGAGCAGCTAGGACTACAGGCTTGTGCCACCACACCCGGCTAAATTTTTGTATTTTTATTAGAGATGGGGTTTTGTCATGTTGGCCGGGCTGGTCTTTACACAGACAGTTGCCCCGGGTGGAAATCATTTTATTTTCTCAAGTTCACAACAAAATAACACTGAATGAAGTGAAATGGAGGACCTGCTGTGGACTCCTTTATTAGGTATATATACAAGTGTAGAATTAGTATATATCTTCCTTTTATTTTCACCTATAATTATTTATTGATTCTGTACTTTCCTATCAACACATTTTGCTTTACAAATCTGTTTTGTCTGATGTTCACCTACCACTGAACATTCTTTTGATTACCATTTGCCTGGTATACGTTTTCCCATCAGTTTTTCTGTTTCTTTTTTTTTTTTTTTTTTTTTTGAGTCTCGCTCTGTCGCCAGGCTAGAGTGCAGTGGCATGATCTCGGCTCACTGCAACCTCTGCCTCCCAGGTTCAAGCTATTCTCCTGCCCCAGCCTCCCGAGTAGCTGGGACTACAGGCATGCGCCACCACGCCCTGTTAATTTTTGTATTTTTAGTAGAGATGAGGTTGGCCAGGATGGTCTCTATCTCTTGACCCCGTGATCTGCCTGCCTCGGCCTCCCAAAGTGCTGGGATTACAGGCGCGAGCCACTGGGCCCGGCCCCTTCTGTTTCTTAATGTTTTAGGTGTTTATTGTAAACCACATAGCTATACTTTGCTCGTTTTTTTAACTGCTCATGACAGTACCTTACCTAATTTATTTACATTACTATATGATTGTTGATATTCTTAGACTGGTTTCTACCATCTTTCTTAGTGTGTTTTGCCTGTTTCATCTAATACTTCCTTCTCTTTTCTTGCCTTTTTGTTTTTGATCCAGTATGCAGCATGATTTATTGAAAAAAACTCTTTTTCCTATTACATTGCCTTTGCATCTTTGGTGAATTGACTGTACACATATGGGTTTATATCTAACTGTATTCTGTTCTGTTGATCTATATGTTTCTTTTCATCAATATTAAATGGTCTTGATTATTATATAACTTGTTGCTAAGTAGTGTCTTTAGATCAGGTAGGGTAAGTCCTCCAACACTGTTCTTTTTAACAATTATTTTGGTTATTCATTGTCCTTTGCATTTTCATTTACATAGAACCAGTTTGTCAATTTCTACAAAATAGGCTGCTGGGATTTTGAGTGGGGTTGTGTTGAATCTATCAATTATTTTTGGTAGAACTGGCATCTTAACAATATTGAGTCTCCCAATCTATGAACACTCACCAGGTATTTTTGTTTTTGATTTTTTATTTTGATTTTTGTAGAAGTATTCAGGCAAACATGCTTGTATTTGCTTTTTCCCCTTATGTTACACAAGTGACAGCATACTGTGCTATTTTTATACCTTGCCTTTTTTATTTTGGAGACCAAGTCTCGCTGTTTTGCCCAGGCTGGAGTGCAATGGCATGATCTCAGCTCAATGCAACCTCCACCTCCTGGGTTCAAGAGATTCTCCTGCCTCAGCCTCCCGAGTAGTTGGGATTATAGCTGTCTGCCACCACGCCCAGCTAAATTTTGTATTTTTTAGTAGAGACGGGGTTTCACCATGTTGGTCAGGCTGGTCTTGAACTCCTGACCTCAGGTAATCCACCTGCCTTGGCCTCCCAAAGTGCTGGGATTACAGGCGTGAGCCATAGTGCCCGGCCGCTTTTTTTAGATAATAGTATTTTGGAATTTGTCTCAGTTTGGAGGATCTCTCTCTCTCTCTTGTTTTTTGTAGCTGTATGAATGTATCAGATGTATTTAATATGTAATATACAGTATTTAATGTTATAAAAAGAAAGCATAAAGTACTATCCAAGAAACATAACAGATACAAATAGCTGGGCGCAGTGGCTTACTCCTGTAATCCCAGCCTCTTTGGGAGGCCAAGGTGGTGGATCACTTGAGGTCAGGAGTTCAAGACCAGCCTGGCCAACATGATGAAACCCTGTCTCTATTAAAAATACAAAAAAATTAGGCATGGTGATGCATGCCTGTACTCCCACCTACTCTGGAGGCTGAGGTGGGAGGATCATTTGAGCCTGGGAGGCAGAGATTTCAGTGAGACATGAACATGTCACTACACTCCAGCCTGGGTAACAAAGTGAGACTCTGTCTTAAAAAAAAGAAAAAAGATACAAATAATTTCAGTTTTATACTGTTGCTGATTAATAGGGTTATAACAGCTACGAATTTTTTTTTTTTTTTTGTGATGAGACAGAGTCTCTGTTGCCCAGGCTGGAGCGGAATGGCCCGATCTTGGCTCACTGCAACTTCTACCTCCCGGGTTCAAGCGATTCTCCTGCCTCAGCCTCCCGAGTAGCTGGGACTACAGGTGCATGCCACCACACCCGGCTAATTTTTTATATTTTTAGCGGAGACGGGGTTTCACCGTGTTAGCCAGACTGGTCTCGGTCTCCTGACCTCATGATCCACCCACCTGGGCCTCCCAAAGTGCTGGAATTACAGGCGTGAGCCACCGTGCCCTGCCAACAGCTATGATTTATTGAGTGAAGGTGCCAAGCACTGTGCTAACTTCTTTTGTATACATTATTTTACTTAATTTTCAATATGCCCTTTGAGATAAAGACACTAATTTCCCCATTTTACCCTATATATACTGTTACCCTCCTACCCAAAATGTGGTCCTCAGAACATCAGCATCACCTGAGAGCTTGTTAGAAATGCAAAATCTCAGGCCCCACCTCACACTGAATCTGAATCTGAATTTTAACAACATCTGTAGATGATTCATATGCACCTAAAACTTATATGTTCTGTTCTATGGGATAGGTACCCATATTCCCATTTTACAAATATGAAGGCTGAGGCTTGAAAAGGTTCAGCTGGCCCCAGACCTCGCCTAGTAAATAGTGGAGCCATGGTTTGAACTCATATGCATCTGATTCCAGAGCCTGCATTCTGAACTTTCATGTATCCTGCTTGCCATAGGGAATAGAAGGGAAAAAATACTTTGTAGACCAAAAGCTTACAAAACTTTGGGCTTAAAGATAATTTACAGATTTTTCCTGTCCAACATTCTCATTTTCTAGGTAAAGAAATGGGTTCAGAGAGGTTTTGTGATTTACATTAGGTTAACACAAATAAAGCGTGGCAAAACCAGTTCTAGATCCTATGCGCTCTGATTTCCTGTTTGTTCTGTTTCTGTAATGTGGAAAGGGAACACAAAGGAAAGGAAAATAACTTCAGCTTATTCCTTAATGGACCAGTAATCTTTCTCACCACCCTTTACAAATTTCCTACTGATTTTGGTGGCTGTTGTGTACCATTTGGAACTTGGGATAATATAATTTATCTTATAAAGCTAGATAACAATGGAAGGCAATAGATACTCCTCACCCCTGTTCTAAATAGAAAATATGCTTTATGTAAATATATTTCTTTTTCCCTATGAAAGTAGATAATTAGCTGTATGTTAGTATTTTTCATAATAAAATGAGTGATTCTCAAGTGCTTATTTTACATTTTAAGTGTACCTATTCTTGTTCCTTTTTTTTTCTCTTTTCCTTTTTTTTTTTTTTTTAAGATAGGATCTTGCCCTGCTGCTCAGGCTGGAGTGCAGTGGCACAATCATGGCTCACTGCAGCCTTGAATTCCTGGGCTCAAGAGATCTTCCCACCTCAGCCTCCCGAGTAGCTAGGACTACAGGTTCCTGCCACTGTACATAGCAAATTATTATTTTTTGTAGAGGTGAGGTCTCACACTATGTAGGTCAGGCTGGTCTTGAATTCCTATCCACAAGTGATCCTCCAGACATGGCCTCCCAAACTGCTAGGATTACAGGCATAAGCCACTGTAACTGGTCCTCTCATTTCTTTTAATATGTTTTCCTTTTGCATAGGTGTTGTCTGGAGGATGGAGGAATAGACGTGTGGCATCAACATCAATGAACAGAGAATCGTCTAGGTCTCATGCCGTCTTTACAATTACAATAGAGTCAATGGAGAAAAGTAATGAGATTGTGAATATACGGACCTCCCTACTCAACCTGGTGGATTTAGCAGGATCTGAAAGGCAAAAAGATACCCATGCAGAAGGGATGAGATTGAAGGTAAGAATGAAATTATGGTCTTCAACTTGTGTGTGAGTTCTTACTAGCAGTCAATACAGTCGTGATGCATGACAGTGTCTCAGTCAATGAGGAACTGCATTTATGATGGGGGTCCCTTAAGAGTATAATAGCTATACCACATGGCTTAGGTATGTTGTAGGCTATACCATCTCGGTTTGCATAAGTATATTCTATGATGCCCACAAAACAATCAAATTTCCTAACAGCACATTTCTTAAAATGTACCCCTGTTAGCCGGGCGCGGTGGCTCACACCTGTAATCCCAGCACTTTGGGAAGCTGAGGCAGGTAGATCACGAGGTCAGGAGATCGAGACCATCCTGGCCAACGTGGTGAAATCCCGTCTCTACTAAAAAAATACAAAAGTCAGCTGGGCGTGGTGATGCGCGCCTGTAGTCCCAGCTACTTGGGAGACTGAGGCAGGAGAATCACTTGAACCTGGGAGGCCGAGGTTGCAGTGAGCTGAGATCGCGCCACTGCACGCCAGTCTGGGTGACAGAGAGAGACTCTGTCTCAGAAAAAAAAATGTATCCGTGTTGTTAACTGATATATGACCATACCAAGCTAAGTGTTTTGAGGGTGGCAAAGAAATAAGAAATTGTTCCTATTGAAAAGGAACAGAGATTTCTTTTGTGGAACAGTGAACATAGATGGGATAGGGCAAGTCTGTCAGTAGCAAAAATGTTTTAATTCATACCAGAGGGGATAAGGGTACAAGAGACAACAGGGGTCAGAGGAAGAAGGGTGCAATATGGACTGCTTGTGGAACATGTGGAAAAGAAGTAGTTCTTGACTTGTGAAGGATTTCGGTAGGGAGAGAGAAACAGGAAATGCATGCCTGGCAGGGGGGCATCTCAAGGGTTATTGTGGATGCAGAATGAGTGTAGCATTTGGCATTTCAGCATGGCTCAATGGATGGGTTGGTTAGAGAGGCAAGCAGGCCCGGATTATCAAGGACCAGGAGTGCCAGGCCAAGTTTGTATCAACTCTGCGAATACTGGGAAACACTTAACATTTCTTAGCAACTAAGTGATTCATGAAGAAAGCCTGTTTTATAGAAACTTAGTCATCTGACCCACTGCTGTTAAGATTTTAGAAGGGAGAGCCCACAGAAAAAGATGACCACTTACGCTGTTTAATATTTCAGGTATGAAGGGTTAAGTATCTAGTCCTAGGCTAAGGTATCAACAGTGGGACCAGAGGTTCTATGTAATATGTATTGTCAATATGTGTTTATATATATATATATATAGTAATACGAATTGTCAATAAAATATTTGTAGAGTCTATAGTTTAGAATATACATGGGCAAGGGGAGAGGAATTGGAAAGGATGAGGGAAGAGATCTACTTTTTTCATTAAAAGTGAGGATTTGAGTCGCCTGACCTACATTTGAGGCAGTTTCAGGCAATCTGAAGCTCATATTTTTTTGTTTTGAGACAGTCTCACTCTGTCACCCAGCTGGAGTGCAGTGGCATGATCTCGGCTTACTGCAACCTCTGCCTCTCTGGTTCAAGCAGTTCTTCTGCCTCAGCCTCCCAAGTAGCTGAGATTACAGGCGCCCACCACCACACCCAGCTAATATTTTGTATTTTTAATAGAGATGGGGTTTCACCATTTTGGCCAGGCTGGTCTTGAACTCCTGACCTCAGGTGATCCACCCTCCTTGGCCTCCCAAAGTGTTGGGATTACAGGCGTTAGCCACCACGCCCAGCCTAAAGCTCATATTTCTATTGAGATATGAGGCTTAATAAATATAGCATATGGGTTGAGCATGGTGGCTTATGCCTGTAATCCTAGCACCTGGGAGGCTGAGGTGGGAGGATCCCTCGAACCCAGGAGGTCGAGATTGCAGTGAGCTGTGATTGTGCCACTGTGCTCCAACCTGGGTGACAGAGTGAGACTCTGTGTCAAAAAAAGCATATGCTTATAATAGGACATATACCAAGTCTGTTCTAAAATGCTTTACATATATTAATTCATTTAACCTTCCCAACAACTCTGGGAAGTAGGTGCTATTCTTTCTATTTTACAGTTAAAGAAACCGAAGTCACACAGCTAATAAAGGTAGAGCTGAGATTCAAACCGAGCTGCTACAGTACTCTCAACCATGCCACTAACCACCTTTCTGATTTACTGAATGATAACAGCAGTGACTCTGAATTCAGTACATCTTGCATTATAATTTTGACTTTTTCTCTTTTTTGTATACTCCTTCCACTGCAGACCCAGTTTTCAAAATATGCTACCTACAGTAAAAATCTAATGTAACGTATTTAGCTCATTTTTTCCCCCCACCAAGCTTCTGTTTTAAAGTAGTTTTTATTATCCTTTACAGAATTAAACTGAATATTCTCCTCAAATAAGTTCATCAGTGGCTTTGGGGGCTGTATGGGTGAGTTATTAGGCATTATACCCTTAAATATTTTAGCATAAAAGGATTGAAAAAAGTACCTATTAATGCACTACTCTAGCTTTTTTTTCCCTATTTTTTTCTGGTCTTTATAGCTCGGTTTCAAACTATTACAATCATGAAGTGACATTAATATTTTTTTTCTTTGCATGATTTTTGTGTTTGTCTTTTTTTGTTGTTGTTTTTGAGAGAGGGTCTCACTCTGTCACCCAGGTTGTAGTGCAATGGCACAATCTCAGCTCACTGCAACCTCCACCTCCCAAGCTCAAGTGATCCTCCCACCTCAGCCTCCCAAGTAGCTGGGACTACAGGCATGTGCCACCATGCCCAGCAGTTTTTTGTATTTCTTTGTAGAGATGGGGTTTTGCCATGTTGCCCAGGCTGGTATCCAACTCCTGAGCTCAAGCAACCTGCCCACCTCGGCCTCCCAAAGTGCTGGGATGACTAGCATGAGCCACAGTGCCAGCCTGTGTTTGTCTTCTAATACTAAAATTACAGTGTACATCAAATAGGAAAAGGTTAGGGATAGTTCAGCACTTCTTTTTTATTTGTTGAATAGTTGTTCTTTATTAACATTGTCCCTGACTTGCCTTTTCATCCAGAATTTTCCTCTGCTAGATATATTTTCATTCAAAATACCAAAGAGTAACCAACGTACCTAAATTTTTGTTCTTTTCCGTCAACACTTTAGGAAGCAGGTAACATAAATCGATCATTGAGCTGCCTGGGCCAAGTGATTACAGCACTTGTCGACGTGGGTAATGGAAAACAGAGACATGTTTGCTACAGAGACTCCAAACTTACCTTCTTACTACGGGTAAAGTAGATCCTTGGGTTCCTGGGCTCCTTTTGGTTATGCTAAAGTTGATAGTGGGACAGTCTCTCAGCCTTGGTGGCAAGAGTATACATTTTCTTTGCTTAAAAAGGTCTTGTGATTTCTCACCGAAAATATGTTCATTCCTATCATTAAACAGGATTCCCTTGGAGGTAATGCCAAAACAGCCATAATTGCAAATGTTCATCCTGGATCCAGGTGTTTTGGGGAAACCCTATCAACACTTAACTTTGCTCAAAGAGCCAAGCTGATTAAAAACAAGGTAAAATACTGGCGTATACTTCATTAAATAAATGAGAAAAATACTAAAGCTTACAGTATGCCATTTTTGTGATTGCCCTAATATTAACATTAACTTTTATTTATTTCTCATTGTATGCAAAATTTCTATTTTATCTTTCCTACCCTTCTATATCACACATGTAATTAGAGACCTAGGTTAGATCTTATGGTTGTTATTGCTTGACTAGTTTTTTCTTTTTTTTTGAGACACAGTCTTGCTGTGTCACCCAGGCTGGAGTGCAGTGGTGCAAACACAGCTCACTCTAGCCTCAACTTCCTGGGCTCAAGCGATCCTCCTGCCTCAGCCTCCTGTGTAGCTGGAACTACAGGCATGCAGCACCATGCCAGGCTAATTTTTTTATTTTTTTAATTTTTATTTTATTTATTTTTTATTTATTTATTTTTTTGAGACAGAGTCTTGCTCTGTCACCCAGGCTAGAGTGCAGTGGTGCGATCTCTGCTCAGCTGGGACTACAGGCGCCCACCACCACGCCCGGCTAATTTTTTGTATTTTTTAGTAGAGACGGGATTTCACCGTGTTAGCCAGGATGATCTCGATCTCCTGACCTCGTGATCCGTCTGCCTTGGCCTTAATTTTTTTATTTTTTGTACAGGTAGGATCTCACTTTGTTGCCCAGGCTCGTCTCAAACTCCTAGGTTCAAGCAGTCCTCCTGCCTCATCCTTTCAAAGTGCTGGGATTACAGGTGTGAACCACTGTACCCAGCTGACAAATTTTTTCTTAAGGGAAAGCAAATTAAGTATGTGAGTCTTTCTTCCTGCCAACAGCCAATCAATCAGTTCTGCAGCAGACATCAGCTGAGTGTCTTCTGATTCAGTTCCATCCTGACACTTTATGTCTGGAGATAGGGTGAGATCTCACAGGTTCAGGGCTCAGTCCTACAAGACTGCGCCCAACTTCTGATGCCAATTGCAAGCCCCAGCTTGTCCTATCTGTGCTTTCAGACCAACTGGCTGTAAATCAGGAGGTCCATGTTGCCCCTTTCCCTGGGTAAATCAGAAGACTATAGATCTAGTCATTTATTTTATTTCCTTGGACTATGGAGTACTAGTAAGATGAGGAGGAAAAATCATTAGAGCTTCCTGACCCTAAGTCTCTTAAGATTTACTAGAAGTCTTTGGAGATATAGAACTGCAGCAATAATTAGAATTATGAAGTCACTGATGGGACAGTGATGTCAGAAGTGCAGTAGTACCTTGTAATGAGGCTGGCCATAAGAATCAGAAGCAACTGGAAATGGCTGCTTAACACACAAAAGAACAAAACCAAGAGCCTTCTACTAGTCACTCTCAATGGTAAGCCCTTTGCAGCCTATCAGTGGAAAGTGCCAGAGTATCTGGGACTTGTTTAAGGATGTGCTATTTAAATTTTTCCGTGAGCAAATTGGGCTTACAGCGAGAATACAGAAGACCTTGGGGCTGTCACAGGGTGTTTTTTCCTTGCTGGAGTACTGAGTATTTCACAACTGAGTCCTCTGACCTGGTTGGTACTCAGCTGTTGGCACTCGTTATCACCCTTTAGGCTTTGTGGACCTTTTTAAAGCTTTATTTTTTTAATTAATCAACTTTTTTTTTTTTTTTGAGATAGAGTCTCGCTCTGTCAACAGGCTGGAGTGCAGTGGCGCACATGTGTGACCTGCCCCACTCTTGACATCCTGCCCCACAGTGGCACATTTTGTTTGTGAGTCCTTTAGCCTTTTAGAAGTTGTCCTAAATAAGACATTTCTTTAAGAAAATGAAGATAATCATTTAGTGTGGTAAAAAATTAAAAAAAAAAAAAAAAAGGAAGTGTCAAACCAACCCCTCCTTCCAAGAGGGCTGTTAAAAAATAAAGGTCGGATTCCTCTGGAGAAGGTTGCTTCTGCCAAGCTCAAGCCCACCCTGCAAGTCATCATGCACTTAGAGGCTAGGCTCCTTCCCCGTAGGGAGCTAGGAAAGAAGGGAAATGATACTCACTGAGGTATTGGCTCTTCTCCATTGGGAGGGTGGGGGAAGGCTGTCGTTCTCAGGGAAAGAAGTATTAGGTGAACACACCCGGATCCTAAGGGTGACCCAGCCTAAAAGCTCAGGGCTAGTCAGCTGGGGGGCAGAGAGCCTGGCTGGGGCTGTCTCTCTCTGGCTCCAGGTCTGAAGGCACAAGAAAAGGAAGCTTCCTCCCCACTTGAGCACACTGTGATTCCTGTGTCCTTTTGACTATGATGTGGTCTTGAAGTTTTGTTTGATGTTCATCACTACAAATCATACCAAACAAATGTAAACACAGGACTATACTACTCAAAAAGCATTATTTTAATGCTTTTTAAAAAATTCCTGAACAGGCAGTAGTAAATGAAGACACCCAAGGAAATGTGAGCCAGCTCCAAGCTGAAGTGAAGAGGCTCAAAGAACAACTGGCGGAGCTTGCTTCAGGACAGACACCACCAGAAAGCTTCCTGACCAGAGGTAGGATGAGCACACAGTCCTTTATCTTGGGGAAGACTGTACAAATAATAGTTTAAGAGCCCTTGGTGATAGACACAACACAATAAGGCAACCCAAATTTTTCTGCAGGTATCTCTTTCTGCTTATTTCTCCTATATAGGAACATAGTGGTTTGTTTATAATCAGATACAGATACCATAGGCAGTGAGAAGGGGGAATTAAAATAATTTTGAATAATGTATAAGTGCTAAAAAGAGATTAATTTCATTTAGATCTACTTCTACGTAGCATATGTAATCTATATATGTTTACTATAGGATAAGAGAGACTTATTTTTCTTCAAAGAATAGCTAGTAGAGAATTAATTAACTGGAAATCCATAAAGGCAAGAGGGTGAATTATTAACAGATCTTAAGAGGTGCACAGCACCCTGGGACTCCTCTAATTTTTTAAAAAATCTACTTCTACTTCTGTTACACCATGTGTAATCTATTGTGCATATTAACTAAATAAAGAGAAACTTATTCTTTGAAGAACGACTAATATGTGGAATGGTTAATTTGAAATCCGTGATCTAGTGATGACGGTCTCATTGTTTTTTTTTTTTTTGAGACGCAGTCTCTCTTTGTCACCCAGGCTGGAGTGAAGCAGTGTGATCTCAGCTCACTGCAACCTCTACCTCCTGGGTTCAAGCGATTCTCCTGCCTCAGCCTCCTGAGTAGCTGTGACTACAGACCCACGCCACCATGCCCAGCTAATTTTTTTGTATTTTTAGTAGAGATCGGGGGCGGCGGGAGGGGGGGGTCTCACCATGTTGGCCAGGCTGGTCTCGAACTGCTGACCTCAAGAAAGATATCCGTCTGCTTCAGCCTCCTAAAGTGCTGGGATTACAGGCATGAGCCACTGTGCCCGGCCACAGTCTCATTCTTTTAGATTAGTTGAGAGCAATCAATTAAAGGCTATCTGTTCTCTTGGTTTTGCAATGTGATAAATATTTTTTTTCATCTTCCCTTTCTTATTGGATCAATTACAGACAAAAAGAAGACTAACTATATGGAGTATTTCCAGGAAGCAATGTTATTCTTTAAGAAATCTGAACAGGAAAAGAAGGTAGGAAATGGAATTAGTAATAAAGGAGATTCAAGATAGTTAGTTTTTTGCTGTGTGGTTTTTATTGCCTTACTAAGTGAAATAAATAATACCAAGTCAATAAAGTAATGGAAGGCTATGAAAAATCAAATTTTGCCTTTAAGATTAAATATGAAATTAGTATTTGTTGCTGGACTTACGAAAATTTAGGGAAGTCAAATTATTTTTCATGTTTAACCAAATTATGAATTTCTTTAAGTCTCTGATAGAAAAAGTTACCCAATTAGAAGACCTCACCCTCAAAAAGGAAAAATTTATTCAATCTAATAAAATGATTGTGAAATTCCGAGAGGATCAAATAATACGCTTGGAAAAGCTCCACAAGGAATCCCGGGGAGGTTTTCTGCCTGAGGAGCAGGATCGTTTGCTCTCAGAATTAAGGAATGAGATTCAAACTCTGCGAGAACAAGTGAGTATACGGCATCTATAATATTTCTAAAAATAAAAGAAGTTCAAAGCAAATCTAAGTTTGTCAGCAAGTACTTGTTCTTTAATACAATGGAAATTGTTTTAAGTGAATTCTTCTGACAGTGTGATTGCATAATTCCTTTACCTGTCTTTTTAAAATAGTTAAAGGGAAGAGAAGGGGAGAAGGAAGAAGTTGTGGTGACATTGCTACATAGTATGCTACTCTAGCAGGCCACGCAGAATTTCACCCAGTGGGCAGTTGTGGTTATCTGAGTCAGTAGGCTCTTTAGGGTTGTGCCTTTTAACGTTTTTGTTGTTTTTCCTTTTCCTTAGGGAGAATGGATAGGTCATACAGGTACATTGTGGGAAAACCCAAAATCTCTTATCAGCTTCTTGTTTATCTCTCTGGAGTTTTTAATGAATATTCAAACTAATATGGGTGGATATTTGTACTTTTGTTTCTCCTGTACACTTTTTTGCACTTCGCCTTTTTCAGTTAATCTTGGTTGACAAGATTAATTTGGTCCTTGTTCTTTTCAGTGTGTTGATTTAACTAGTCTCCTTTGCATGAAAAGCCTGCCACAATGTACACCCTTGTGCTTACCTCCTTAGGTGGGTGAACATTTCAAGGGTCTAGACTCCAACTGAGAATAGGAGAGTTACAGGACATGCATATTTTCAAACTGATCACAAATGCCAAGTTGCTTTCCATGGTGGTTGCAGAAGGGTACCACCAGTAGTGCATGTGCATACCTAGTTTTCTAATGGCTTTTTAGAGGAACTAATTCACTAAGGAAATGTTTGTAAATATATAATGCGTGTAATTCTTCTATGTCACAGATAGAGCACCACCCCAGAGTTGCAAAGTATGCTATGGAAAATCATTCCCTCAGGGAGGAGAATAGAAGACTGAGATTATTAGAGCCTGTGAAAAGAGCTCAAGAAATGGATGCCCAGACCATTGCAAAACTAGAAAAAGCTTTCTCTGAAATAAGTGGCATGGAGAAAAGTGACAAAAGTAAGAAATGATTGTTGTATATACGTGCCATGTAGGAAGGGGCTGTTTTAAAGAGCATTTTTAGTGCCTTGTGACTAGGGTCTTCATTTTAGCCTCCAGGCCTGCTATGCTAATGTCTTATACACATATTCTTTTATATTATAGAAAGGTATTTACTAAACTTTTCTTTTTCTCAAAAATCACAGAGCATAAACTACGTAAGCTAATAGATATAACGAGAAAATACTCATTGTATTTGTTTTATTGATAAAAAGATTGATTCAGATACTATGTTAAATTTTTACTAAATTTTCCTGTTTAAAGTATTTGAAATGAAAAGTCTTTAACTAATCAAACGTGAATAAAAATAGAGTTGAAATGTTTATCAATCTAATTAGTCCTGTGCAGTATAAGAGATATAGAAAGGTCAGACTCATAGCACAGTGTTTGGGTCCTGATGTTGTGTTTGGGTCCTGGTATTGTGGTTACCAATGTATGCAGTCTCTAGTTACATACTACTTTCATAAGTTTGCATACTATGTGAAAAGTGGTTTAGTTAATACTAAATCTGCCTTACAGTCTTGACAGCTGTTGGTGTTCATACCCTGGGATTTGGTAACAAAGTCTGTGTTTGCCCCAGTCTTAGAGTTAATATTTTCACGGTCTTTTATCATAGACTTGGCCTTGGTTTCCTTTTAGGTTGAAATTGAAAAAGTTCTAATGTTTTTATTCTGCATTCATAAAGAAGACTGTCTCTTTGCTTTTTAAAATTTCATTTTTTAAGCCTTCTTCCATTCTGTTATGACTGAATAGAATAATAAGAGTCACAGTAACTGGGTTGGGGAGAGACTTAAGATATTAGATGCAAAATTACTATCAGGTTTTCTGTTGTTTTTTTTGAGATGGAGTCTCACTCTGTCACCCAGGCTGTAGTGCAGTGGTGCGATCTCGGCTCACTGCAACCTCCACCTCCTGGATTCAAGCAATTCTCCTGCCTCAGGCTCCCTCCTGGGATTACAGTCACACACCACCACACCGAGCCAATTTTTGTATTTTTGGTAGAGATGGGGTTTCACCATGTTGGCCAGGCTGGTCTTGAACTTCTGGCTTCAAATGATCCACCCACTTCGGCCTCCCAAAGTGCTGGGATTACAGATGTGAGCCCCAACGCCTGACTTAGGTTTTCTGTTTTATTTAAACTACTTTTCCCTACAGTGCCCTTTATTTTGTTGGCCATTTTGTTGTGGCCTCCATAATACCTTGACTTACTCCCTTCAGAAGATACTAATGTCTGGATCTCATCAGTTTCTAAACATTGATCATTCTCTAAACAACTTTTACATGATCTTTTCCCACACTGAAACTCAGTGGACTCTCTTCAACATATTCAGTGTTCTAGGCATTTCCTGAAAATTAATATTTTCTACCTGATAGATGATACCGGGTTCTTACAACCTGCTGCCCTTGCTATTTGTTTCCTTTTCTAAATAATTCCTTGGCTGTTAACATTAGCTGCTAGCACTAATTCCTACAAGATTCACTGGCTGCTGTTTCTCTGTCTAGCATTAGGCGTGCCACACTTTCGTCATTGTTTGTTCTTTCTCCTAATGGGAAAGGTGTTGCCTTAACTACACTTCTCCATCCTGTGGCATCTGCTTCTTAAACATGACTTCTAATCCCCTTTGGCACACTGTGTCACATCCTGTGCCTTCTGCTGAGTTATAAGCTTTTGTATTTTAGGGCTCGCTTTCCAACCCATTTCTCACTTTTCCTCCTTGTGGCCCAAAATTGATACCTGACAGAGAACTTAGAAAATGTGTCCTGTTATTTTTGCTTGTCAAACACTGAAGTTGTAAAGCTAGGCATGGTGGCATGCACCTGTAGTCCCAACTATTTGGGAGGCTAAAGCAGGGGGTTCACTTGAGACCAGAATTTGGGGCTTTAGTACACTATGATCATGCTTGTGAATAGCCACTGCACTCTAGCCTGGGCAACATAGTGAGGCCCTGTCTCAGAAAAAAAAAAAAAAAGACTGAGATTGTTTTCTTATTAACAGATCAGCAAGGATTTTCACCTAAAGCTCAGAAAGAGCCATGTTTGTTTGCAAACACTGAGAAGTTAAAAGCACAACTCCTGCAAATTCAGACAGAGCTGAATAATTCAAAGCAAGAATATGAAGAATTCAAAGAACTTACTAGGTAAAGTCTAAATACACATGCATGCACACTTATTTTCTTTCAGTGTTCATTTGCTGTAGTGTTAATATCGATAATTCAATTGGGCATTTTACTTTAAATATTAAACTCTCATAGCAGCAACTACTTTGACATGAAGAGAAAGAGCATGCTTCTAGCTCTTTACTAATATATTCAATGAACTAGGTAATACAGGTGTTTTAAGCAGTTTTTTCCTGTTGAGAGTCTATTGAACTTGCATAGTAAATTATTTAAATTTAAATTTGATAATCAGAGTTGTTAAGACTTTTAGGAAGTATAGGTTTGTTAATATTCCTACTTGATTCTCACTATGTAAAAACAAAGATAAATCACATTCATATTATAACTAAGATCAATCTTACCCTAAAATATAAACAAATGTTTGGTTCAAAAATGACATATCACATATGGTATAATCATGGACTATTTGTTTGGGCTTTTGAATTTGAGCCCTACCATTTACTAGTTGAATCCCTTAAACAGTCTCTGAGCTGTAGTTTACTGAACTGGAGAATGATGGGAATAATCTGAGAGAATAGAGAATATCTCTGATTTAGAGATAACTATAAAGTTATGTGAGAGCATAAACTGTAAAGTATTCTATAAATGTTTGACATTACTTATTACCTGAAATACTCCGTTTTACAATATCTATTAGGAAAAGGCAGCTAGAATTGGAATCAGAGCTTCAGTCTTTGCAAAAAGCGAACCTTAATCTTGAAAACCTTTTGGAAGCAACAAAAGCCTGCAAGCGGCAAGAAGTTTCTCAGCTGAATAAAATTCATGCTGAAACACTTAAGGTAGGTCATCTGAACAATACCTCCACCTTAAATCAGTGCAATGTCATTTTATTAATAATGGAGAGAGTCTGCATGGTCTATCTCCAGATGCAGATGACATCCCATGCAGGTAATTAACACCGGTGTCACACTGGTCTTTGGGTTACTGCTAGCAATCCCACTGATGTATCCCCCCAGTGGTAGGGTGGGGTAGGAAAGAATTCAGCATTTGCAATCAAATTCGAATGTGCCATTAACTTTAGTCAGGGTTTCCTAACTTCTGAGCCTTATCTTTCTTTTCTCTAAATTGGAAATGAAGGTAATTTACTTGCAGAGTTTTAGAGTACTAAATGAGATAGATAAGCTGCCTGGTACCTTGTAGATATCAGTAAAATGGCAGCTATTACTACAATATAACATGTCCTCAAAGTTTTCAGTAGAATAGAAACCCTAATGGGCAAAGACCGCTAAGGGATCACAGGTGCCACTGGAAATAACATGAGAGGGTTTTGTCCTAAATAACCACATCCCTCATAAAAGAAAAAAAAATGTGTGAACAACTGAGAATGAGGAGAGAGAAAGGAAGTACACAAGGAAAACAAAAGGTTGAGGAGGTGATACTGATTTCAGCTTTTGTATCCAATTTTTTGAAGGTTAAAAAATTTTTTCCTTAGCTGGGTGTGGTGGTGCAGGCCTGTAGTCCCGGCTGTTTGGGAGGTTGAGGCAAGAGGATTGCTTGAGCCCAGGAATTCAAGTCCAGCTTGAATTCAAGTTCTTTTCTTTTCTTTTCTTTTTTTTAAGACAGAGTCTTGCTCTGTCGGCCAGGCTGGAGTGCAGTGGTGCAATCTCAGCTCACTGCAACCTCCGCCTCCCAGGTTCAAGCGATTCTCCTGCCTCAGCCTCCCGAGTAGCTGGGATTACAGGCGCCTGCCACCATGCCCGGATAATTTTTGTATTTTCAGTAGAGATGGGGTTTCGCCATGTTGGCCAGGCTGGTCTCGAACTCATGACCTCGTGATCTGCCTGCCTCGGCCTCCCAAAGTGCTAGGATTACAGGCAAGAGCCACTGCGCTGGCCTCAAGTTCTTTTCAATAAAAGAAAGAAATAGAGAAGACCGAAAACCTTTCCTTATATGTCTTAGAATATAAATAGATGTTTATTTATAATGATTATTTTTAGTAGTGGTGCTTTTTGTGTCACTTAATGGAAGACTACTTGTATTCATTTGAATAGGTAATTTATGTGACTGAAATTTCCTTTCTTTTCTTTTTTTTTTGAGACGGAGTTTTGCTCTTGTTGCCCAGGTTGGAGTGCAGTGGCACGATCTTGGCTCACTGCAACCTCTGCTTCCTGGGTTCAAGCGATTCTCCTGCCTCTGCCTCCCGAGTAGTTGGGATTCCAGGCGCCTGCCCCAACACCCAGCTGATTTTTGTATTTTTAGTAGAGACGAGGTTTCACCATGTTGGCCAGGCTAGTCTCGAACTCCTGACCTCAGGTGATCCGCCCGTCTCGCCTCCCAAAGTGCTGGGATTATAGGTGTGAGCCACCGCGCCCAGCCTGTGACTGAAATTTTCAAAGGCATTTAGTAGCAAATCTCTTTCCTTCTGTTGTTCTTCCAGCCAACCAAGAACTGGAGGCAATCAGTGTCACCAAGTCAATCAATGTCACCAAGTATTTTCTCACTTTACACAAATGGTGGCATAACATACACATCATTCTACAGCTTGAGGGTGTGTGTGTGTGTGTGTGTGTTTTAAAGCAATATTTTAGAGTTTGTCCCATGTCTGCAGGGGAAAAAATGTTCTCCCCCTTTTTGTTTCTGTTTTGATTTTTTATTTGTTTTGGCAGCAGCTCAAGAATGTTATGTGGATATATAATGATTTATTCAACCTGGAAAATGCTGGGTTTTTTCCTATACAGGTAGAAATTTAAAAATTATTTTTAAATTTTGATTTATTTTATTTATTTATTTTTGGTTTTGTTTTTTAGAGACAGAGTCTTGCTCTGTCACTCAGGCTGGAGTGCAGTGGCATGATCATGGCTCACTGCAGCCTTGAACTCCTGGCTTCAAGTGATCCTCCTGGAGCCTCAGCCTCCCAGAGCACTAGGATTACAGGTGTGAGCCACCATGCCTGACCAGAATTTTTTTTTACTGTTGCTTTTTAAAAAAGGTGGTCTTTGAAGTTTTTGTAAGAAATTATTGAAAAATACTTGCAGAATACTGCCAAATGTTTTATAATTCTGTGTCTGTAGCCCCTTAGCACAATGGAATTATAGAGCTTGAAGCACCACGGCATTCTCGTCCTACTTCTTCCTTTTATGACTGAGCAAACAGGACTCAGAGGATTAGGTTTGCCAGGAGGGGCATAGCAATTCAGAGTCTTTGTTGTTGTTTTAGTTGGACAACTACTATATGAATACATTCTCTTTGTTTAAAAGAAAGACACATATTTCAAGTTAAAGTTAAAATTCCTTTTCAGCATCACTTCCAATCTGGATCTAATATAATCCTTTGTCCCCACAATCCCTGGAGGTAGTTTAATCCTTTTTCTTAGCATTTTTGTACTGTTAATATATACAGACTGAGAAAACACATAGAGTTGTTTCCTAGATTGTGTATTGTTTTGCTTTTTTTTTTTTTTTTAAAAAAAAACGGTCATTCTTCATGTGTTATTCCACAATATGCTTTTGTTAACTCAGGGATATGCCTTAGATCTTTCCACATTAACTGGTACCTAGAGCCTCATTTGGATGTGAGGCTCAAGGAATATGAGCCTCATACCAGTTAACGTGAGGCTCAAGGGTTATGAGCCTCATACCAGTTAATGTGGAAAGATCCAAGGCATCTCCTTTGAGGGACAGAAGAATTATAGAGCTTGAATTATAGAGCTTGAAGCACCATGAGGGATATCCCCTTGGGGGATATGCCTTGGATCTTTCCATATTAACTGGTACCTACCTCATTTTAACCCTAGGTTTCTATGGCTTAAGTAGATGGTTTCCAGTGCGTGCATTCTCTGGGGGTGGATTCCGTTAAAGGAGAAGTGGTCATTTTAGGATGTCTTAGCATTTGAGTGAGTCAAGCTGAAGCTCCCTCCTAGTGCCCTGTTCCCGCAGCATAGATGCATAGATGCACTCCTTTCCCAGCACTGTCCGCAGGAACTGGGATTGTCATGCTTGTTAATGTTTGACCATCTGATGGGTAAAAAATGAGATCTTGTTGTTAAGGTTTTAATTCTCATTTCTCTAATTTCAAATATCTTTTCATATGTTCATGTCCATTTGTATATCCTATTCCCTGAAAAGAAAAACTATTGTTTTTTTATATTTTTCTTCAGATTTTGTTTTTATGTAATAAGCATTTGTTTGTTAGGTGTACTGCCAATATATTCCTCCATCATGTTGCTTGTCTTTCATCTTTGCATGTGATGCTTTTGTTATATAGAAGTTTTATATTTTTGATGTAGCCAGGTTTATTGACCTTTTATCTTTATGACTTTTTTGCCTTTAATTTTGCTTTACATTGAGGTGTTTGTGTATCCACTGTTTTTCTTTTGAATGGTATGAGAAAGGGATTTAACTTAAAAAAAGTAATACAGCTAGGCATAGTGGCTCACACCTGTAATCTTAACACTTGGGGAGGCAGAAGCAGGAGGATTGCTTGAATCTAGGAGTTCAAGACCAGCTTGGGCAACATAGTAAGACCCTACCTCTGCAAAAAAAAAAAAAATTTAAATTAGCCAAGCATGGTGGTGTGCACCTTTGGTCTCAACTACTCCTGATACCTAAAATTTCCACAGAAAGATTATTCTATTTCTGGGCGGGGTGTGGTGTCTCACGCCTGTAATTCTAGCACTTTGGGAGGCCAAAGCGGGCAGATCACTTGAGGCCAGGAGTTGGAGACCAGCCTGGCCAACATGGTGAAACCCCATCTCTACTAAAACTACAAAAATTAACCAGGCATGGTGGTGTGTGCCTGTAGTCCCAGCTACTTGGGAGGCTGAGGCAGGAGAATTGCTTGAACCTGGGAGGCAGAGGTTGTGGTGAGCCAAGATTACACCACTGCACTCCAGCCTGGGCAACAGAACAAGACTGTGTCTCAAAAAATAATAATAATTCTATTTCTGGACTTTGTATTTCCTCCCAGTGTTCTATTTGAATGTACATAAGCTAATGTACTGTTTTAATATAATGTACTGTAATGTAATGTACTATTTTAATGACCATACTCCCATACCCCTATGTATTTTTATATCAGATGGGGAAGTCTTCCTAATTTGTTCTTTTTATTTTTATTTTTTTGAGAGACAGGGTCTCAGTCTGTCACTCAGGCTGGAGTGCAATGGTGTGATAATAGCTCACTGCAACCTAGAACACCTGGGCTCTGGGGATCCTCCTGCCTCAGCTTCCCAAGTAGCTGGGACTACAGGCCTGGGACACCATGCCCAGCTAATTAAAATGATTTTTTTTTTTGGTAGAGACAGGATCTCACTATGTTGCCCAGCCTGGTCTTGGACTCCTGGCCTCAAGTGATCCTCCCCTTCTCAGCCTCCCACGGTGTTGGGATTATAGCCATGAACCACCATGCCTGGCTTGTTCTTTTTAATTGTCTTGTCTCTTCTTGTACATTTATTCTTTGTATGAAAATAGATATCAGCTCATTAAGTTTATTTTTAAAAATTGTATTAGAATTTTGCTTGGGACTGCATTGAATTGATAAATTTATTTCCACTTGGGCATTTTTGTACTGTGTCTCAAGGGTACTTTTTCCTTTCTTTTCATGAATAGTATTTCAATTTTATCCTCTCTATTCACAAAATTATTAAATATGCCCTTTTTAAATATGTGCTAATGTTTTCCATAATCATTTTTTGCTGCAGATTATAACTACACCAACCAAGGCCTACCAACTTCATTCCCGACCAGTACCAAAATTAAGCCCTGAAATGGGAAGCTTTGGCTCTCTATACACTCAGAATTCTAGCATATTAGATAATGATATATTAAATGAGCCAGTTCCTCCTGAGATGAATGAACAAGCTTTTGAGGCCATTTCTGAAGAGCTTAGAACAGTGCAGGTAATGTTTTGTTCTAGAAAAAATAAATAACTGGACATCCATTTAAATACATTTGCTTTGTTATTTTAATTCCCTATAAGTTACAGTGTTCAAAAGTGCTTAGTATTAAAATCATATCTTTTTAAGTGTGGGTTTATAATCATTCCTAGATTGGAAATCAGCCCACTCTTGCTTTTTGTCTCTACTTTACAATCTTTAGCAAGTCATTCTCCATGGGTTTTTGTTCCTTAGTGTATAAAATGACCAGTTGGCCACTAGCTCCAAGTTCCAGAACTGGTTTATATAGCAAAGTGCTGTATCTGCTAAAAAAAGTTAAAAGAGGCCGGGTGCGGTGGCTCACGCCTGTAATCCCAGCACTTTGGGAGGCTGAGGCAGGCATATCACGTGAGATCAAGAGTTTGAGACTAGCCTGACCAACATGGTGAAACCCCGTCTCTACTAAATAGACAAAATTAGCCGGGTGTGGTGGTACATGCCTGTAATCCCAGCTACTCGGGAGGCTGAGGCAGGAGAATTGCTTGAACCCGGGAGGCGGAGGTTGCAGTGAGCCGAGATCGCGCCACTGCACTCTAGCCTGGGCAACAAGAGTGAAACTCTGTCTCAAAAAAAAAGAAAGTTAAAAGAATCTTATTATAGATCAAATTTTAGACAGTTTTTAATATATTTGAAATAATGTGAAATTTGATTATTCCAGAATTTTTATGGTTTGTTAATTTTTTAAAAAGGTTTTCTACTGTCCAGTAAAAGTTGGAGTGGGCCAGACCACCCCAAACCCCAGTATTTTGTCCTTTCCAGGCCATGGAGGTAACCGCTTGCAGCCCTGAGGAAGCTTCTTAGAAGTCTCAAGATGGCTCTGTCATGTAATCCAGGATTTTAATTTTAATCACTTCTTTCCTTTGTATTTCAAAGTGTCTACTTTAATGGACCACAAGTGTAAATCTGAAACATTAGCAATCATTTAGTATATAACCTTTTGATGATGTTTTCTGGCTCCAAACAGGCCTTTGATACCTTTGTTCATATGAGGTTTTGAATTTGTTTTGTTTTGTTTTGTTGTCTCTTTAATGCAGACGAAATGGTGGAATGTTTGAGAATTCCATTAAAATAAATTTTGATGACTGAAGTTTTTGTGTTGCAGGAACAAATGAGTGCTCTTCAAGCCAAACTGGATGAAGAAGAGCATAAAAACCTAAAGCTTCAGCAGCATGTTGACAAACTGGAACATCATTCTACCCAAATGCAGGAGGTGAGACCAAGAGCACAGCCTCAGAAAATGTATGAAGTACCCTCAAATGTTACCTTGAGGAAACATCCTCAAGGATCCTCAAACATCCTTGAGTATGCATGAAACATATTCAGAGAGTATCACAGAAAGAAAATGTTGTCACATGGCCTTAGTGAAGGCTTATTTGAGCTGTATTCTCTACCTTGTTACTTAGCATGCTGCTCTGATAATGAGACAGGCATGCATAGTCTAAACCTGGCTGACTTAGTCAATAATGCAAATGGATCCCTTGCTATGTGTTTAGAAGAAACCAAGATGGACTGTCCATGGCTTCATAGTTGTTAATCATCTTTACTGTAGTTCATGGGGACAGCCAATTTTCTTCTGGTCAGAGACGTTAAAGCTAGACTTTAAAAACAGGGACAGGTTAATGGGGCCAGGCACAGTGGCTAACACCTGTAATCCCAGCACTTTGGGAAGCCAAGGCAGGTGGATCGTCTGAGGTCAAGAGATCAAGACCAGCCTGGCCAAGGTGGCGAAACCCCGTCTCTACTAAAAATACAAAACTTAGCTGGACGTGGTGGCGTGGGTCTGTAGTCACAGCTACTCAGGAGGCTGAGGCAGGAGAATCACTTGAACCCAGGAGGCGGAGGTTGAAGTGAGCCGAGGTCGCATCACTGCACTCCAGCCTGGGTGACAGAGCAAGACTCTGTCTCAAAAAAAAAAAAAGAAACAGGTTAATGATTTGGAGTGCATCTTAGCATGCCAGTATTCCTTTTCCAGTAAATTTATCTTTTTTCCCAAAGCTTTTCTCATCAGAAAGAATTGATTGGACCAAACAGCAGGAAGAGCTTCTCTCACAGTTGAATGTCCTTGAAAAGCAGCTTCAAGAGACTCAAACTAAAAATGACTGTAAGTTATTCTATCAGGAGCTTTGTGACTTGAAGGAATACTGTAACTCAATATCTTTTTACTTTTATTAATAAATGCTGTTCCTATGTTTTTGGATGGTTGCTTTGTTGTTGTTGTTTGTTTGATAACCAGACTGCAGTTTGCATGCAGTGGTAAGTAACAGTAATATATCATAAAAGGTAAATTTCTCTATCATTGCCCACAAACAAATGATACAAATGTTTGCTTAAAGTTTTTTGTTGTTTGTTTGTTTTTGACACAGACTCTCGCTTTGTCACCCAGGCAGGAGTCCAGTGGCATGATCTTGGCTCACTGCAACCTCCACCTCCCGAGTTCAAGCGATTCCCCACCTCAGCCTCCTGAGTAGTAGCTGGGATTACAGGAGTGCATTACCATGCCTGGCTAATTTTTTTTTTCTTTGGTCATTTTTTTTTTGTTTTGTTTGTTTTGTTTTTTTTTTTTTTGAGGTGGAGTCTTGCTTTGTCACCCAGGCTGGAGCGCAGTGGCGGGATCTCGGCGGCTCACTGCAACCTCCAGCTCCTGGGTTCAAGCAGTTCTCCTGTCTCCTCCCAAGTAGCTGGGATTATAGGCGTGCACCACCAAGCCCGGCTAATTTTAGGAGAGACACGGTTTCGCCATGTTGGCCAGGCTGGTCATGAACTCCTGACCTCAGGTGATCCACCCACCTCGGCCTCCCAAAGTGCTGGGATTACAGGCGTGAGCCACTGTGCCCAGCCTGCTTAAAGTTTTAGATAAGCTGCTTTGAAAATGAAGTGTCTTGAATTCATGAATGTTTTAATATTAACAAAGCGTAGGTTATATATTTGTATATGTTTGTAGATGTGGGAATATCATTTGATTCCCAATTTTTTCACTTTATTTTTCCCTTCATTAAAGTATTTGCAGTGGTTTGTAATAAAGCTAAAACAAAAAGAGATAGCCATTCTATTTTCTTTGAACTAAAAAGTTAACTAATACTATTTGCAGTTGTAGTTGTCTTAGAAGACCTGAAGTAGTTAACCCATGTTGGAAAGTTTAGGCAAATTTCCAAGGGATTTTCAATAACTAAGATGAGCTCACTCAAAATATGTTACATCTTTTAATTTTTTTTTCTTATATTAAGAGTTTTGTTTGTTTGTTTGTTTTGAGACAGAGTCTCACTTTGTCACCCAGGCTGGAGTGCAGTGGGTGCAATCTCGGCTCACTGTAACCTCCAACTCCCAGGCTCAAGCGATCCTCCCACCTCAGCCTCCTGAGTAGATGGGACCACAGGTGCTCACCACCACAGCCAGCTAATTTTTTGTATTTTTGGTAGAGACAGGGTTTTGCCATGTTGCTCAGTCTGGTCTCGAACTCCTGACCTCAAGCATTTCGCCTGCCTCAGCCTCACAAAGTACTGGGATTATAGGCATAAGCCACTGTGTCTGCCCTTATATTAGGAGTTTTGAAGCACATTTTACAGGAGAAATCTAGCAAAGTCAAGTGACCTGTAAGTCAGGGACAGATGTTAATGCTTTCTATTTCAGTAGAAATTTACGAAAAACCATGTGCAAGGGAGAGGAAGAAAATAGAAATCTCAGTGCTGCTAGGTACCCGCCACTTAATTCTTTAACATTTTTCCTTAAAATAGTCTCTTCGACTTGATTTTGCTAATTGTGGGACTAGTACCTATCAGATTTATTTGTCTGCTTTAAGAAACCTACTGAGGATATGTTTTCTTTGTTTTTTAGTTTTGAAAAGTGAGGTACATGACCTGCGAGTAGTCCTTCATTCTGCTGACAAGGAGCTTTCTTCAGTGAAATTGGAATATAGTTCATTCAAAACGAATCAGGAGAAAGAATTCAACAAACTTTCCGAAAGACACATGCATGTACAGCTTCAATTAGATAATCTCAGGTAGAGTTGTTCTTTTATGGTTTCAAGTTGCCTGATTGGCTGTAACCTACGACTGTTTGAAGTTGGAAGTGTTATAAACTCAACTCAAAGCAGTTAGACAAATAAAAAAGATAATTTATTGGCTCCAATATTGGAAGCCCCAGAGGTGATTTTGGTTTCAGGAACAAACTAGTCTGAGTCTCAAGCAATATTGTCAGTGTTCTATCTCTCTCAGCTATGCTCAGTTCTATGTGTTGCTCTTATTCCCTCCTATTACTGAGGTCCTTCTTCTATGTGACAAGGAACAGATTGCCTCACACAGCTCCATATTTTGGTTCCCAGGATAAAAACCCCTGTAAAGAAATTCTCTCTCCCAATAGCCATGTATTATCCCAGAGAAAATCTGAATTGGTTTTGCTTGAGTCATCTGCTCACCTTTGGACCAGTCACTTTACCAGGTTTGAGATGGCACTGGCCTGACATAGAGTAATGTGCCTGCTCTGGAGGGAAAGGTGTGCTCTTACTAGAAGAAAGGACAGTCAGTATAAGGTAAACCAAAACAATAGTCTTCACTGCTGTGCACACTAACTCTACAAAGGCTGGCTGATTAGTCAAGTGCTGATATCTTGAAACAAATGTAATCTCACATCTAAATAGTTTATTCTTTGTTATTTACTGTTTCTTTTTTTCTTCTTGCTAATTTCAACCTTTTGTATAACATAACACTTTTTGATAATGTCTCCTGTGTCTATAAGCCATAATTTAATAATGGACATGAATGTTACACTGTGAATGTGATGTGAATGTAACTGTTTGCTCTGGAAAAGCTACTAGTAGGCAGCCTTGAGTTTAATTTTTGTAGATGTTACAAAGATTAAAATCTGTAGCTGTTGAGTGTTTTTTGGATATACAACCAGAAATTGAAAGAGAGGAAGAAAACTTGAGATCTGCAGGCCAGAGCCACCTATACATACATTTTTCTTTTTTTTTTAAAGATTCATTTCTATTTGTAAAATGAAAAAAATGCATAATTATTACTAATGAAATACTGACAATAGTTTCATAAAAGAGAAAGTGATGACATTTGTAACCTTTCCTTGCCATATCTCTATCTCACTGAATGTTGAATAGCTTGAGTTTTAGGCAAAATCCCATATTTATCTGCTGCTGCTGCTTCTCCTTTTTTTAAAATTTTTTTAAATTTTACTTTAATTTCTAGGGTACATGTGCACAACGTGCAGGTTTGTTACATAGGTATACATGTGCCATGTTGCTTTGCTGTACCCATTAACTCATCATTTACATTAGGTATTCCTCCTAATGCTATTCCTCCCCCAGCCCCCCACCCCTTGACAGGCCCCAGTGTGATGTTCCCCGCCCTGTGTCCACGTGTTCTCATTGTTCAGTTCCCACCTATGAGTGAGAACATGAGGTGTTTGGTGTTCTGTCCTTGTGATAGTTTGCTGAGAATGATGGTTTCCAGCTTCATCCATGTCCCTGCAAAGGACATGAACTCATCCTTTTTTATGGCTGCATAGTATTCCATGTGTATATGTGCCACATTTTCTTAATCTAGTCTATCATTGATGGACATTTGGGTTGGTTCCAAGTCTTTGCTATTGTGAATAGTGCCACAATAAACATATGTGTGCATGTGTCTTTATAGTAGCATGATTTATAATCCTTTGGGTATATACCCAGTAATGGGATCGGTGGCTCAAATGGTATTTCTAGTTCTAGATCCTTGAGGGATTGCCACACTGTCTTCCACAATGGTTTAACTAATTTACGCTCTCACCAACAGCGTAAAAGTGTTCCTATTTCTCCACATCCTCTCCAGCATCTTTTGTTCCCTGACTTTAATGATTGCCATTCTAACTGGTGTGAGATGGTGTCTCATTGTGGTTTTGATTTGCATTTATCTGATGACCAGTGATGATGAGCATTTTTTTCATGTGTCTCTTGGCTGCATAAATGTTTTTTTTTTGAGAAGTGTCTGTTCATATCCTTTGCCCACTTTTTGATGAGGTTGTTTGTTTTTTTCTTGTAAATTTGTTTAAGTTCTTTGTAGATTCTGGATATTAGCCCTTTGTCAGATGGGTAGATTGCAAAAATTTTCTCCCATTCTGTAGGTTGCCTGTTCACTCTGATGGTCATTTCTTTTGCTGTGCAGAGGCTCTTTAGTTTAATTAGATCCCATTTGTCTATTTTGTCTTTTGTTGCCATTGCTTTTGGTGTTTTACTCATGAAGTCTTTGCCCATGCGTATGTCTTGAATGGTATTGCCTAGGTTTTCTTCTAGGGTTTTTATGGTTTTAGGTCCAACATTTAAGTCTTTAATCCATCTTGAATTAATTTTTGTATAAAGTGTAAGGAAGGGATCCAGTTTCAGCTTTCTACATATGGCTAGCCAGTTTTCCCAGCACCATTTATTAAACAGGAAACCCTTTCCCCATTTCTTGTTTTTCTCAGGTTTGTCAAAGATCAGATGGTTGTAGATGTGTGGTATTATTTCTGAGACCTATGTTCTGTTCCGTTGGTCTATATCTCTGTTTTGGTACCAGTACCATGCTGTTTTGGTTACTGTAGCCTTGTAGTATAGTTTGAAGTCAGGTAGCGTGATGCCTCCAACTTTGTTCTTTTGGCTTAGGATTGTCTTGGCAATGCGGGCTCTTTTTTGGTTACATATGAACTTTAAAGTAGTTTTTTCCAATTCTGTGAAGAAAGTCATTGATAGCTTGATGGGGATGGCATTGAATCTATAAAATTATCTTGGGCAGTATGGCCATTTTCACAATATTGATTCTTCCTACCCATGAGCATGGAATGTTCTTCCATTTGTTTGTGTCCTCTTTTATTTCGTTGAGCAGTGGTTTGTAGTTCTCCTTGAAGAGGTCCTTCACATCCCTTGTAAGTTGGATTCCTAGGTATTTTATTCTCTTTGTAGCAGCTGTGAATGGGAGTTCACTCATAATTTGGCTCTCCGTTTGTCTGTTATTGGTACATAGGAATGCTTGTGATTTTTGCACATTGATTTTCTATCCTGAGACTTTGCTGAAGTTGCTTATCAGCTTAAGGAGATTTTGGGCTGAGATGATGGGGTTTTCTAAATATACAATCATGTCATCTGCAAACAGGGACAATTTGACTTCCCCTTTTCCTAATTGAATACACTTTATTTCTTTCTCTTGCCTGATTGCCCTGGCCAGAACTTCCAACACTATATTGAAGAGGAGTGGTAAGAGAGGGCATCCCTGTCTTGTGCCAGTTTTCAAAGGGAATGCTTCCAGTTTTTGTCCATTCAGTATGATATTGGCTGTGGGTTTGTCATAAATAGCTCTTATTATTTTGAGATACGTTCCATCAATATCTAGTTTATTGAGAGTTTTTAGCATGAAGTGCTGTTGAATTTTGTCGAAGGCCTTTTCTGCATCTATTGAGATAATCATGTGGTTTTTGTCATTGGTTCTGTTTATGTGATGGATTGCATTTATTGATTTGCGTATGTTGAAGCAGCCTTGCATGCCATAGATACAGCCGACTTTATTGTGGTGGATAAGCTTTTTGATGTGCTGCTGGATTCACTTTGCCAGTATTTTATTGAGGATTTTTGCATCGATGTTCATCAGAAATATTGATCTAAAATTCTCTTTTTTTGTTGTGTCTCTGCCAGGCTTTGGTATCAGGATGATGCTGGCCTCATAAAATGAGTTAGGGAGTATTCCCTCTTTTTCTATTGATTGGAATAGTTTCAGAAGGGATGGTACCAGCTCCTCTTTGTACCTCTGATAGAATTTGGCTGTGAATCCGTCTGGTCCTAGACTTTTTTTGGTTGCTAGGCTATTAATTATGGCCTCAATTTCAGAGCCTGTTATTGGTGTATTCAGAGATTCAGCTTCTTCCTGGTTTAGTCTTGGGAGGGTGTATGTGTCCAGGAATTCATCCATTTCTTCTAGATTTTCTAGTTTATTTGCGTAGAGGTGTTTATAGTATTCTCTGATGGTAGTTTGTATTTCTGTGGGATAGGTGGTGATATCCCCTTTATCATTTTTTATTGCATCTATTTGATTCTTCTCTCTTTTCTTCTTTATTAGTCTTGCTAGCAGTCTTATCAATTTTGTTGATCTTTTCAAAAAACCAGCTCCTGGATTCATTAATTTTCTGAAGGGTTTTTTATGTCTCTATCTCCTTCAGTTCTGCTCTGATCTTAGTTATTTCCTGCCTTCTGCTAGCTTTTGAATTTGTTTGCTCTTGCTTCTCTAGTTCTTTTAATTGTGATGTTAGGGTGTCGATTTTAGATCTTTCCTGCTTTCTCCTGTGGGCATTTAGTGCTATGAATTTCCCTCTACACACTGCTTTGAATGTGTCCCAGAGATTCTGGTACATTGTATCTTTGTTCTCATTGATTTCAAAGAACATCTTTATTTCTGCCTTCATTTCGTTATTTACCCAGTAGTCATTCAGGAGCAAGTTGTTCAGTTTCCATGTAGTGGTGCAGTTTTGAGTGAGTCTCTTAATCCTGAGATCTAATTTATTGCACTGTGGTCTAAGAGACAGTTTGTTGTGATTTCTGTTTTTTTTACATTTGCTGAGGAGTGCTTTACTTTTAACTATGTGGTCAATTTTGGAATAAGTGCGATGTGGTGCTGAGAAGAATGTATATTCTGTTGATTTGGGGTGGAGAGTTCTGTAGATGTCTATTAGGTCCGCTTGGTCCAGAGCTGAGTTCAAGTCCTGGATACCCTTGTTAACCTTCTGTCTCATTCATCTGTCTAATATTGACAGTGGGGTGTTAAAGTCTCCCATTATTATTGTGTGGGAGTCTAAGTCTCTTTGTAGGTCACTCAGGACTTGCTTTATGAATCTGGGTGCTCCTGTATTGGGTGCATATATATTTAGGATAGTTAGCTCTTTTTGTTGAATTGATCCCTTTATCATTATGTAATGGCCTTCTTTGTCTCTTTTGATCTTTGTTGGTTTAAAGTCTGTTTTATCAGAGACTAGGATTGCAATCGCTGGTTTTTTTTGCTTTCCATTTGCTTGGTAGATCTTCCTCCATCCCTTTATTTTGAACCTATGTGTGTCTCTGCACGTAAGATGGGTCTCCTGAATACAGCACACCAATGGGTCTTGACTATCCAATTTGCCAGTTGGTGTCTTTTAATTGGGGCATTTAGCCCATTTACATTTAAGGTTAATATTGTTATGTGTGAATTTGATCCTGTCATTATGATGTTAGCTGGTTATTTTGCTCGTTAGTTGATGCAGTTTCTTTTTTTTTTCCTTTTTTTTTTTTAAACTTTTATTTATTTTTTATTGATCATTCTTGGGTGTTTCTCACAGAGGGGGATTTGGCAGGGTCACAGGACAATAGTGGAGGGAAGGTCAGCAGATAAACAAGTGAACAAAGGTCTCTGGTTTTCCTAGGCGGAGGACCCTGCGGCCTTCCGCAGTGTTTGTGTCCCTGGGTACTTGAGATTAGGGAGTGGTGATGACTCTTAACGAGCATGCTGCCTTCAAGCATCTGTTTAACAAAGCACATCTTGCACCGCCCTTAATCCATTTAACCCTGAGTGGACACAGCACATGTTTCAGAGAGCACAGGGTTGGGGGTAAGGTCACAGATCAACAAGATCCCAAGGCAGAAGAATTTTTCTTAGTACAGAACAAAATGAAAAGTCTCCCATGTCTACCTCCTACTACACAAACACGGCAACCATCCGATTTCTCACTCTTTTCCCCACCTCTCCCCACTTTCTACTCCACAAAACCGCCATTGTCATCATGGCCCGTTCTCAATGAGCTGCCGGGCACACCTCCCAGACGGGGTGGTGGCCGGGCAGAGGGGCTCCTCACCTCCCAGTAGGGGCGGCCGGGCAGAGGCGCCCCTCACCTCCCGGACGGGGTGGCTGGCCGGGCAGGGGGCTGACCCCCCCACCTCCCTCCCGGACGGGGCGGCTGGCCGGGCGGGGGGGCTGACCCCCCCACCTCCCTCCCGGATGGGGCGGCAGGCCGGGTGGCGGGCTGACCCCCCCCACCTCCCTCCCGGACCGGGCGGCTGGCCGGGCGGGGGGCTGACCCCCCCACCTCCCTCCCGGACGGGGCAGCTGGCCGGGCAGAGGGGCTCCTCACTTCCCAGTAGGGGCGGCTGGGCAGAGGCGCCCCTCACCTCCCGGACGGGGCGGCTGGCCGGGCGGAGGGCTGACCCCCCCACCTCCCTCCTGGACGGGGCGGCTGGCCTGGCGGTGGGTGACCCCCACCTCCTTCCTGGACGGGGTGGCTGCGGGGCGGTGACGCTCCTCACTTCTCAGACGGGGCGGCTTCCGGGCGGAGGGGCTCCTCACTTCTCAGACGGGGCGGTCGGGCAGAGACGCTCCTCTCCTCCCAGACGGGGTTGCGGCCGGGTAGAGGCACTCCTCACATCCCAGACGGGGCGGCGGGGCAGAGGCGCTCCCCACATCTCAGACGATGAGTGGCCGGGCAGAGACGCTCCTCACTTCCTAGATGGGATGGCGGCCGGGAAGAGGCGCTCCTCACTTCCTAGATGGGATGGCGGCTGGGAAGAGGCGCTCCTCACTTTCCAGACTGGGCAGCCAGGCAGAGGGGCTCCTCACGTCCCAGATGATGGGCGGCCAGGCAGAGACGCTCCTCACTTCCCAGACAGGGTGGCGGCTGGGCAGAGGCTGCAGTCTCGGCACTTTGGGAGGCCAAGGCAGGCGGCTGGGAGGTGGAGGTTGTAGCGAGCTGAGATCACGCCACTGCACTCCAGCCTGGGCAACATTGAGCATTGAGTGAACCAGACTCCGTCTGCAATCCCGGCACCTCGGGAGGCCGAGGCTGGCGGATCACTCGCGGTTAGGAGCTGGAGACCAGCCCGGCCAACACAGCGAAACCCCGTCTCCACCAAAAAAATACGAAAACCAGTCAGGCGTGGCGGTGCGTGCCTGCAATTGCAGGCACTCGGCAAGCTGAGGCAGGAGAATCAGGCAGGGAGGTTGCAGTGAGCTGAGATGTCAGCAGTACCGATGCAGTTTCTTCCTAGCGTCGATGGTCTTTACAATTTGGCATGTTTTTGCAGTGGCTGGTACTGGTTGTTCCTTTCCATTTTTAGTGCTTTCTTTAGGAGCTCTTGTAAGTCAGGCCTGATGGTGACAAAATCTCTCAGCATTTGCTTGTCTGTAAAGGATTTTATTTCTCCTTCACTTATGAATCTTAGTTTGGCTGGATATGAAATTCTGGGTTGAAAATTCTTTATTTAAGAATGTTGAATATTGCCCCCCACTCTCTTCTGGCTTGTAGAGTTTCTGCTGAGAGATCCGCTGTTAGTCTGATGGGCTTCCCTTTGTGGGTAACCCGACCTTTCACTCTGGCTGCCCTTAACATTTTTTCCTTCATTTCAACCTTGGTGAATCTGACAATTATGTGTCTTGGGGTTGCTCTTCTCGAGGAGTATATTTGTGGTATTCTCTGTTTTTCCTGAATTTGAATGTTGGCCTGCCTTGCTAGGTTGGGGAAGTTCTCCTGGATAATATCCTGAAGAGTGTTTTCCAACTTGGTTCCATTATCCCCATCACTTTCAGGTACACCAATCAAATGTAGATTTGGTCTTTTCACATAGTCCCATGTTTCTTGGAGGCTTTGTTCATTTCTTTTTACTCTTTTTTCTCTAAACTTCTCTTCTCGCTTTATTTCATTGATTTGATCTTCACTCAGTGATACCCTTTCTTCCACTTGATCGAATCGACTGTTGAAGCCTTGTGCAGGTGTCATGAAGTTCTCATGCTCTGGTTTTCAGCCCCATCAGTTCATTTAAGGTCTTCTCTACACTGTTTATTCTAGTTAGCCATTCGTCTAATCTTTTTTCAAGGTTTTTAGCTTCCTTGCATTGGGTTTGAACATGGTCCTTTAGCTTGTCGAAGTTTGTTATTACCGACCTTCTGAAGCCTACTTCTGTCAACTCGTCAAAGTTATTCTCGTCCAGCTTTGTTCTATTGCTGGTGAGGAGCTACAATCCTTTGGAGGAGAAGAGGCGCTCTGGTTTTTAGAATTTTCAGCTTTTCTCCTGTGGTTTCTCCCCATTTTTGTGGTTTTATCTACCTTTGGTCTTTGATATTGGTGACTGACAGATGGGGTTTTGGTATGGATGCCCTTTTTGTTGGTGTTGATGCTATTCCTTTCTGTTTGTTAGTTTTCCTTCTAACAGTCAGGTCCCTCAGCTGCAGCTCTGTTGGTGTTTGCTGGAGGCTCACTCCAGACCCTGTTTGCCTGGGTATCACCAGCGGAGGCTGCAGAACAGCAAATATTGCTGCCTGATCCTTCCTCTGGAAGCTTCGTCCCAGAGGGGCACCCACCTGTATGAGGTGTCAGTCGGCCCCTACTGGGAGGTTTATCCCAGTTAGGCTACACAGAGGTCAGGGACCCACTTGAGGAGGCAGTCTGTCCATTCTCAGTGCTCAAACACCGTGTTGGGAGAACCACTGTACTCTTCAGAGCTATCAGACAGGGATGTTTAAGTCTGCAGAGGTTTCTGCTGCCTTTTGCTCAGCTATGCTCTGCCCCCACAGGTGGAATCTATAGAGGCAGCCGGCCTTGCTGAGCTGTGGTGGGCTCCACCCAGTTCAAGCTTCCAGGCCGCTTTGTTTACCTACTCAAGCCTCAGCAATGGCGGATGGCCCTCCCCCTGCCAGGCTGCTGCCTCACAGGTCGATCTCAGACTGCTGTGCTAGCAGTGAGTGAGGCTCCGTGGGCGTGGGACCCACCGAGCTAGGTGCGGGATATAATCTTCTGGTATGCCATTTGATAAGACCATTGGAAAAGCTCAGTATTATGGCAGAAGTGTCCCATTTTTCCAGGTACAGTCTGTCATGGCTTCCCTTGGCTAGGAAAGGGAAATTCCCCGACCCCTTGCGCTTCCTGGGTGAGGCGACGCCCACCCTGCTTCAGCTTGCCCTCCGTGGTCTGCACCCACTGTCCAACCAGTCCCAGTGAGATGAACCAGGTACCTCAGTTGGAAATGTAAAAATCACCCATCTTCTGCATCGATCCCGCTGGGAGCTGCAGACTGCAGCTCTTCCTGTTTGGCCATCTTGCCTAATTCACATACATTTTTCTTAGGCCTGCCCAGTGGCTAAAGAAAAATAAATGAACATAGCATTTTAAAAATTGAGTGTTTTATTATAAAAATCTATATTTCAGCATTCTCTAGCAAAGTCATACTATTTGGTACCACTAGGCCCACATCCCTGCATGGCAGCCATCAGTTGCTGCAAAATTCACCCCTTTCTCTTTAGAGACAGAATGTGCTGTCTGGGTCAGCACAGCCTCCACCACCCTGTCCCATTTCCCCAGCACCAAGTCCACTTATCTAGTTGTCTGATTGGCCTGTAATCTACTTGAAGTGCAGTGGTATAACCCAACTCAAATTAGTTAAACAAAATAGGTAATTTATTGATAACTTATCACAGGTGCACTGTTGCCTTCTCTTACCCTTAGCATTTGTTTTAACTTCTGAATCACTGGATCTAATAATCTTGGCCTCAACTCAAACTATTTTGTGTAATTTGTTTTGAAGTCACTAATCTCATGGGATCTTAATTTCCTAATGTTTATATGTCAGAGTTGAACTACATCAAAAAATGTTAAGAATCCACTATATTTTGCTACATACTTAAATTCTATTTTCATCATTAAATACTTCCTAGGTTTGTTTGTTTGTTTGTTTTTGAGACAGTGTCTCACTTTGTCACCCAGGCTGGAGCACAGTGGCATAAACACGGCTTACTGCAGCCTCAATATCCCGGGCTCAAGCTGTCCTCCCACCTCAGCTCCCCACATAGCTGGGACTACAGGCACATGCCAGTGCACCCAGCTAATTTTTGTATTTTTTGTAGAGACAGAGTTTCGCCATGTTGTCCAGGCTGTTTTCAAACCCCTGAGCTCAAGCAGTCCACCCACCTCAGCTTCCCAAAGTGCTGGGATTAGAGGCATGAGCCACTGTGCCCAGCCTCTTCCTAGCTTTTTAAATACACTGAACACAATTTAACCTTCTCAGTGTCTCCAGTTTAAGTACATCATTTACTGGGCTGCTTATATTCCACTGTGGCCTTCAATGGTTGTTAAGTCCTGTGAATGAAACAGCATGACACTGCCATGTGTTTCTTGAATTATTTTGTCTACTTTATATATCTATATCTATATAGTTTATGCCATAAATACATAAATATGTTCCCCTTCCCTACCATCTATTGCCCATGTATCTGTCTTTAGCAATTGATTTATACCACTTTATGATTTGCTGCTTCTGCTCTGCTTTGAGTTAGTACAGCAGATATTCCATATATAATAACCTTCTGTACATAAGCTAGGACATCTGCTTTGGATGATCCAGAGGTCAGATTGATTGTGTGGTAGTTCTTGGCTGAGCTCTGGATTCTTGGAGGTGCTACAGCTTACTCAGGAGGGAAATAAGAGGATGAAAACCAAAAAAAGCAGTAATTATCTTCCAAAAACATTTTCTTTCTTGCTCAAATCAAATTCACATTGTCATCTTAATGTTCCTAGAGCTGAGAGGATGTATGAATAGTTGGAGTTGAGCTATCAATAAAACTTGGAAATTAACAGCCAGTGCCTGGCTTACGTGAGCATTAGGTCTGGAAACCCCTAAATGAGTCTAATCACTATAAATTGCTCATCCATTAAGCATGTCTGGTTGAAGCCATGGAGAAAGAATGAGGAAGTGATGCTTGCAAGCTAATGCTCCCACTTGTCTTTTCTGTTCCTACCAAACTACTCTATGGTCCAGTGTGTCTCACATGTTTGTGCATCATGGACATTTCACACAGGTCCATAAGGAGCCTTATATCACTCGAGGCTTATGTGAGTTGGGAATGGGCTGTAGATGAGATAAATTGAACTGCAGATGATCTGATTAATAGAAATACATTAAATGTTTATTTACCATTTTTAAAATGTTTTCCTTATAAAGGTTAGAAAACGAAAAGCTGCTTGAGAGCAAAGCCTGCCTACAGGATTCCTATGACAACTTACAAGAAATAATGAAATTTGAGATTGACCAACTTTCAAGAAACCTCCAAAACTTCAAAAAAGAAAATGAAACTCTGAAATCTGATCTGAATGTATGTTAAGAAGGGTGAATTTGTCCCGCATCTGTGACTGTCCTTTTGAGTGTAGGACAAGGACTGTCCTTTCCTCCTTCTTTGCTATACTTGCCCACAGTGCCTGCCACATAGAAGGTACTTGACATGTTCGTTGACTATGCATTGCTAGTAACAGTTACTTAAAATCTAATGTTGTCTTTTAGAATTTGATGGAGCTTCTTGAGGCAGAAAAAGAACGCAATAACAAATTATCATTACAGTTTGAAGAAGATAAAGAAAACAGTTCTAAGTGAGTGCTATTTATTTTTTCTACTAGCATACTAGAATATTGTTTAATACCACATTCTTAATCTTGTTTTTTTTTTATTGCCAATACCCTGTAAAGAGTTATTTTTTTAAAGCATTCCAAAAGCAACAGCAGGTTCTTTTGTATAAATGGCTATGTGGAGAAACTTAATTTTTCAAAACATGTAACAACTAGCTATAGTACTTTTAAATGAATAGCAATTGGTGGTAATCAGAACTCAGGGCCTTCTGTAAATAAATCACAGCAAATATATAATAAGATGACTTCTAACTCTTCCTTTTATTATTGGAAGGAGGAGACAGATTTTTATTTCTGTGTCTACAAATCTTTTTCTACCAGGAATGTCCCCTAACAGGAATGCTGCCATATTTCTTCCCTCTTTCCAGGTTCCTCTCCTTAGTAGTCTCAGTGAATCTTTGGGCCTCGGTCACTAGGCTGAGAGTCACTCTAATGAGAAGAATTTGTTTATTCAGTAGGTACTTATGGAGTTCTTCCTATGAGGTCGCTTTTCTTCTAGGCCCTGGTATACAGTGGTGAACGTAGAGCTTACATCCAGTTGAGAGACAAGCAATTGACATTTACTCATTTATTCAAACATTTATTGATATCCAACAAGCCAGGCACTGATCTGGTGAATTCCAGAACATTTAGAGTTGAAACAGTGAACAAAACATCCCTGTCCTCGTGGATTTTAACTTCTAGCACAGGGAGACAGGTAATAAACAAATACTATATGATATATGTTATATTTAGGAGTACTAAACACTCTGAGGAAAAACAGTCATGGCACAAAAATGGGTTCTCATTGAATAATTTTTGAAGAAATGGGTTCAAATTTCTGATCCCCCCGGAAGGTAATGCCTGACACCAAGGGTGTGCCTAACAAAGTTCATTTGCACTTAATCTATTCTGTACTAACAGATTCAGTTCCTGTTTTCATTGAGTGAAGTCAGGGGTAAAAGATAATTATTCTCTTCCAGAGAAATCTTAAAAGTTCTTGAGGCTGTACGTCAGGAGAAACAGAAAGAGACGGCCAAGTGTGAGCAGCAGGTAAAATTCCTGTTACTCTAACTCTAGTATTTGAAGTTTATAACTTTTATTCCTGATACCTAAAAGGCTTATTATAATGATTTCAGCTTGCAGATGTTGGAAATTAGTAAGAAAGAAATGGAATTTGGGGCTGGTTCTATTATTTTTAATTTTATTTTTTTCTTCTTTTTTTAAGATAGTTTCTCACTCTGTCACCCAGGCTGCAGTGCAGTGGCGCAGTGATGGCTCACTGTAGCCTTGACTTCCCAAGCTCAGGTGATTTTCCCACCTCAGCCTCTCGAGTAGCTGGGACTATGGGCATGCACCACTATGCCTGGCTAAATTTTTGTATTTTTTATAGAGATGGGGTTTCACCATGTTGCCCAGGATCGAACTCCTGAGCTCAAGTGATCCACCCACCTTGGCCTCCCAAAGTGCTGAGATTACAGGCCTGAGCCACCGTGCCTGGCCTATTGTTTTTCGACTCTTGTTTTTCTAACTCCCAGAGGGTTACAATAATAATTTGTTGGTAGTCTCCTGGTAGACAGCACAAAATCACTGTCTTTCAACCCAATTTATCATTTTCAAGTATTACTCCTAGCATAGACTCTATAATATGAAAAGCTGCTTTCAACTTGTTTATCTGTGTGTATGGTTAACTTTGCGATTTAATTATTCTTCTAAAAATATTTCTTTTTCACCATAGATGGCAAAAGTACAGAAACTAGAAGAGAGCTTGCTTGCTACTGAAAAAGTGATCAGTTCCCTGGAAAAGTCTAGAGATTCTGATAAGGTTGGTAGAGTTTGAAGCTACATCTCTCTGTGCATTTTCTTATAAATGCTAGTTTAACATTTTGTTCTCCTACCTCTTCTTGCACCTCCAGGGTGACCAATAGATAATATGAATATTTCTATATGCAGTTAAGCCTTGTTCATCCTCCAAGGTTCCTAGAGAATGAGGTCTTCCACTTAATTTGCCATGTAACTTCAAGTACAAACTACTGTCACTTTGGATGGCAGTGTTTCTAAAACGCATCCTACCCTTTTAACTAGGATGCTGATATTAGTGTGACCCTTTCTTGTTGACTCTAAGTCCCATGATACAAATTTTCAAATTCCTGGTGTTGACTTTAACTAAAATAATAAAAATAGTCTGTATGTCCAAGTTTAAATTACGTATAAAATTCTTCTATGTCTAGCTCATATACATTCATAAAACCAAAACAAATGATTAAATGAAATATTATAGACTGGGCACAGTGGCTCACGCCTGTAATTCCAGCACTTTGGGAGGCCAAGGCAGGTGGATCACCTGATGTGAGGAGTTCGAGACCAGCCTGACCAACATGGAGAAACCCCATCTCTACTAAAAGTACAAAATTAGCCAGGTGTGGTGGCACATGCCTGTAATCCTAGCTACTCGGGAGGCTGAGGCAGGAGAATTGCTTGAACCTGGGAGGTGGAGGTTGCAGTGAGCCAAGATCACACCATTGCACTCCAGTGTGGGCAACAAGAGCGAAACTCTGTCTCAAAAAAAAAAATTATAAAGCCATTAAAATATAAATTGATGCCAGGCGCAGTGGCTCATGTCTGTAATCCCAGCACTTTGGGAGGCTGAGGCGGGTGGATCACGAGGTCAGAAGATCGAGACCATCCTGGCTAACATGGTGAAACCCCATCTCTACTAAAAATACAAAAAATTAGCTGGGCATGGTGGCAGGTGCCTGTAGTCCCAGCTACTCGAGAGGCTGAGGCAGGAGAATGGCGTGAACCCGGGAGGCGGAGCTTGCAGTGAGCCGAGATCGCGCCACTGCACTCCAGCCTGGGCAACACAGCGAGACTCCATCTCAAAAAATATATATATATATGTGTGTGTGTGTGTGTGTGTGTGTATGTATATATATTACATATGTATATATAATATATATGTATATATTATATACGCATATATAATATATATGTATATAATATGTGTATATAATATATGCATATATAATATACGCATATATATTATATGTATATAATATGTATATATTATATATGTATATATTATATATGTATATATTATATATGTATATATTATATATTATATATGCATATATATTATATATGTATATACATTATATATGTATATATTATATATGTATATATTATGTATATATAATATATGTATATATATTATAGATGTATATATATTATAGATGTATATATATTATAGATGTATATATTATATATGTATATATTATAGATGTATATATATTATAGATGTATATATATAATATATGCATATATAATATATGTATATATATTATATATATAAATTGATACTAATGTGACATACGATCTTTTACTAAAATAAAATTGACTTATATTGCCATTAGGAAAGATAAGTGATTTACCATTTAAAAATTTTCTTCTCCTTAATGTCATTGGGTATGAAGATATTATTTCTGTCCTCATCAGAAAGTTGTAGCTGACCTCATGAACCAGATCCAGGAGCTAAGAACATCGGTCTGTGAGAAAACAGAAACTATAGACACCCTGAAACAAGAACTGAAGGACATAAATGTAAGTTCGGTCACCAACAAGATGTTAAATTTGAGCATGGGACACTTCACAGACTTTTCAAGAGTTTAACAGATGCTCCACCAGAAAAAAGATTCTGTGGTCAAATAAGTTTGGAAATTCTAGTTAAATAAAGCTCAACAGGTTTGTGTGTTTGTAGGACTTGCAGAGTCATTATGGAAGTGTGTAGTATGTATCTCTGGGGGACAATGTAGGCTGCAGTGTTTCTCAGGTTTCACTGATCTGGGACAATGTTCTCTGTGCACTGTTTGGGAATGCCGGTATAAACTGAATAAGAAACAGGCTGGTTGCTGGCCGTAACAGTTAAGGCAAATGTGGTGTTTTTTAGTGGCTTTGAGGAAAAAGTAACACAGTAGCACATTGCAGTTAAGTTCAGAGACATTAATTAGAAAGTGAGTTCGTTTCCGCAATATTGGACATAATATCATTTCCTAAAGTTAACTACTTATTTTGTCAGCATGTATCTGAGTTCAGTGTTGATGCTTTTCTCCTCTGGGTCGAGGCGAAGGCTTTTGTCACTCCTCCTCACTCCTCTGCTCTACAGGGAGCTTGCTGCACTCCATGTTTATTTCTGAAGGCAGTAGATGACAAACCCTGTGTTTTTTTCACTGATACTTAGAGGACTTTTCCATTTCTCTTCACCATTCATGCACTTATTCTTCTATTCCTTCAGTCAGCAAGTATTTATTGAATTATCTTGTGTTAATCTTGTCATCACCTTGGAACCCAGACTCATTCTTGTTATTTTAATCTAGAAACAGGAAATAAAATGGCTCTTATAGCATGACTTTCTTTTCTACAGTGCAAATACAACTCTGCTTTGGTTGACAGAGAAGAGAGCAGAGTGTTGATCAAGAAGCAGGAAGTGGATATTCTGGATCTGAAAGAAACCCTTAGGCTGAGAATACTTTCTGAGGACATAGAGGTAGGTATTAACGCATCACAGCTTCTTTGTTTGCCTTATTACTTGTCAATATGTGTATTTGTGTGTGGAAGTTATTAATGAATAAATACAGGATTTTTAAAGAAATAATTCTTATACAGCTGATGTGCCTCAAGACGCTTCACTACACAGGCTCATTCTACCTCTACCTCACTGCCTGCACCTCATGCTGCCACCCTGACTGCTTGCTGTGCCTGAGATACTCCACACACGTTCACGCTGCCAAGCTTCCTCCTCTGGCAGTCTTATACATATACTGTCTCCTTTGAGGAGATAGTATTTGTATACTACTAATGTATTATTGTATAGTGTATAATAATACAAATAGTCATGTATAATAATTTCACCAAAATTATTATATTTTATCTAGCTAATCTATTTTCCGTCATTTTTGCTGACACCACGTTAACTTCCTATAACTGACCCCTGTAAGGGGAGCAGAGTGGAAACTGCATTTAATTGGATGCAGTGATAGTAGCAGATAGCAGAAAAGGGCTGTTTAAACAGGCTGATTTCAGGGTTGTCTTTTGCATTTTAGCGAAGATAAGTTTTATTTTTGTTTTTTTGATGTAGATTTATCTTTTTAAAAATTAAGCAGTACAGGTTAATTTGTAACCTACAGCTAAAGGAAGTTTTTTTGTTGTTGATGATGTGAACTTATCTTTTTAAAAATTAGTATATAAGCTAGGAGCAATATGGATTTTCTTCCAGCCCTTCCTATTCCTCAGCTACCCCCATGTTTTCAGTTTCTTGTGTAACTTTCAAGAGATATTTTAAGCAATCCTATATACTTTTAGCCTTACTTTTTTCCCCACACAGATGATAACCTATTGTATAAATTGTTCTATATTTGCTTTAGAAATAAAGGGGTTTTGGCTAACCTATGCTACCCATGAAACAAATTCAACAAATATTGAATCCACCTACTATACAACCTGTACCCGGCCTGGCATTTGGGAATGGAAAGATGATTGAAAAACACTGTTACTTACATCAAAGCATGCATTCTAGCTTAAGAGATATGTGTAATATGATGTAATAACCTGGGGGCACAGAAAAGGGAGGGAGGGGAGTAATTCTGCCAGGGGAAATTCTAAAGACCTCCTCAGAAGAGAGAGTATTTGTACACAACTTTGCCAGAGAGGGAAGCTTGGCAGTGTGAACATGTGTGGAGTGTCCCAAGCACAGCAGGCAGTCAGGGTGGCCAATACAAGGTGCTGGCAGTGAAGTGGGGGCAGACTGAGCCTGTGTAGTGAAGTGTCTTGAGGAACGTCAGCTGTATCTTTTAGGAAACCAAAACTGCATAGACATTGAACCCAGGCAGAAGGTCATGAAGTCAGAGCTAAGAAATGCTAGTGGGGATAGGGGGTGAGATAGAGTTGGGAAATGTTTCAGAGCTACAGGTGACAGTTGTTGGTGTCCAGTTGGATATGTACCATGAAGGGAAGAAGCAGTCAGAGTGGGCACCAAGCTTTCTAGCCTGGAGGACTGAATGGTTCTGTGCACATTTCAGATGGAAAGAATAGAGGCCCACAGAAAGTTAATGAGATGCATTTTATACATACCAGTTTTGAATTTTAAGGACCTGTGGGGTAGATATCCAAGATGGCTATTCCCAGTAATTTGTATTTATATCTTGCTACATCGCAGAAAGGATTTGAAGCTGCTAACACACATAAGATATAAGATTAAAATAGGCTGGACGTGGTAGCTCACACCTGTAATCCCAGCATTTTGGGAGGCCGAGGCGGGTGGATCACTTGAGGTCAGGAGTTCCAGACCAGCCTGGCCAACATGGTAAAACCCCATCCCTACTAAAACTACAAAAATTAGCAAGGTGTGGTGGTGCGTGCCTGTAATCCCAGCTATTCAGGAGGCCAAGGCAGGAAAATGGTTGCAGGAGGCAGAGGTTGCAGCAAGCTGAGATCATGCCACTGCACTCTAGCCTGGGTGACAGATCGAGACTCCATCTCAAAAAAAAAAAAAAAAAAAGAAGATTAAAGTAGACAACAAAAATTAGAATAAAAGGAAAGTAAGGGTAGAATAGTAACAAGTTATTAAGAGCACAGGCTACGGAGTTGGAATTCTAGCTGTGTGACCTTGGGGAAGTTAAATTTCTCCCTGTGCTTCATTTGCCATATCTGTAGAGATAACAGTACTTCCTACTGCATAAGGCAGTGGTCCTCAGCCTTTTTGGCACCAGGGACCAGTTTAGTGGAAGACAATTTTTCCTTAGACCAGGAGTGTGAGGGGGGCTGGTTTCTGGATGATTCAAGCACATTACATTTACTGTGTACTTTATTTCTATTATTATATTTACATTGTAATATATAATAAAATAGTTGTACAACTCACCGTAATGTAGAATCAGTGGGAGCCCTGAGCTTGTTTTCCTGCAACTAGATGGTCCTATCCAGGGGTGATGGGAAATAGTGACAAATCATCAGGCATTAGATTCTCATAAGGAGTGCCCAAACGAGATCCCTGGCACGCAGTTTGCAATAGAGTTAATGCTTCTGTGAGAATCTAATGCTGCCACTGATTTGACAGGAGGCGGAGCTCAGGCAGTAATGCGAGCGATGGGGAATGGCTGTAAATACAGATGAAGCTGTGCTCGCTTTCCTCCTGCTGTGCAGCCCAGTTCCTAACAAGCCACAGACTGATAGCAGTCTGTGGCCTAGGGGCTGGGGGCCGCTGGCATAAGGTGTTGCAGAGATGAACTGAGGTAATACATGGAAAGTGCTGAGAACTGTGTCTGGCTCCTTGTAACTGCTCAATATGTGTCAGATGGAAATAGTTTTAGCAAGCCAATTGAAAAGTTAGTACACAGAAGCCACAACCTAGGGTCCCCTACAAAGTATAAGATGATGGGCTAAAAATTCAGTTTCATACTGACTATTGACGAAGTTAAAAGGAAATCTAGCTATTTGAGTGGGAGTAGGTAAATAATGAAAACTCATGCCTGTTTACCTAAAAGCTCTTCTTTCCTTCCTTCCTTGCTTTCTCTCTTTTTTCTTCTTAAAAATAAAATGTGACTACGAATATTGTATTTAGATTTAAATATCGTATTTTAGATTCATACATTTTAGATTCAAGTGGAATTGACCCTATAAACAGCTAATTCATATTCCCTTTGTACTTATCTTCAGTCTTTATTAGCTAAAATTTAGTTTTATGGCTATGGTTTGTGAATTGTTCAGTATATTCAAATTGTTCATATATCAGTGTTTTTCAACAATATGAGTACTTAGCCAATGCAGTAAAATGGAAATACTAAGTGGGATACAAATATCATAAAAACTGAGAGAAAGTGACTGTTATTTGCAGATGGTCATGAGTGTCTACATGGAGACTCCAAAATACTGTCTGAATATCTATTAGAATATTGAGTTTAGTAATCAGTTATAAATTAGTCTTAAAAATAATATTTACTATGTGCCATTAATAACCATTTAACAATATTGGAACTAAAAAATTCTATTCACAAAAACAACCAAAAGTGTTAAAACGTTAGGAGAGAATTTGTAACAACTGTTAAGGACATAAAACTTCCCTAAGGGATATTGAAAGAAATTGAATATTAAAGAAAGAATAGCTTTACTGGGGCTGGGCACTGTGGCTCACGCCTGTAATCTCAGCACTTTTTGGGAGGCTGAGGTAGGTGGATCACAAGGTCAGGAGATCGAGACCATCCTGGTTAACACGGTGAAACCCCGTCTCTACTAAAAATACAAAAAAAAAAAAAAATTACCTGGGCGTGGTGGCACGTGCCTATAGTCCCAGCTACTTGGGAAGCTGAGGTAGGAGAATCGCTGGAACCTAGGAGGCAGAGGTTGCAGTGAGCCAAGATCGCGCCACTGCACTCCAGCTAGGGCGACAGAGCGATACTCCATCTCAAAAAATAATAATAAAGAATAGCTTTATTATAGATTATTATATAATATTATGTTATAATTAAAATAATATATAATATTAAATAAACAGTTTAAAAACATAACAGGAGCTTTTAAAAATTCTCTTTCACAGAAATAATATAGCGTATCAAAATCTTAGGGTGAATATTTGACAATTGTTAAGAACATAAAACTTTACAAGCAACATGAAAAGAGACTTCAATAAAAGGATCTAAAGGGAGACTTGGACAGGAAGACCCTGTCGTTTTAGAAACAGAAATTTATGTAATTCCACTTCAAATCCCAATGTATTTATTTTTATTTTTTTGAGACAGGGTCTTGTTTTGTTACCCAGGCTGGAATGTAGTAATGCGATCATGGCTCACTGCAGCCTTGAACTCCTGGGCTTAAGTGATCCTGCCACCTCAGCCTCCCAAGTAGCTGGGACTACAGATGTGCAGCACCACGCCTGGCTAATTTTTGGTATTTTTTTGTAGAGATGAGGTTTCACTATGATGCCCACGCTGGTCTCGAACTCCTAAACCCAAGTGATCCTCCCCTGCCTCAGCCTCCCAAATTGCTAGGATTACAGGTGTGAGCCACCATGCCTGGCCTCAAATCCCAGTATAAAAAACTGATGATTTTAAGGTTCCTTTGAAAAAAATACCCAAGATTTACCAACAAAACTTAGAAAAACAATAATGCAGAGAGATTTCTAAGCTAAATGGTAACCATATCCAGTGTTGGACTGATGATAGAGAGATCATTGCAACAACTTTGAACATCCACAAATAGAGAGCAGTGAATATGAAGGAATTTAGTGTAATGGTAAAGGAAGTATTTCTCAACAGTGAAGAAAGAGTCGGTTTAATCAATGTATATGTTGGGAAAATTGTCTGACCAATTTGAAAAGATATCAAAGCCAAAACAATTTTTACATGGATTAGAGTTCTGTACAAATGATGACATCATAGAAGTACTAGAAAATAAAAATACAAGCCAGGCATGGTAATGCACGCCTGTAGTCCCAGCTACTCAGGAGGCTGACATGGGACAATTGCTTGAGTCCAGTAGTTCAAGTCCAGCCTGGGTAATGTTGTTGCAAGAGCCCCCATCTCTGAAAAAACAAAAGGAGGGATGGGCACGGTGACTCACACCTGTAATCCCAGCACTTTGGGAGGCCAAGGCAGGTGGATCACTTGAGGCCAGGAGCTCAAGACCAGCCTGCCCAACATGACGAAACCCCATCTCTACTAAAAATACAAAAATTAGAAAAATTAGCCAGGTGTGGTGGTGTACACCTGTAATCCCAACTACTCAGGAGGCTGAGGCATGAGAATCGCTTGAACCTGGGAGGTGGAGGTTACAGTTAGATGAGATCACGCCACTGCACTCTATCTGGGCGACAGAGCAAGACTCTGTCTAAAAAAATAAATAAATAAATAATTTTTTTTTAAGGAGAAGAAAAAATACAAATACATAAAAATATCTTGAGTTTATGTGACTCTGAAAATATCTTGATATAAAGATTAGAACTCATAAGGGAAGATTATACAATATTAAAAACAAAAATTCTAACAACAGATGGGGAAAATATTTGCAACTGATGACAAAGTATTTTACCACCTTAATTTATCCTTCAGGAGAAGGATAGAAACACAGCTGGTGGAAAATGGACATAGGTAGCTCCCCAAAGAAGGAATATAGTGGCACAAAACTTCTTTGGAATCAGAGACATGCAAATGTTCCTGAAACATTAGGAGTTCAGCCTAGGTCTGGTTGCTTACCACACAGAAAGCCAATCACTGAGTCAAGGAGTATTGCCAGCGAAGAAGACTTTAAATGAGTGCCATAGCCAAGATAGGAGATCAGTCTCAAATCCTTCTCCCTGACTGACTAAAATTGGGAGTTTATATAGCAAGAAAGGTAACCATGTGTGGAAAAGCAGGAACTAGGGAGGGGTAAGGAAAAGGAGTTGGTTAACAGGAAACAGGTTGTCAGTTAGGCAGCCATGACAGGTGAGGGGCCTGGCATCTCATTTGTCCAGTTGCCATGATCTGGTAAGTTTCAGTTCCTTGATCTTGTCTGGGATGCCTGTTGGTTGGTTCCCTGAGAAAGGAACTCAGATAAGACAAATGTAACTTTCTTACGTTTTAAGACTGGGAGGGCCAATTTCTATGTTTATTCAAAAGAAACCATAAACATCAGTTCTAGGGGACAGTTGGGCCAGTTTCACAAATTAAAATAACAGCTATTTTCTAATCTTATAACTGGTAAAGTTTAAGACCCAAGGAAGATGTGCAGACAAGGATGATTACTCAAACTTCTGGAGGAGTTTATGTTCAGCCTTTGGGGAGGTAGTCTGGTAATACATAGCCTTATATTTTTTACATATCCTTTGAGTTTGCACTTTTAAAAATTCAGCCTAAAGAAATAATCTAGATACAAGAATGAAGTGCATAGAATAGTGAAAAATTCAAATCAACCAAAATATTTAGTGATAGATTAAATTGTGGTACATCCATAAGGTGAAATGGAGTCCACACAGTGAAAAGAGTGAGTACATGCAGAAATGTTTGTGATGTGTCAAGTTTTTTTAAAAGTGTGTGTTTATATGTGTGTATATATATCTGTGTATATCCATGTATATGTACATGTCTATGTACACACATATATATGTGTGTGTATATATATATATACATGCACACACATACCTACATACATATATATACATTTGGAAAGGAAAAGAAGGATAAGCAGTATCTGCTCTAATTTGGGAGGAATTACATATACTGTGTACATAGAAATTATGTATGCAACCTATAGGACTTCTAATTTTCTGTGCCAGTTTCCACAAAGCTACTTCCTGAAACTTTGATGGTCTATGACAATGAATCACAATCTGGTGCAAACTGCCCAGGCCCTCCTCAACTGGCTGATGGAGGCTCATCTTCACAGCTGTTTACTTTCCAGTATATAAAGGACTAGAGTCAATTGGTGAGACAACAACAAGTAACCAAGAGACCTTTGAGTCCTCCCCAGGAGAGGGAGATTGGCTTGAGATCCTGGGGGTGAGGAGAGAATGCAATTAGACCTCAAACCTAGAGTACAGTTAAACCTCAATTGGGATACCTATATATGTTTACTGTAATAATGTTAATCTCTAGACCTGTTCATCTAAATATTAACTGATTACTTTGTCTTAGAATGGATTAGCACACAAGCAAAAGAAATAGGTTTTTACATAAAACTTCCTTAGTCTGTTAAAAGTTGTACATAGTAATGATTTGGGAATCCTTATTGGAATACCATAATTAAGAAACTGTGATGATTGTCTCCTAACAGAGGGATATGCTCTGTGAGGACCTGGCTCATGCCACTGAGCAGCTGAACATGCTCACAGAGGCCTCAAAAAAACACTCGGGGCTGCTGCAGTCTGCCCAGGAAGAACTGACCAAGAAGGAAGCCCTGATTCAGGAACTTCAGCACAAGGTGAGAAACACACAGGTGTCACTCAAGATGGGAGACAAGAGACCAAGTGTAGTGGCTCACTCCTGTAATCCCAGCACTTTGAGAGGCCAAGGGGGTGGACCACTTGAAGTCAGGAGTTCAAGAGCAGTCTGGCCAACATGGTGAACTGAAACCCTGTCTCTACTAAAAATAGAAAAGTTAGCCGGGCGTGGTGGCGCTCACCTGTAATCCCAGCTACTTGGGAGGCTGAGGCACAAGAATTGCTTGAACCTGGGAGGTGGAGGTTGCAATGAGCCAAGATTGCACCACTGCACTCCAGCCTGGGTGACAGAGTGAGACCCTGTCTCAAAAAAAAAAAAAAAAAAAATGGGGGACAGGAGGAATCCACAGTTGAGGTTGTCATGACATTCCTGCATTGGCCAACTTCTCCATGTACAAAGGGGAGGCTAATGGAGTATCCTTACCTGGACTGAGACTTGCTCAGCTGCCTCCCACCCACCTTAGGTCCTTGACACATGGCAACCAGTTCTAACCACTCCAGTGAGGTTATGCCTGACTTTTATCATATTTTTGGTGGTTGTTGTTGTCATTTTATATTTTGTATTTTTCTCAGATGACTGTTTTGTTACTTGTGAAACTTGGAACATTTTTATAAGTATAAATAAATTTGTGAGAGAAAAGGAGATGGGTCCAGGTGCGGTGGCTCACACCTGTAATCCCAGCACTTTGGGAGGCCAAGGTGGGTGGATCACGAGGTCAGGAGATCAAGACCATCCTGGCTTACACGGTGAACCCCCGTCTCTACTGAAAGCACAAAAAAAATTAGCCGGGCGTGGTGGCCGGCTCCGGTAGTCCCAGCTACTCGGGAAGGCTGAGGCAGGAGAATGGTGTGAACCCGGGAGGCGGAGCTTGCAGTGAGCCGAGATCGCGCCACTGCACTCCAGCCTGGGCGACAGAGAGAGACTCCATCTCAAAAAAAAAAGAAAAGAAAAGGAGATGATGATTGGGTTATAGTAGCAACCAAGTTAGATTTCACAATTACTTTTAAAAATATCATAGGTTTATTTTAATATCTTACTGCTTTTCAAATTATTAATCAAGTTCTGAAAAAATAATGTAAATACAGCATATTTCCATATGCCATGGGAAGAAACCGCAATTACTTTTGCATCAACCTAATAACTGTAATCACCATGCCCTGCAGTAGATCTCCAAAAGGTATTCCTCCTGTCCAACTGAAACTATACCCTTTGACCAACATCTCCCATTGCTGATTCATGTCTCCTTCCACCCCTCACTTCCCCCAGACTCTGGTACTCTCCATTTCTATGAGTTCAACTTTTTTTGATTCCACATATAAGTGAGATTGTGTGGTATTTGTCTTTCTGTGCTGGCTTATTTTACTTGGAACAGTGTCCTCCAGGTTCATCCATGTTGTCACAAATGACAGAATTTGCTTCCTTTTTAAGACTAAGTAGTATTTCATTGTGTATATATATAGCACATTTTCTTTACCCATTCTCCCATCAATAGACAGTTAAGTTGACTCCATAGCTTGGCTATTACGAATAATGCTTCAGAGAACATGGGAGTGCCGCTGTCTCTTCAATAGACTGATTTTAATTCCTTTGGATATATATCCAGAGGTGGGACTGCTGGATCATACAGTAGTTCTGTTTTTAGTTTGTTGAGGAACTTCCATACTATTTTTCACAATGGCTGTGCTAATTTACATTCCCAACAGTATACAAGGATCCCTTTTCTCCACAACCTCACCAACACTTAACTTTCATCTTTTTGATGATAGCCATCCCTATCAGGTGCGAAGTGATATCTCATTGTGGTTTTCATTTGCATTTCCCTGATGATTGGTGATGGGAAGTTTGTCTTTTCTATTTGGACCATGTACCCCATATTACTAAGTTGTAACCTTGTATCTGTTCAATTTTCCCAGCTAAACCAAAAGAAAGAGGAAGTAGAACAGAAGAAGAATGAATATAACTTCAAAATGAGGCAACTAGAACATGTGATGGATTCTGCTGCTGAGGATCCCCAGGTACTTTTCAGAAAAAGATTATTTCAGGAGGAAGAAACAGTTTTGTAAATGATAAAAATTTGGAAATTAGGAAGAACATACCTTTGTCTTTTTAAAGAAAAAGATTTTCACTAATACCCTCTGTCTGCTTTTTACTTGATGAAAGTAGCAGTCTTTTATTTCCTTGGAAAAGAATTAGAATAATAAGCTAAGCAGCGGATTTTTTTTTTTTTTTTTTTTTTTTTTTTTGGCAGATGGAGTCTTGCTCTGTCACCCAGGCTGGAGTGCAGTGGCATGATCTCGGCTCACTGCAGCCTCCGTCTCCCAGGTTCAAGCAATTCTCCTGCCTCAGCTTCCCAAGTAGCTGGGACTACAGGTGCACACTGCCACGCCTGGCTAATTTTTTTTTCTGTATTTTAGTAGCGACAGGGTTTCACTGTGTTGCCTAGGCTGGTCTTGAACTTCTGAGCTTAGGCAGTCCGCCCACCTCGGCCTCCCAAAGTGCTAGGATTACAGGTGTGAGCCACCATGCCCAGCCGTAGCTAGAATATTTTTTATGTACTTGACATTTACGTTTAAAAGAAATCTTTATAATATCACTTAATTGGATATTTGGATGAGATGTGATTTTATTTTAGAGTCCTAAGACACCACCTCACTTTCAAACACATTTGGCAAAACTCCTGGAAACACAAGAACAAGAGATAGAAGATGGAAGAGCCTCTAAGACTTCTTTGGAACACCTTGTAACAAAGCTAAATGAAGACAGAGAAGTCAAAAATGCTGAAATCCTCAGAATGAAGGTAATTGGATTTTTTTTCCAGTAAATTTAATTATTTTTAAAGAGACCAAGTCTCGCTATGTTGCCCAGGCTGGGCTCAAGTGATCCATTTGCCTCAGCCACCCAGTATCTGGCACTATAGGTATATGCCACCATGCCCAGCCAGTAAATTTAATTTTTTTTTTTTTGTTTTTTTTTTGAGACGGAGTCTGCCTCTGTCGCCCAGGGTGGAGTGCAGTGGTGTGATCTTGGCTCACTGCAAGCTCCGCCTCCCAGGTTCACAGCGTTCTCCTGCCTCAGCCTCCCGAGTAGCTGGGACTACAGGCGCCCGCCACCACACTCGGCTAATTTTTTGTATTTTCTAGTAGAGACGGAGTTTCACTGTGTTAGCCAGGATGGTCTTGATCTCCTGACCTCATGATCCGCCTACCTCAGCCTCCCAAAGTGCTGGGATTACAGGTGTGAGCCACCGCGCCTGGCCAATTTAATTTTTTAAACTAAGCAGCATCCTCATGGTTACTGAGGATACAAAATTCAAAAAGCACAGAACTGAAAGGTAGACAGAGAAAAGTATTCCTTCTACCCCTGATACTAATCCACCTACTTTGCTGTCCCTGGAGGCTTCCAGGGTAGCCCCTTTCTTTTAGAGCTTTTTAATGCATACATAACCACATCGCTAAGCATTCTCTCCTGCCCCATTTGGTTTTTACACAATGGTGTCATATACAGGTTGCGCCAGCTATGCTCTCATCAGGAATGAAGGTGAGAGCATGTTTCCTTAAACCTCACCTCATGGTGCTATCTGAATTTCGGATCTTTGTCCGTTTAATAGCTAAAGTATTAAATGATGTAGTTTTACATTTATATTTTTCTTAAGAGTAAAATTGAGCATCTTGTTTTTCTGTTTCTGTGAACAATATCCATTACCCATTTTTCTATCACTGGACTTTTTCTTATTGATTCATAGGCATTTTTATATATTAGAGATTTTTTTAGTCTCTGATAAATTTAAAATACTTTCTTGTTTTCCATTTTTTTAAGCTTCCTCATAGTGTTTTTACCCAGTTACTTGATGGTATGTTGTCTGAGTAGTGGGGTGTGCACATGGCTCAGGGGTGGGGCACATGGAAGAGTGTCTGGGTAGGTGTGTAGGTGCATGGGGAAGGATGTGATGCTCCACAGAAGATAGCATTTATCCTGTGAGGTCATTGCTCTGCAGGGAGTTTTTGTTTAGGAACACAAATTGTTCACTTTAACCAAGGGATGTATATAAAGACAGCACTTATCTTGAGTTTTGTTATTCATGGAGAAGATTATTCCCAATCTTTTTATTTAGGGCAGTTCTCAGTATGCTATCTCAGGAATGTGGCTGTTATCCAGATTGCCATGATCTTGAAACTTAGAAGAAACTGGGTCAGGTGAAACGAAATCAGATAATAGGCAAGTAAATCCAAAAGGATATTCCTTGCAGACAAGTATTTATTTCTTCCAGATAGCTATGCTCATGATTTTCAAGTTAGGATGCAATTGAGTATTTTGAGGGATGAGCTGTGACGTCAATTTTTTGTTTTAATTAGAATCTACGTAATAAATAGAATCGAATAGTTGAGAACATTTTTCAATATAGAGATTTTTGTCATCTTTATTCACAAAGGAATTTTAATTTTTAATGAATTCTGTGATATTGATTTTAAAAATCTGTGTTCAAGACACTGTGGATGTGATCATGAATCACCATTCTAGGCCTCCAATAGCTTGTCACAGTCTGCTTTTCATGCAGCAATACCCAGTGCAGTGTCTCTGCATAGGAACTTAAAAGAGGAATACCTGTCTCAGTGGTGGCCTTGGGGAGCTAAATGAAGCCTACTGTAATGTGTTTTTTGAAAAGATACGATTTGATGTTATTAGGAGCAGTTGCGTGAAATGGAAAACCTACGCCTGGAAAGTCAGCAGTTAATAGAGAAAAACTGGCTCCTGCAAGGTCAGCTGGATGATATTAAAAGACAAAAGGAAAACAGGTGAGAAAGAACCACGAGAACTCTATGGGCTAAATCTTGGCCTGCCTGTGTGGAGTTAAATGAGGTTGGAATTGGTTTCACAGGTTTCCCAAGGTGTACAATGTTTCCCACTAATCCAGGAGATGGTCTTTTGGTTGATTTTGAATCAAGTCTGATCTGTTCACCTTTGCATTGCTCTGCAGTGCGTTTTTGGCATTGTTGCATTTGTTTTAAAGTGATTGAAATGAATTTAAAACATGTGAGATACTTAAAACAAATTACTTATATTTAAAAAAATTTTTTTAAGGTATATATAATATCGACAAGGTTCAAGAAGCCTTGCAGAGAAAGGGAGAATTCCCTACTAGTTGGCTTTGCTTCGTAACTCATGGTCCAGGGAAAGCCCCTGGGCAGGACAAGAAGGATATCCTTAGCATTTTACAGAGGAGCATTCACTTGGATTTAGACATCTCTCTGAGTGTGTTTTGGCTTCAGGTAAGGCAGTTTTGTAGTTGCATTTGCCGATACATTTGCATAGTGTCGGGGCAGCCATATCCAGACTTATATCTTGTCTTTGACTTAAAAGTCATACGATTTTCAACATATTTTTTACCCTTTTAGTACTTCACTTTCCTTAACAATAAAATGAAGAAAATGTTCATTTTCTCACAAGGAGTTTTAAAGATTAAAAATTACATGTATAAAGTGCCAGTTACAGTGTTTGGTAGCAGGTGTCAGTCAATGAAAAGTAGTTATTAAGTACACAAGGTAGAATTATGATTCTGCCTATTGTAACTTTCTGAGTGAGAGTTTGGAGATGATAGTGGCCTGTAAAATTATGCAAGAAGTCGAATTGAATCAAAGTGGGATCTCCGAGATAGAAGCCCTTACCGAATTCCACTGACTGCTGTCCATGCTGTTGCCACAACATCTTTGACAGAGAAGCTTGTGCACTCCTGCAGCTCCCTGGCCCTGTCCAGAAACACCCCTGATATGAGTTGTTCAAAACCTAAATGAGGCAGGAGAGATTTGAGGATGGTAATGGTGGCTATGCTAAAATCTCTTCTTAAATGATTCTCTTCAAATTTTAGTGAGCATCAGAGATCTTATTCAGTAGGGCTGGAGCGAAGCCCAGAATTCTGCATTTTAAAAAAGCACGTGCCTCCCTTTGTAGGTGATTCTGATGTAGGTAGTCCACAGTCTGCTCACCTAGTTTTCATATGCTCCATATATGTCCAATTCTATTAAAGAAAAGCCTTATATTTAGTATACTGTCTTTTGTCAAGAGCTACTGTGAACATAGAACATTTCCGGATCATTTGTAAAATGAAAATTTAAAATACCGTATTTCAGAGATACGTCATAAGCTTACTACTTTTGCCCATGGATGCCACTAAGGATGCATCGTTCAAGTCTTTCTTCCCACTACCAACATATCTAAGTCAGAGTCTCTTAAATAGCCCGAATAGCTACAGAAGCTCTTCATCAGACGATTGAGCTTTGAAACAACCAATAAGAGTCTGGGGAGCCATTCTGAGTAGTGAGGAAAGCTCATGGATTATATAGCAATGAGAGACCCAAACACCAAGCATTCCAGGGCCTTTGGTTTTTCACAGATGGCACTGTGGAGGAGATGGATGCAGCCGTAAATCAAGGCGACACAAGGCAGATGAAAGAGTTGTGAAACCAAAGAGGGATGTCAAGAAAAGATTCTCAAAGACCAGGTGCCTGGTTAACTGTAAAAAAGATCTTTGTTGGTGGCATCACAGAAGACACTGAAGAACATCACCTAAGAGATTATTGTGAAGGTATGAGAAAATAGGAGTGGTTGAAATCATGACTGAGTGAGGCAATGGCAAAAAGAAGAGCTTTACTTTTTTAACCTTTGAGGACAGCCATGACTCTGCGAATAAGATTGTCTCTCAGAAATACCGTAAAGTACATAGCCACTACCATGAAGTATGGAAAACCATGTTGAAGAAAGAAATGGTTAGTACTTCAGCCAGCCAGAGAGGTCAGAGTGGTTCTGGAAACTTTGGTGGTGGTCATGGAGGTGGTTTTGGTGGGAGTAACAACTTTGGTCATCAAGGAAAAATTTCACTGGTAATGGTAGCTTTGGAGGCAGCTGTATTGGTGGATATGGGGGCAGCAGGGATGGCTATAATGGATTTAGTACTTAAATGATGGAAGCAGTTTTGGAGATGGTGGGAACTACAACGATTTTGGTAATTACAACAACCAATCTTCAATCAATTTTGAACCCATGAAGAGAAGAAACTTTGGAGACAGAAACTCTGGCACCTAAAAAAAAAAGAAAGAAAGAAACTCTGGCCCCTGTGGTGGCTGAGGCTACTATGTTGCCAAAACATCAAATCAAGGTGGCTAAGGCATGTGAAAGTTGCCAGTACCAGAATGGAGTCACTTATGTCAAAACCCTAACAAAGTGGAGTCAGGAGGCCCTAAAAAAGTTCTCACCGCACATGCCTATAATATACCTTATCACAAGAAATTCCTGCAGGTCCCACATGCCCCACTTCTGCACTCACCCTGCAACAGAGCTTATCACAGGAATTTTTCAGGCCTGCAGTATTTCAGACAAGCTGCCAGCACCAGGACAGTTACTCAGCAACAGCCATCTCCACCAATGAATAAACGCCAACTCCTGCACTGAGCTTCTGTGACCCGTGAGCTTTATTTCAAGCTTTATTTCATGGATTTCTCTTTGTCTTTAAAAGCTTTCCCTTTCCCCAACTCCCCTGGATACATTAATGGCCCGTCATAGCTTGCATACCCTGCAATTGCAATCCCTCTGCTATTCCTAGATAAACTTGTTTGTTCTAAAGAGCCTGTCTTTCTGAGTTTCTTTTTAGGTTGACAGGCAGTTCCAGTAGCAGCAGTAGTTATGGCAGTGGCAGAAGGTTTTAATTAATGCCAGGAAACAAAGCTTAGCAGGAGAGGAGAGCCAGAGAAGTGACAGGGAAACTACAGGTTACAACAGATTTGTGAACTCAGCCAAGCACAGTTGGTAGCAGGGCCTAGCTGCTACAAAGAAGATATGTTTTAGACAATACTCAGGTGTATGGGTAAAAAACTCAAGGACCGTATTTGTGACTAATTGTATAACAGGTTAGTTTAGTTTCTGTTCTGTGGAAAGTGTAAAGCAGTCTTAACAAAGAGTTTTAATGTGTTTTTTTTTTCCTTTGCACTCATCCTGTTGATTGCCAAATGTCATAGTCTGATCATGATGTTGAATAAATGTCTTTTAAAAGATGTTTTTCACTGGGTGTCGTGGCTCACGCCTGTAATTCCAGCACTTTGAGAGGCCGAGGCAGGCAGATCATTTGAGGTCAGGAGTTTGAGACCAGCCTGACTAACATGGTGAAACCCTGTCTCTACTAAAAATACAAAAAATGAGTCAGGAGTGGTGGCACGCACCTGTAATCCCAGCTACTCAGGAGGCTGAGGCAGGAGAATCGCTTGAACCGGGGAGGTGGAGGTTGTAGTAAGCTGAGATTGCACTGTTGCATTCCAGCCTGGGACAGAGTAGGACTCTGTCTCAAAAAAAAAAAAAAAAAAAAAGTTTTTCATTTCATAGCCTCACATTCCTTATATATAAAAGAGCTACTCAGAACCTTCTTTGTGAAAAATTAGAGAAAGGGCAGACTATAGCTCAGGGGCCTAATTCAGCTCACAACCTGTTTTGTAAATAAAATTTTATTGAGACATAGTCACACCCTGTCATTTTAATATTGTTGTGGCTACTTTTGCACTACAATAGCTAAGTTGAATAGCTGTGGCAGAGACCGCATGGCTCCCAAAGCCTGAAATATTTACTGTCTCGTTCTTGACAGAAGACGTTTGCCAATCCTTGGATTAGTGGACAGAAAACATATCTTTCCCTAATGATTTGGGGTATTTCTTCATTGAGGACTCATTACCATTTTTGTCTGGGCTGCCAGATTTGTTAAGGGAAAGAAACCTCACTGTAGCTTCTGTTTTCCTTCAAGAAATGGTCTTTTACTCACCAGTGAGAGAGATATTCCTAGAGAAGCCTACAACATTCAGGAAGGTTCTCCAAGGAGGGAGGGAGGGATGTCTCTCTGGTCCAGGGGCTGCACACAGAAACTCAACTTATTATCCTCACCTGGTCAGGCTCACAGAGATAGATGTATTATCTAGAATGTAATTTTCTTACTTTATATATTGGAACATTCCTTTTCCATGAAGACATATCTGGTGCTTGGGACATCTGGCCCTGGTGTCCACATACACGGAAAGGCAGAGTGGTTATCAGAAAATGCCAACTGACTATGGAACCTGAGCAAAAGAGAGTCAAGGACTCCACTAGCCTGAGGCCAGAGCGACCCTGCCTACCCAAAATGTGCCCCCTCCCAGCTGATCACATTCATACCAGGCTCTTGGCTCTTTCTTTCAGCCCCCTTTTGTTCACATTCGATCTTCAGATGTTACCACTTTTAACTAAGTTTCTACTGTATTTTACTTTCAACCAATCCTTGATTATATTTCCCACCTCATCTCATCTTGCTTTTGTACTGGGAGGAATCCTGAGTTCTGGGGAAGTGCCTTATTTCATCCCCATGTGTCAATCACATTTATCAACTGTACTGACTTGACCCAATCACAATAGAGTTAGCCTTTCTTTGTACACCTTGGCATTGCTGCATATAATGGATTTGAATTTGAAATTGATACTTGAATATACTTAGCAGTGTTTTCCTATGCCTCCTCCCACCCCTGTTAATCTATGCAGTGATCAGAATCATCCAGATAATCAACAGCTGAAGAATGAACAAGAAGAAAGTATCAAAGAAAGACTTGCAAAAGTAAGATTTTTTTTTATGTAATAGTTTCTTCTTGTCTGAGCAATGCTTTTATAGTTAGTATTTATGGTAGTATATTTTAGAAATCATTTTACTATTGAAATTCCTGTCTTTTCTGCATTTCCACTGTTTAGCATGATATTTACCATTAGTATTTAGACACAGCTGAGAATTAAGAATTTGTCTTCATGCCTACATGGCAAGCCTACTGCTCAGCATGCACACATATAATTCTCCATTTAGAAGCAAGTACCAAGGCCTGTTTGAAGCCTTAGAGGGCATAGTGCATGAAGTCTTGGAAATAGGTACTTACTTTATGTATGTGTAGCTGGCACTGTGGAAAAGGATATTGGTTTGATTTTATTCACATGAAGGAGAATGGGCTGGTTCCTTTCTATCTTTTTTAAGCAATGTTATTTAAGAACCTAAGCAATCTTTTTATTTTCTTTTTTTAATCTTCTTATAGAGTAAAATAGTTGAAGAAATGCTGAAAATGAAAGCAGAGTAAGTGTACTATTTTGTAATTTAAAATCTTGATCATCTTTTCCTTATTCTCCTCTAAAGGAATGATATACCACAAGGTAGGTAACTTCTTTCCTTCTGCAGTAATAAGTGAATTTAATAGATGTTTACAGATTTTTTTTTAAATACCATTTGCTAAAAGGGTTTCTCATGTGAAGCCACTTCAAAAGAAATCTTAAAGAAATAAATAGCAGGAAAAGCCTAGCTTCCCTTGAGGAATCGATGGGGCTTTTCCTCATGGACAATGAGAACAATGTAACTACCAGGTGTCCCTTTTCACTTCTGCTTCTGGTTTCCTCTGATTTAAAACCTGAGGCCCTCTGAGACCCAAAGATCAGTACTCTGATTTCTTCTGGTCTAGCCCTTGGGTCTCTTTATGTTTTCTAAAGCCATGAGTTTAATTTATTCATAAAGTTTTCATATTAATTCATGTAGCCTTATAAATGGCCTCACTCTTTGATGAGCAAGGTGTACTATATTTTCTGTAAAATTCAAACTAAGTAAGCTGGTTGGCATTAACACAAACAAAACAACATTAGAGAGCTATTGGGCTTTTTCTGGGTAGATACTCCTTATTAGGGATAGAGATCTTCAAACATTTTTGCTTATTATACTGATTTAAAGGATTTTGAAACATCATATACCCTCTTGCATATTTTTGAAGTTGACTTTATATCTAAAATTTTTCATTGTAAGTTTAAATTGTTACAAAGAATAGACATTCTGGGATATACAATATAGTGACATTTGAAAATAAAGCTGTTGGCTGGGCCCAGTAGCTCACGCCTGTAATCCCAGCACTTTGGGAGGCCGAGGCAGGTGGATTGCTTGAGTTTAGGAGTTTGAGATCAGTCTGGGCAACATGGTGAAACCCTGTCTCTATTTCTAAAATTTTTTTTAAATAAATTTTTTTAAAAAGAGAAAAGAAAATAAAGCTCTTGCCATTCTTTTAAAAGTATTTAACTAATTTGCTACTTTCTGTTTAAGAAATACATGAACAAATTTCCAAGTCTAAAATTTTACATTTTTCCTTTTTCCTTTGTAATTGAAGTTCCTTTCTACACCCTGCAGGATTTTATATTGATTTAATATATTTTCTGGAAAATTTTTTTATTGATAACCCCATCATACTACTTAACAATAAAATATATGTATGTACATACATACACACACACAAATTGAAAGTAATTTGTAAAAATTTATTTTAATCATATGGCTTTGTTATGTTTATTACCAATTGAGTTCACATTACAATTATTAATCAGTGTGCCTTAAATTTACTGGAAATTTTTATAAGTAATTATTATACTTAGGGAAAATTTTAGTGGAAATGCATCTCTTAATGTATTTTAACCTAATGCTTTTTCTTCAGTCAGCTCATTTTTCTGTTGTACTTCTCAAATGAGACAGGATTCAGCATCAACTCTATTCGTATTTTCTGCTTTTATAGATATAAATGCTGAGAAATCTTGTTCACATAGTTAAGTAAATGGCAATGAAGGAGTTTTGATAGGGTACTGTATTCCAGTTATTTGAACTTTATGCAAGTAAATATGTCAAAAATTACATGGTGATTTACCATCAAAAATTCTTTTTAATGATCAGCTGACAAAGACCACCCAATTTATGAAAGATTTGTTACCCAATCATTGATTCATTTGCTTCATAGAATCAGAGTATACATAGGAAAACAGCCTTTTCACCTGTGTATGAGCCATTCAGAGTCCGGCTCCTAGCTAATTAGTGGTAAAGCTAAGTCAGAAACCCAGATTATTTACAGGATTTTTGAGAATCCAGCTAGTTGGTTGAATTACAGCTATTTTAGAACTAATATCTATTTGAGGTCTTCTAGCAAAAAGAGTAAAAGCTATTTAACTTGGTGTATAGTTTATTTCATAGTCTAGTAACCAAGAGTCTTCATGATATGCTGTCTCTGGAACATACAGCAGGCCAAACTTCACTGCGGGCAAGTGAAGCACACTTCAGCAAACGGCATGCACTGTTTTATCAATCCCAGCCTACAACAGCAATTTTAAACGTTACGTTACCCATATATTTGTGAAGATGCTTTTAAAAGTAATGGGGAACCAATACAAAGCCAACAATGAATTGGGAGAGCATCAGTGCCCTTCTCCCCAGACTGTCCTTCTGAGATCCACAGAATGTAGTCCAAAAACAACTTGCCTAGAAATTAGCTGGCCCTTTGTGTATTAAATTTTATGTATTATATCATCTTAGCAATCAACCGCTAGAAATTAGCTGGCTTTGAGTGGTGTATTAAATTTTGTGTATTATATCATTTCAGTAATCAACAGCTAGAAATTAGCTGGCCTTGAATGGTGTAATAATACATCATTTCAACAGTCAACATTACATTTCATGAGCATTATAAAATAAAAAGCAGGCCTGGCACAGTGGTTCACACCTGTAGTCCCAGGATTTTGGGAGACCAAGGAGAAGAGGATTGCTTGAGGCCATGAGTTTGAGACCAGCCTGGGCAACATAGCAAGACTCCATCTCTACGGATAATTTTTAAAACATTAGCCAAGCACAGTGGTGCATGCTGGTAGTCCTAGATACTCCAAAGGCTGGAGCAGGAAGATTGCTTGAGCCTAGGAGTTGGAGGCTGCAGTGAGCTATGATGGTGCCAGCGTACTCTAGCCTGGGCAGCAGAGTGAGACCCTGTCCCTAAAGGGGGGTGGGGGGTGAAGTAGGCATTTGTTTTGGGAAACTTACAGGATTCAGATCATTTTATAAAGTCAGTGAAATGTACATGAAGTGTATAAATTCTAAACAACTGAAGAAATGAATTGAAAGAAATGACTGGTGTCCCACTGTCTGAGGACCAGTTTTTGAAATCAGAAATGATCAAGATAGGGGATACTGAATAAACCATGCAGATTATAATAATACTTAAATTACATTTGCCCCAAGTGGGCTGAATCTAAACAATTTTATTCTAAATTTTTTTTGTTTAGAAAATGTTTTGAGGAGTTTTCCAAAATGAAAGTCTTGGGTAAAACAAAACCAAAAAAAGCATATCTGGTATGTAGCACTTACTGTCTTCTTTTGCCATCAGCAGAGGAGGGCTAAAGATTAGTAATACTTTCAAATCAAAATTCTGGCCTTGCAGTACACATGTCTAACTTGAGCACTGTTTTATGATTATGTTTCTTTCAAATACTATAAAGTGATAACCTATTCCTACAGCCTAGAAGAAGTCCAAAGTGCCCTTTACAACAAAGAGATGGAATGCCTTAGAATGACTGATGAAGTCGAACGAACCCAAACTTTGGAGTCTAAAGCATTCCAGGAAAAAGAACAACTGAGATCAAAGCTGGAAGAAATGTATGAAGAAAGAGAGAGAACATCCCAGGTGTGCTAGTGTGTTGGTGTTTTCATGATACTTAGAACACTCAAATGAATAGAACTAATTAGCGTAAAACTCACTTTGTGATTGGGTGTCCTTAGTTCAGAGTTGCTTTATTGTATGAAGAGTTGTGAGGCCTTGAAAGCTGGGATTCTGGACTCTCTGACTTCCTGTGCTCCTGGAAGGCAAGAAATAATGTGACTTTAAAAGAAAATTAAGACCTACTTCTCATTTTTCCCTCCTTGGATTGATTACCTGCAGGAGATGGAAATGTTAAGGAAGCAGGTGGAGTGTCTTGCTGAGGAAAATGGAAAGTTGGTAGGTCACCAAAATTTGCATCAGAAGATTCAGTACGTAGTGCGACTAAAGAAGGAAAATGTCAGGCTTGCTGAGGTAAACCTAAAAATTATTCTGAATAAATTCTGTCTGGTTTAAAAATGATTATTTTATTGAAACCAAATTAAAACTTAATTATTGAATCAGTTAACTGCTTACTTCAGGGAGCTTCCTGAATTAAAAAAAAAAAAAAAGTTGGTCGTTGCTATTCTGAGCCTAATTCAATCAGTGGCATTTCATAGACAGCAGATTCTTGTTTAACGTTTAGTTTGCACATTGAAAATTCCAGTCTTAATTTGAAATATACACCTAATAAATGCAAAAAAAAACCACTTCCTGTAAGAATTAGAGCCTTATTTTTTTTCTTTTTGTTTTTTTAAAATTACTTAGGAGACAGAAAAGTTGCGTGCCGAAAATGTATTTTTAAAAGAAAAGAAAAGAAGTGAATCTTGAGGATTCCGGTCAGCTACCTAGGCATCACCTTGTTTGAAGATGTTTCTTCTCTTTTACAAGTAAGACCTACTCCTGGCCACTTAGGAGAGCTGAATTTATGGACCTTAATTATTAAATGTTTATAAGGTGGTGGTAACCACCTCAAGTTTCTGATGAACATTCTGCATCCATATACACCCTGTGACAGTCAGCAGTCTGCTATTAAGTGGCCTACTTCAAGGCTTTGAATCAACTTAAGGGAAAACCTTTTGTCTTTGTAAAAATAAAAGCCTGTAGCTAAGGTTTACAGTGGACATTAGCCAGATCATTTTCTTCTTAGATTATGCCATAATCTCCTTTGATTCTTATGGAAGTTCTAACAATATATGGTGGTTCCAACACCTGCAGTGAGTTTAATGACTGACTTAGTAGCAGGTACAAGAAGCAAACTTGTTAATATAGATTATTTTTGTATTCTTACTTTAGGTATTTTCTTGAGCATTTTCCATGACTGTAAATAAAGCCATTTTTTAAGATAATAATTAAAGTGACTTACATTGTTCATTCTGTTGTTCATTGAACACATACTTAATGAACACCTGCAATATGCCAGGCACTAATCATCAGTGAACAAAGCAAATCTTGCCCTCAAGGAACTTCTGTGTATTGGGCCTTCTTTCTTTTTTATTGAGACAAATATTCCATTTTATGGATATGCTACACTGTCCATCCAACAGCTGATGGATACTTGAATTGTTTCCAGTTTAGGACTATTATAAATAATGGAGCTATAAATGTTCATGTGTAAGTCATGGTGTGGACATATATTTCATATCTCTTGAGCACATGCCTAGGAGTAGAATTACTGGGTTATCTGAAAAGCATGTCTTTACTTTTTAAGACATTGCCTGTTTTCCAAATTTACCATTTAGGTATACCATTTTACATTCCTACCAACAGTGTATTCCAATTTCTCCACATTTTCACCAACACTTGTTATTGTCAGGTTTTTTACTGCAGCCATCCTAGGTGTGTAGTTATATCACTTGCATTTTCCTAATTACTAATGCTATTGAACATTTTTCCATATTATGGAATATTACTTGGCAATAAAAAGGGAACATGCTACAACATGATGAATCTCAAAAAAATGCTAAGTAAAAGAAAAACCAAACCCAAAAGACCACATATTATATGTTTTTATTTCTATGGCAGGTCCAGAAAAGGCAAAATTATAGAGATAGAAAGTAAATCATTGGCTGCTTGGAGCTAGGATGGGAGTGGGAATGACTGGGCACACGGGAACTTTTTGAGGTGGTGGAAATGTTTTAAAATTGCTTTGTGATGATGGCTACACAACTCTATGTTTACTAAAAAATGAACTATAGGGCTGGGTGTGGTGGCTCACACCTGTAATCCCAGCACTTTGGGAGGCCAAGGCAGGTGGATCACTTGAGGCCAGGAGTTCAATACCAGCCTGGCCAACATGGCAAAACCCCATCTCTACTAAAAATACAAAAATTAGCTGGGTGTGGTGGCGCATGCCTGTAATCCCAGCTACTCGTGAGGCTGAGGCACAAGAATCGCTTGAACCCGGGAGGCAGAGGTTTCATTGAGCTAAGATTGTACCACTACACTCCAGCCTGGGCAACAGAGTGAAAAAAAAAAAAAAAGGGAACTATACATTCAAAATGGGTGAATTTTAATAAAACTGCAGGAAAAAATTGTAATGCATAGTTGAACTCTCAAGGAATAATAAATAGTAAATCCGTAAGGGCCAAAAATGAAAAAGGAACTTTAATGTAGTATTAAATATAAGGTAGCGAGCAGACACTGCAACTGCCTCAGAGGTAGAAGAAGGTGGAATATTGAAGCTGATAATGAAGAGGCTTGGTTCTGATCACCTGTATCAGCTGTAGAGCTGCTATAACAAATGACTACAAACTGGGTGGCTTAAAACAACAGAAATCTATTTTCTGACAGTTCTGGAGGCGAGCAGTCCAAAATCAAGGTGTGAGTAGGGCCACAGTCTCTCAGAGCCATAGGGGAGAATCTGTTCCATGCCTTTCTCTTAGCTTCTGGTGTTGTCAGGAATCCTTGGTGTTCTTCCTTGTGCCTCTATCTCTTCTTAGAAAGACACTAGTCATATTGGATTAGAGCCTACCCTAAGGATCTCATCTTAATTTGATTATAACTATAATGACCCTATTTCCAAATAAAGTCATATCACAGGTACCAGGGGTTAAGACTTCAACATATCTTTTTAAGGGACACAATTCAACCCAGAACATCACTCATTGCAAGGAAAGTGTCACATGTGTCTGTGTGAAGAGACCACCAAACAGGCTTTGTGTGAGCAACAGGCTGTTTATTTCACCTGGGTGCAGGTGGGCTGAGTTTGAAAAGAGAGTCAGCAAAGTGTGGTGTGATTATCGTTAGTTCTTATAGGTTTTGGGATAGGTGGTGGAGTTAGGAGCAATGTTTTGCAGGCAGGGGGTGGATCTCACAAAGTACATTCTCAAGGGTGGGGAGAATTACAAAGAAACTTCTTAAAGGTGGAGGAGATTACAAAGAACCTTAAGGGTGGGGGAGATTACAAAGTACATTGATCAGTTAGGGTAGGGCAGAAACAAATCACAATGGTGGAATGTCATCAATTAAGGCTATTTTCACTTCTTTTGTGGATCTTCAGTTGCTCAGGCCATCTGGATATATATGTGCAGGTCACAGGAAATATGATGGCTTAGCTTGGGCTCAGAGGCCTGACGTTCCTGTCTTCTTATATTAATAAGAAAAGCAAAACAAAATAGTGATGAAGTGTTGGAGTGGCGAAAAATTTTGGGGGTGGTATAGAGAGATAATGGGCAATGTTTCTCAGGGCTGCTTCAAGTGGGCTTAGGGGCGGCGTGGGAACCTACAGTGGGAGAGATTCAATTGAAGAAAGATTTTGGGGTGAGGGGTGATATTGTGGGGTTGTTAGAAGGAGGATTTGTCGTATAGAATTATTGGTGATGGCCTGGATGTGGTTTTGTATGAATTGAGAAACTAAAGACACAAGGTCCAAATAAGAGAAGGAGAAAAACAGATATTAAAGGACTAAGAATTGGGAGGACGCAGGACATCCAATTAGAGAGCATCCAAGGGGATTTAGTGTAATTGATTGGTTGGTTGGTGAGTTTTTGGGCTCTATTTTTGAGAGTTCTTTTTTTTTAAGTTGAGGCTGAGCTTGGTGAGGTGTGTTTTTAAAAGACCATTAGTCCGTTCTACCTTTCCTGAAGATTGAGGATGGTAAGGGGTATGAAGGTTTCACTGAATACCAAGAGCCTGAGAAACTGCTTGGGTGATTTGACTAATAAAGGCCGGTCCGTTATCGGACTGTATAGAGGTGGGAAGCCCAAACCCAGGAATTATGGCGGACAAAAGGGAAGAAATGACTGTGATGGCCTTCTCAGACCCTGTGGGAAAGGTGTCTACCCATCCAGTGAAAGTGTCTACCCAGACCAAGAGGTATTTTAGTTTCCTGACTCGGGGCATGTGAGTAAAGTCAATTTGCCAGTCCTGGGCAGGGGCAAATCCCCAAACTTGATGTGTAGGGAAGGGAGGGGGCCTGAACAATCCCTGCGGAGTAGCAGAATAGCAGATGGAACACTGAGAAGTGATTTCTTTGAGGACAGATTTCCACGATGGAAAGGAAATGAGAGGTTCTAAGAGGCGGGTTAGCGGCTTGTAACCTACATGGAAGAGGTTATGAAATGACGATAGAATAGAATGGGCCTGTGAGGCTGGAAGGAGATATTTTTCTTGGTCCAAGAACCATTTGCCTTGTGTGGGGAGAGACTGACAGGTGGAAGTTTCAGTGGGAAAGTAGGTGGGAGTGACTGATGAGACGGAGAAAAACTGGCCATGAGGGACAGAAGTTGGAAGGCTAGGTGCTTCTTTAGCTACCTTATCAGCATAAGCATTGCCCTGAGCGATAGGATCTGATGCCTTTTGGTGGCCCTTGCAGTGTATGACTCCAGCTTCCTTTGGAAGTAAAGCGGCCTTGAGAAGAGTTTTTATTAAGGAGGCCTTAATGATGGAGGACCCTTGCGTAGTGAGGAAACCTCTTTCTGCCCATATAACAGCATGGTGGTGCAGGATATGGAAGGCATAGAGTCAGTATAAATACTGACACGTAGTCCTTTTGCAAGAGTGAGGGCCTGAGTTAAGGCAGTGAGTTCGGCTTGCTGAGAGGTAGTGGAGGAGGGCAGAGCGGTAGCCTCAATGATAGATGTGGAAGATACTACAGCATAGCCTGTTTTGCTGGTGAGTGGCAATTAGGCCTGGTGGAACTGCCATCAGTAAACCAAGTGTGATCAGGATGAGGAACAGGAAAGAAGGAAATATAGGGAAATGGAGTGAATGTCAGGTGGATCAGAGAGATACAGTCATGGGGGTCTAGTTTGGTATCCAGAATAATGTGGGAGGCCGGACTGAAGTCCGGGCCAGAAAAATGGTAACTGTGGGAGACTCAACAAAGAGTGAGGATAGCTGAAGGAGTCGGGAAGCAGAAAGTATATGCATCAAGTGGGAGGAAGAAAATAGATTTTGGAAATTATGAGAACTGTAGAAAGTGAGTTGAGCATAGTTTGTGATTTTTAGGGCCTCTAAAAGTATTAGGGCAGCAGCAGCCGCTGCACGGAGACATAATGGCCAGCCTAAAACAGTAAGGTCAAGTTGTTTGGACAAAAAGGCTATGGGGCGCGGTCCTGGTCCTTGTGTAAGAATTCCGACTGCACAGCCCTGCACTTTGGCTGTGTGTAATGAAAAGGGTTGGGATGAGTCACAGAGAGCTAGTGCAGGAGCAGTCTCTAAAGCTGTCTTCAAGGAACGGAAAGAGGAGTGGGGAAAAGATTTAGGATCTATAGGGTCGGCTAGATTTCCTTTTGTGAGTTTATTTAACGGTTTTGTTAGGATGGCAAAACCAGGTATCCAAAGTCGAAAGTATCCAACCATGTCCAGGAAGGAAAGGAGTTGTTGTTTTGTAGAAGGGGTTGGGGTTTGAGAGATCAGTCAGACATGATCGGCAGAGAGAGCACGTATGTTTTTATGAAGAATTATGCCGAGGTAGGTAACGGATGGAGAAGAAATTGAGCTTTGGAGGGGGATACCCAATATCCCTTGGAGAATAAATGTTGAAGGAGCAGGAGGGTGTCCTGTTGAGAAGATTCAAAGGAGGGGCTACAAAGTAGAAGGTCATCAATATATTGAATAAGGTGAGAAGCAGAAGGGTGGAAAGAAAGTAAATCAAGAGAAAGAGCTTGGCTGAAGTAATGAGTGCTGTCCCTGAAGCCTTGCGGCAGTACAGCCCAGGTAAGCTGCTGGGACTGATGGGTGTCAGGGTCAGTCCAGGTAAAAGCAGAGGCTGGGACGAGGGGTGTAGGGGAATAGTGAAAAAAGCATCTTTAAGATCAAGAATGGAATAGTGAGTTGTGGAGGAAGGTATTGAGGACTAAAGAGTGTACAGGTTGGGCACTACAGGGTGGATAGGCAAAATAATTTGGTTGATAAGGCGCAGATCCTGAACTAACCTGTAAGACTTGTCCGGTTTTTGAATAGGTAAAATGGGAGAATTGTAAGGAGAGTTTATAGGTTTTAGAAGCCCATGCTGTAGCAGGCGAGTGATAACAGGCTTTAATCCCCTTAAAGCCTGTTGTGGGATGGGATACTGGCATTGAGCAGGGTAAGGGTGATTAGGTTTTAATGGGATAGTAATGCGCGTGTGATGGGT